>NC_000023.11:59064933-59364933 GCF_000001405.40 Homo sapiens
AGCATTCTCGGAAACTACTTTGTGATGTTTGTATTCAACTCCCAGAGTTGAACTTTCCTTTTGAAAGAGCAGCTATGAAACACTCTTTTTCGAGAATCTGCAAGTGGACGTTTGGAGGGATTTGAGGCCTGTGGTGGAAAAGGAAATATCTTCACATAAAAAGTAGATAGAAGCATTCTCAGAAACGACTTTGTGAGGATGGCATTCAACTCATGGAGTTGTACAATCCTATTGATAGAGCAGATTGGAATCACTCTTTTTGTAGAATCTGCAAATGGAGATTTGGACTGCTTTGAGGCCTACGGTCGTATAGGAAGGAACTTCATATAAAAGGCAAACGGAAGCATTCTCAGAATATTCTTTGTGATGATGGAGTTTCACTCACAGAGCTGAACATGCCTTTTGAGATGGGAGCAGTTTCCAAATACACTTTTGGTAGAATCTGCAGGTGGATATTTGGAGCTCTCTGAGGATTTCGTTGGAAACGGGAATAATTTCCCATAACTAAACACAAACACTCTGAGAAAGTTCTTCATGATGAATGCATTTAACTCGCAGAGATGAACCTGCCTTTGAGAGTTCAGGTTCGAAACACTCTTTCTGTAGAATCTGCAAGTGGATATTTGGACCACTGGCTGGCCTTCGTTCGAAACGGGTATATGTTCACGTAAAAACTAAAGAGAAGCATTCTCAGAAACTTCTGAGTGATGATTGCATTCAAGTCACACGGTTGAACCCTCCTTTTGATGGAGCAGTTTTGAAACTGTCTTTTTGTAGAATCTGTAAGTGGATACGTGGACCTCTTTGAAGATTTCTTTGGAAACGGGAATATTTCCACAGAAAAACTAAACTGAAGCATTCTCAGAAACTGCTTTGTGATGTTTGTGTTCGAGCCACAGAGTTTAACATTGCTTTTCATAGAGCAGTTTTGAAATATTCTTTTCGCAGAATCTGCAAGTGGACATTTGGAGCGCTTTCAGGCCTGTGGTGGCAAAGGCCTGAAAGCCTTTTCCTTTATCTTCACAGAAAGACGAGAGAGAAGCATTGTCAGAAACTTCTTTGTGATGATTGCATTCAACTCACAGAGTTGAAGATTCCTTTTGAAACAGCAGTTTCGAAACACTCTTTCTGTGGGATCCGCAAGGGGATATTTGGACCTCTTTGAAGGTTTCGTTGGAAACGGGATAATCTTCACCTAAAAGCTAAACGGAAGCATTCTCAGAAACTTCTTTGGGATGTTTGCATTCACCTCACAGAGTTGAACTTTCCCTTTGATAGCGCAGCTTTGACACACTTTTTCTACAATGTGCAAGTGGCTATTTAGCGGGCTTGGAGGACTGTGTTGGAAAAGGAAATATCTTCTAAAAACGACATAGAAGCATTCTCAGAAACTGCTCTGTGATGATTGCATTCAACTCCCAGAGTTGAACATTCCTTTTGATAGAGCAGTTTGCAAACACTCTTTTTGTAGAATCTGCAAGTGGAGATTTGGACCGCTTTGAGGCCTGTGGTAGTGAAGGAAAGAACTTCATATAAAAACCAGACGGTAGCACTCTCAGAAAATTCTTTGTGACGATGGAGTTTAACTCAGGGAGCTGAACATTCGTTATGATGGAGCAGTTTCCAAACACACGTTTTGTAGAATCTGCGAGGGGATATTTGGACCTCTCTGAGGATTTCGTTGGAAAAGGGATCAACTTCCCATAAATGAACGGAAGCAAACTCAGAACATTCTTTGTGATGTTTGTATTCAACTCACAGAGTTGAACCTTCCTTTGATAGTTCAGGTTTGCATCACCCTTGTAGTAGAATCTGCAAGTGTATATTTTGACCACTTTGTAGCCTTCGTTTGAAACGTCT
Organism: Homo sapiens; assembly: GCF_000001405.40. Lineage (NCBI taxonomy): Eukaryota > Metazoa > Chordata > Mammalia > Primates > Hominidae > Homo > Homo sapiens. The sequence continues at coordinate 59,066,794 of NC_000023.11, forward strand.
ATATCTTCACATCAAACCTAGACAGAAGCATTCTCAGAAAGTTTTCTGCGATGACTGCATTCAACTCACAGAGTTGAACAATCCTTTTGATGGAGCAGTTTTGAAACCCTCTTTCTTTGGAATCTGCAAGGGGATATGTGGACCTCTTTGAAGATTTCACTGGAAACGGGATCATCTTCACATAAGAACTAAACAGAAGCATTCTCGGAAACTACTTTGTGATGTTTGTATTCAGCTCCCAGAGTTGAACTTTCCTTTTGAAAGAGCAGCTATGAAACACACTTTTTCGAGAATCTGCAAGTGGACGTTTGGAGGGCTTTGAGGCCTGTGGTGGAAAAGGAAATATCTTCACATAAAAACTAGATAGAAGCATTCTCAGAAACGACTTTGTGAGCATGGCATTCAACTCATGGAGTTGAACAATCCTATTGATAGAGCAGATTGGAATCACTCTTTTTGTAGAATCTGCAAATGGAGATTTGGACTGCTTTGAGGCCTACGGTCGTATAGGAAGGAACTTCATATAAAAGGCAAACGGAAGCATTCTCAGAATATTCTTTGTGATGATGGAGTTTCACTCACAGAGCTGAACATACCTTTTGATGGAGCAGTTTCCAAATACACTTTTGGTAGAATCTGCAGGTGGATATTTGGAGCTCTCTGAGGATTTCGTTGGTAACGGGAATAATTTCCCATAACTAAACACAAACACTCTGAGAAAGTTCTTCATGATGAATGCATTTAACTCGCAGAGTATGAACCTGCCTTTGAGAGTTCATGTTCGAAACACTCTTTCTGTAGAATCTGCAAGTGGATATTTGGACCACTGGCTGGCCTTCGTTCGAAACGGGTATATGTTCACGTAAAAACTAAAGAGAAGCGTTCTCAGAAACTTCTGAGTGATGATTGCATTCAAGTCACACAGTTGAACCCTCCTTTTGATTGACCAGTTTTGAAACTGTCTTTTTGTAGAATCTGTAAGTGGATACGTGGACCTCTTTGAAGATTTCTTTGGAAACGGGAATATTTCCACAGAAAAACTAAACTGAAGCATTCTCAGAAACTGCTTTGTGATGTTTGTGTTCGAGCCGCAGAGTTTAACATTGCTTTTCATAGAGCAGTTTTGAAATATTCTTTTGGCAGAATCTGCAAGTGGACATTTGGAGCGCTTTCAGGCCTGTGGTGGAAAAGGCCTGAAAGCCTTTTCCTTTATCTTCACAGAAAGACGAGAGAGAAGCATTGTCAGAAACTTCTTTGTGATGATTGCATTCAACTCACAGAGTTGAAGATTCCTTTTGAAACAGCAGTTTCGAAACACTCTTTCTGTGGGATCCGCAAGGGGATATTTGGAACTCTTTGAAGATTTCGTTGGAAACGGGATAATCTTCACCTAAAAGCTAAACGGAAGCATTCTCAGAAACTTCTTTGGGATGTTTGCATTCACCTCACAGAGTTGAACTTTCCCTTTGATAGCGCAGCTTTGACACACTTTTTCTACAATGTGCAAGTGGATATTTAGCGGGCTTGGAGGACTGTGTTGGAAAAGGAAATATCTTCTCCTAAAAACGACATAGAAGCATTCTCAGAAACTGCTCTGTGATGATTGCATTCAACTCCCAGAGTTGAACATTCCTTTTGATAGAGCAGTTTGCAAACACTCTTTTTGTAGAATCTGCAAGTGGAGATTTGGACCGCTTTGAGGCCTGTGGTAGTGAAGGAAAGAACTTCATATAAAAACCAGACGGTAGCACTCTCAGAAAATTCTTTGTGACGATGGAGTTTAACTCAGGGAGCTGAACATTCGTTATGATGGAGCAGTTTCCAAACACACGTTTTGTAGAATCTGCAAGGGGATATTTGGACCTCTCTGAGGATTTCGTTGGAAACGGGATCAACTTCCCATAACTGAACGGAAGCAAACTCAGAACATTCTTTGTGATGTTTGTATTCAATTCACAGAGTTGAACCTTCCTTTGATAGTTCAGGTTTGCAACACCCTTGTAGTAGAATCTGCAAGTGTATATTTTGACCACTTTGTAGCCTTCGTTTGAAACGTCTATATCTTCACATCAAACCTAGACAGAAGCATTCTCAGAAAGTTTTCTGCGATGACTGCATTCAACTCACAGAGTTGAACAATCCTTCTGATGGAGCAGTTTTGAAACCCTCTTTCTTTGGAATCTGCAAGGGGATATGTGGACCTCTTTGAAGATTTCACTGGAAACGGGATCATCTTCACATAAAAACTAAACAGAAGCATTCTCGGAAACTACTTTGTGATGTTTGTATTCAACTCCCAGAGTTGAACTTTCCTTTTGAAAGAGCAGCTATGAAACACTCTTTTTCGAGAATCTGCAAGTGGACGTTTGGAGGGCTTTGAGGCCTGTGGTGGAAAAGGAAATATCTTCACATAAAAACTAGATAGAAGCATTCTCAGAAACTACTTTGTGACGATGGCATTCAACTCATGGAGTTGAACAATCCTATTGATAGAGCAGATTGGAATCACTCTTTTTGTAGAATCTGCAAATGGAGATTTGGACTGCTTTGAGGCCTACGGTAGTATAGGAAGGAACTTCATAAAAAGGCAAACGGAAGCATTTTCAGAATATTCTTTGTGATGATGGAGTTTCACTCACAGAGCTGAACATGCCTTTTGATGGAGCAGTTTCCAAATACACTTTTGGTAGAATCTGCAGGTGGATATTTGGACCTCTCTGAGGATTTCGTTGGAAACGGGAATAATTTCCCATAACTAAACACAAACACGCTGAGAAAGTTCTTCATGATGAATGCATTGAACTTGCAGAGATGAACCTGCCTTTGAGAGTTCAGGTTCGAAACACTCTTTCTGTAGAATCTGCAAGTGGATATTTGGACCACTGGCTGGCCTTCGTTCGAAACGGGTATATGTTCATGTAAAAACTAAAGAGAAAGCATTCTCAGAAACTTCTGAGTGATGATTGCATTCAAGTCACACGGTTGAACCCTCCTTTTGATGGAGCAGTTTTGAAACTGTCTTTTTGTAGAATCTGTAAGTGGATACGTGGACCTCTTTGAAGATTTCTTTGGAAACGGGAATATTTCCACAGAAAAACTAAACTGAAGCATTCTCAGAAACCGCTTTGTGATGTTTGTGTTCCAGCCACAGAGTTTAACATTGCTTTTCATAGAGTAGTTTTGAAATATTCTTTTCGCAGAATCTGCAAGTGGACATTTGGAGCGCTTTCAGGCCTGTGGTGGAAAAGGCCTGAAAGCCTTTTCCTTTATCTTCACAGAAAGACGAGAGAGAAAGCATTGTCAGAAACTTCTTTGTGATGATTGCATTCAACTCACAGAGTTGAAGATTCCTTTTGAAACAGCAGTTTCGAAACACTCTTTCTGTGGGATCCGCAAGGGGATATTTGGACCTCTTTGAAGGTTTCGTTGGAAACGGGATAATCTTCACCTAAAAGCTAAACGGAAGCATTCTCAGAAACTTCTTTGGGATGTTTGCATTCACCTCACAGAGTTGAACTTTCCCTTTGATAGCGCAGCTTCGACACACTTTTTCTACAATGTGCAAGTGGCTATTTAGCGGGCTTGGAGGACTGTGTTGGAAAAGGAAATATCTTCTCCTAAAAACGACATAGAAGCATTCTCAGAAACTGCTCTGTGATGATTGCATTCAACTCCCAGAGTTGAACATTCCTTTTGATAGAGCAGTTTGCAAACACTCTTTTTGTAGAATCTGCAAGTGGAGATTTGGACCGCTTTGAGGCCTGTGGTAGTGAAGGAAAGAACTTCATATAAAAACCAGACGGTAGCACTCTCAGAAAATTCTTTGTGACGATGGAGTTTAACTCAGGGAGCTGAACATTCGTTATGATGGAGCAGTTTCCAAACACATGTTTTGTAGAATCTGCGAGGGGATATTTGGACCTCTCTGAGGATTTCGTTGGAAACGGGATCAACTTCCCATAACTGAACGGAAGCAAACTCAGAACATTCTTTGTGATGTTTGTATTCAACTCACAGAGTTGAACCTTCCTTTGATAGTTCAGGTTTGCAACACCCTTGTAGTAGAATCTGCAAGTGTATATTTTGACCACTTTGTAGCCTTCGTTTGAAACGTCTATATCTTCACATCAAACCTAGACAGAAGCATTCTCAGAAAGTTTTCTGCGATGACTGCATTCAACTCACAGAGTTGAACAATCCTTCTGATGGAGCAGTTTTGAAACCCTCTTTCTTTGGAATCTGCAAGGGGATATGTGGACCTCTTTGAAGATTTCACTGGAAACGGGATCATCTTCACATAAAAACTAAACTGAAGCATTCTCGGAAACTATTTTGTGATGTTTGTATTCAACTCCCAGAGTTGAACTTTCCTTTTGAAAGAGCAGCTATGAAACACTCTTTTTCGAGAATCTGCAAGTGGACGTTTGGAGGGCTTTGAGGCCTGTGGTGGAAAAGGAAATATCTTCACACAAAAACCAGATAGAAGCATTCTCAGAAACTACTTTGTGAGGATGGCATTCAACTCATGGAGTTGAACAATCCTATTGATAGAGCAGATTGGAATCACTCTTTTTGTAGAATCTGCAAATGGAGATTTGGACTGCTTTGAGGCCTACGGTAGTACAGGAAGGAACTTCATATAAAAGACAAACGGAAGCATTCTCAGAATATTCTTTGTGATGATGGAGTTTCACTGACAGAGCTGAACATGCCTTTTGATGGAGCAGTTTCCAAATACACTTTTGGTAGAATCTGCAGGTGGATATTTGGAGCTCTCTGAGGATTTCGTTGGAAACGGGAATAATTTCCCATAACTAAACACAAACACTCTGAGAAAGTTCTTCATGATGAATGCATTTAACTCGCAGAGATGAACCTTCCTTTGAGAGTTCAGGTTCGAAACACTCTTTCTGTATAATCTGCAAGTGGATATTTGGACCACTGGGTGGCCTTCGTTCGAAACGGGTATATGTTCACGTAAAAACTAAAGAGAAGCATTCTCAGAAACTTCTGAGTGATGATTGCATTCAAGTCACACAGTTGAACCCTCCTTTTGATGGAGCAGTTTTGAAACTGTCTTTTTGTAGAATCTGTAAGTGGATACGTGGACCTCTTTGAAGATTTCTTTGGAAACGGGAATATTTCCACAGAAAAACTAAACTGAAACATTCTCAGAAACCGCTTTGTGATGTTTGTGTTCCAGCCACAGAGTTTAACATTGCTTTTCATAGAGCAGTTTTGAAATATTCTTTTGGCAGAATCTGCAAGTGGACATTTGGAGCGCTTTCAGGCCTGTGGTGGGAAAAGGCCTGAAAGCCTTTTCCTTTATCTTCACAGAAAGACGAGAGAGAAGCATTGTCAGAAACTTCTTTGTGATGATTGCATTCAACTCACAGAGTTGAAGATTCCTTTTGAAACAGCAGTTTCGAAACACTCTTTCTGTGGGATCCGCAAGGGGATATTTGGACCTCTTTGAAGGTTTCGTTGGAAACGGGATAATCTTCACCTAAAAGCTAAACGGAAGCATTCTCAGAAACTTCTTTGGGATGTTTGCATTCACCTCACAGAGTTGAACTTTCCCTTTGATAGCGCAGCTTCGACACACTTTTTCTAAAGTGTGCAAGTGGACATTTAGCGGGCTTGGAGGACTGTGTTGGAAAAGGAAATATCTTCTCCTAAAAACGACATAGAAGCATTCTCAGAAACTGCTCTGTGATGATTGCATTCAACTCCCAGAGTTGAACATTCCTTTTGATAGAGCAGTTTGCAAACACTGTTTTTGTAGAATCTGCAAGTGGAGATTTGGACCGCTTTGAGGCCTGTGGTAGTAAAGGAAAGAACTTCATATAAAAACCAGACGGTAGCACTCTCAGAAAATTCTTTGTGACGATGGAGTTTAACTCAGAGAGCTGAACATTCGTTATGATGGAGCAGTTTCCAAACACACGTTTCGTAGAATCTGCAAGGGGATATTTGGACCTCTCTGAGGATTTCGTTGGAAACGGGATCAACTTCCCATAACTGAACGGAAGCAAACTCAGAACATTCTTTGTGATGTTTGTATTCAACTCACAGAGTTGAACCTTCCTTTGATAGTTGAAGTTTGCAACACCCTTGTAGTAGAATCTGCAAGTGTATATTTTGACCACTTTGTAGCCTTCGTTTGAAACGTCTATATCTTCACCTCAAACCTAGACAGAAGCATTCTCAGAAAGTTTTCTGCGATGACTGCATTCAACTCACAGAGTTGAACAATCCTTTTGATGGAGCAGTTTTGAAACCCTCTTTCTTTGGAATCTGCAAGGGGATATGTGGACCTCTTTGAAGATTTCACTGGAAACGGGATCATCTTCACATAAGAACTAAACAGAAGCATTCTCGGAAACTACTTTGTGATGTTTGTATTCAACTCCCAGAGTTGAACTTTCCTTTTGAAAGAGCAGCTATGAAACACTCTTTTTCGAGAATCTGCAAGTGGACGTTTGGAGGGCTTTGAGGCCTGTGGTGGAAAAGGAAATATCTTCACATAAAAACTAGATAGAAGCATTCTCAGAAACGACTTTGTGAGGATGGCATTCAACTCATGGAGTTGAACAATCCTATTGATAGAGCAGATTGGAATCACTCTTTTTGTATTGGAATCACTCTTTTTGTAGAATCTGCAAATGGAGATTTGGACTGCTTTGAGGCCTACGGTCGTATAGGAAGGAACTTCATATAAAAGGCAAACGGAAGCATTCTCAGAATATTCTTTGTGATGATGGAGTTTCACTCACAGAGCTGAACATGCCTGTTGATGGAGCAGTTTCCAAATACACTTTTGGTAGAATCTGCAGGTGGACATTTGGACCTCTCTGAGGATTTCGTTGGGAACGGGAATAATTTCCCATAACTAAACACAAACACGCTGAGAAAGTTCTTCATGATGAATGCATTTAACTCGCAGAGATGAACCTGCCTTTGAGAGTTCAGGTTCGAAACACTCTTTCTGTAGAATCTGCAAGTGGACATTTGGACCACTGGGTGGCCTTCGTTCGAAACGGGTATATGTTCACGTAAAAACTAAAGAGAAGCATTCTCAGAAACTTCTGAGTGATGATTGCATTCAAGTCACACAGTTGAACCCTCCTTTTGATGGAGCAGTTTTGAAACTGTCTTTTTGTAGAATCTGTAAGTGGATACGTGGACCTCTTTGAAGATTTCTTTGGAAACGGGAATATTTCCACAGAAAAACTAAACTGAAGCATTCTCAGAAACTGCTTTGTGATGTTTGTGTTCGAGCCACAGAGTTTAACATTGCTTTTCATAGAGCAGTTTTGAAATATTCTTTTCGCAGAATCTGCAAGTGGACATTTGGAGCGCTTTCAGGCCTGTGGTTGGAAAAGGCCTGAAAGCCTTTTCCTTTATCTTCACAGAAAGACGAGAGAGAAGCATTGTCAGAAACTTCTTTGTGATGATTGCATTCAACTCACAGAGTTGAAGATTCCTTTTGAAACAGCAGTTTCGAAACACTCTTTCTGTGGGATCCGCAAGGGGATATTTGGACCTCTTTGAAGGTTTCGTTGGAAACGGGATAATCTTCACCTAAAAGCTAAACGGAAGCATTCTCAGAAACTTCTTTGGGATGTTTGCATTCACCTCACAGAGTTGAACTTTCCCTTTGATAGCGCAGCTTTGACACACTTTTTCTACAATGTGCAAGTGGCTATTTAGCGGGCTTGGAGGACTGTGTTGGAAAAGGAAATATCTTCTAAAAACGACATAGAAGCATTCTCAGAAACTGCTCTGTGATGATTGCATTCAACTCCCAGAGTTGAACATTCCTTTTGATAGAGCAGTTTGCAAACACTCTTTTTGTAGAATCTGCAAGTGGAGATTTGGACCGCTTTGAGGCCTGTGGTAGTGAAGGAAAGAACTTCATATAAAAACCAGACGGTAGCACTCTCAGAAAATTCTTTGTGACGATGGAGTTTAACTCAGGGAGCTGAACATTCGTTATGATGGAGCAGTTTCCAAACACACGTTTTGTAGAATCTGCAAGGGGATATTTGGACCTCTCTGAGGATTTCGTTGGAAACGGGATCAACTTCCCATAACTGAACGGAAGCAAACTCAGAACATTCTTTGTGATGTTTGTATTCAACTCACAGAGTTGAACCTTCCTTTGATAGTTCAGGTTTGCAACACCCTTGTAGTAGAATCTGCAAGTGTATATTTTGACCACTTTGTAGCCTTCGTTTGAAACGTCTATATCTTCACATCAAACCTAGACAGAAGCATTCTCAGAAAGTTTTCTGCGATGACTGCATTCAACTCACAGAGTTGAACAATCCTTCTGATGGAGCAGTTTTGAAACCCTCTTTCTTTGGAATCTGCAAGGGGATATGTGGACCTCTTTGAAGATTTCACTGGAAACGGGATCATCTTCACATAAAAACTAAACAGAAGCATTCTCAGAAACTACTTTGTGATGTTTGTATTCAACTCCCAGAGTTGAACTTTCCTTTTGAAAGAGCAGCTATGAAACACTCTTTTTCGAGAATCTGCAAGTGGACGTTTGGAGGGCTTTGAGGCCTGTGGTGGAAAAGGAAATATCTTCACATAAAAACTAGATAGAAGCATTCTCAGAAACGACTTTGTGAGGATGGCATTCAACTCATGGAGTTGAACAATCCTATTGATAGAGCAGATTGGAATCACTCTTTTTGTAGAATCTGCAAATGGAGATTTGGACTGCTTTGAGGCCTAAGGTCGTATAGGAAGGAACTTCATATAAAAGGCAAACGGAAGCATTCTCAGAATATTCTTTGTGATGATGGAGTTTCACTCACAGAGCTGAACATGCCTTTTGATGGAGCAGTTTCCAAATACACTTTTGGTAGAATCTGCAGGTGGATATTTGGAGCTCTCTGAGGATTTCGTTGGAAACGGGAATAATTTCCCATAACTAAACACAAACACTCTGAGAAAGTTCTTCATGATGAATGCATTTAACTCGCAGAGATGAACCTGCCTTTGAGAGTTCAGGTTCGAAACACTCTTTCTGTAGAATCTGCAAGTGGATATTTGGACCACTGGCTGGCCTTCGTTCGAAACGGGTATATGTTCACGTAAAAACTAAAGAGAAGCATTCTCAGAAACTTCTGAGTGATGATTGCATTCAAGTCACACAGTTGAACCCTCCTTTTGATGGAGCAGTTTTGAAACTGTCTTTTTGTAGAATCTGTAAGTGGATACGTGGACCTCTTTGAAGATTTCTTTGGAAACGGGAATATTTCCACAGAAAAACTAAACTGAAGCATTCTCAGAAACCGCTTTGTGATGTTTGTGTTCGAGCCACAGAGTTTAACATTGCTTTTCACAAAGCAGTTTTGAAATATTCTTTTGGCAGAATCTGCAAGTGGACATTTGGAGCGCTTTCAGGCCTGTGGTGGCAAAGGCCTGAACGCCTTTTCCTTTATGTTCACAGAAAGACGAGAGAGAAGCATTGTCAGAAACTTCTTTGTGATGATTGCATTCAACTCACAGAGTTGAAGATTCCTTTTGAAACAGCAGTTTCGAAACACTCTTTCTGTGGGATCCGCAAGGGGATATTTGGACCTCTTTGAAGGTTTCGTTGGAAACGGGATAATCCTCACCTAAAAGCTAAACGGAAGCATTCTCAGAAACTTCTTTGGGATGTTTGCATTCACCTCACAGAGTTGAACTTTCCCTTTGATAGCGCAGCTTTGACACACTTTTTCTACAATGTGCAAGTGGCTATTTAGCGGGCTTGGAGGACTGTGTTGGAAAAGGAAATATCTTCTCCTAAAAACGACATAGAAGCATTCTCAGAAACTGCTCTGTGATGATTGCATTCAACTCCCAGAGTTGAACATTCCTTTTGATAGAGCAGTTTGCAAACACTCTTTTTGTAGAATCTGCAAGTGGAGATTTGGACCGCTTTGAGGCCTGTGGTAGTGAAGGAAAGAACTTCATATAAAAACCAGACGGTAGCACTCTCAGTAAAATTCTTTGTGACGATAGAGTTTAACTCAGAGAGCTGAACATTCGTTATGATGGAGCAGTTTCCAAACACACATTTTGTAGAATCTGCAAAGGGATATTTGGACCTCTCTGAGGATTTCGTTGGAAATGGGATCAACTTCCCATAACTGAACGGAAGCAAACTCAGAACATTCTTTGTGATGTTTGTATTCAACTCACAGAGTTGAACCTTCCTTTGATAGTTCAGGTTTGCAACACCCTTGTAGTAGAATCTGCAAGTGTATATTTTGACCACTTTGTAGCCTTCGTTTGAAACGTCTATATCTTCACATCAAACCTAGACAGAAGCATTCTCAGAAAGTTTTCTGCGATGACTGCATTCAACTCACAGAGTTGAACAATCCTTCTGATGGAGCAGTTTTGAAACCCTCTTTCTTTGGAATCTGCAAGGGGATATGTGGACCTCTTTGAAGATTTCACTGGAAACGGGATCATCTTCACATAAAAACTAAACAGAAGCATTCTCGGAAACTACTTTGTGATGTTTGTATTCAACTCCCAGAGTTGAACTTTCCTTTTGAAAGAGCAGCTATGAAACACTCTTTTTCGAGAATCTGCAAGTGGACGTTTGGAGGGCTTTGAGGCCTGTGGTGGAAAAGGAAATATCTTCACATAAAAACCAGATAGAAGCATTCTCAGAAACTGCTTTGTGAGGATGGCATTCAACTCATGGAGTTGAACAATCCTATTGATAGAGCAGATTGGAATCACTCTTTTTGTAGAATCTGCAAATGGAGATTTGGACTGCTTTGAGGCCTACGGTAGTACAGGAAGGAACTTCATATAAAAGGCAAACGGAAGCATTCTCAGAATATTCTTTGTGATGATGGAGTTTCACTCACAGAGCTGAACATGCCTTTTGATGGAGCAGTTTCCAAATACACTTTTGGTAGAATCTGCAGGTGGATATTTGGAGCTCTCTGAGGATTTCTTTGGAAACGGGAATAATTTCCCATAACTAAACACAAACACTCTGAGAAAGTTCTTCATGATGAATGCATTTAACTCGCAGAGATGAACCTGCCTTTGAGAGTTCAGGTTTCAAACACTCTTTCTGTATAATCTGCAAGTGGATATTTGGACCACTGGGTGGCCTTCGTTCGAAACGGGTATATGTTCACGTAAAAACTAAAGAGAAGCATTCTCAGAAACTTCTGAGTGATGATTGCATTCAAGTCACACGGTTGAACCCTCCTTTTGATGGAGCAGTTTTGAAACTGTCTTTTTGTAGAATCTGTAAGTGGATACGTGGACCTCTTTGAAGATTTCTTTGGAAACGGGAATATTTCCACAGAAAAACTAAACTGAAGCATTCTCAGAAACCGCTTTGTGATGTTTGTGTTCGAGCCACAGAGTTTAACATTGCTTTTCATAGAGCAGTTTTGAAATATTCTTTTCGCAGAATCTGCAAGTGGACATTTGGAGCGCTTTCAGGCCTGTGGTGGAAAAGGCCTGAAAGCCTTTTCCTTTATCTTCACAGAAAGACGAGAGAGAAGCATTGTCAGAAACTTCTTTGTGATGATTGCATTCAACTCACAGAGTTGAAGATTCCTTTTGAAACAGCAGTTTCGAAACACTCTTTCTGTGGGATCCGCAAGGGGATATTTGGACCTCTTTGAAGGTTTCGTTGGAAACGGGATAATCTTCACCTAAAAGCTAAACGGAAGCATTCTCAGAAACTTCTTTGGGATGTTTGCATTCACCTCACAGAGTTGAACTTTCCCTTTGATAGCGCAGCTTTGACACACTTTTTCTACAATGTGCAAGTGGCTATTTAGCGGGCTTGGAGGACTGTGTTGGAAAAGGAAATATCTTCTCCTAAAAACGACATAGAAGCATTCTCAGAAACTGCTCTGTGATGATTGCATTCAACTCCCAGAGTTGAACATTCCTTTTGATAGAGCAGTTTGCAAACACTCTTTTTGTAGAATCTGCAAGTGGAGATTTGGACCGCTTTGAGGCCAGTGGTAGTGAAGGAAAGAACTTCATATAAAAACCAGACGGTAGCACTCTCAGAAAATTCTTTGTGACGATGGAGTTTAACTCAGGGAGCTGAACATTCGTTATGATGGAGCAGTTTCCAAACACACGTTTTGTAGAATCTGCAAGGGGATATTTGGACCTCTCTGAGGATTTCGTTGGAAACGGGATCAGCTTCCCATAACTGAACGGAAGCAAACTCAGAACATTCTTTGTGATGTTTGTATTCAACTCACAGAGTTGAACCTTCCTTTGATAGTTCAGGTTTGCAACACCCTTGTAGTAGAATCTGCAAGTGTATATTTTGACCACTTTGTAGCCTTCGTTTGAAACGTCTATATCTTCACATCAAACCTAGAAAGAAGCATTCTCAGAAAGTTTTCTGCGATGACTGCATTCAACTCACAGAGTTGAACAATCCTTTTGATGGAGCAGTTTTGAAACCCTCTTTCTTTGGAATCTGCAAGGGGATATGTGGACCTCTTTGAAGATTTCACTGGAAACGGGATCATCTTCACATAAAAACTAAACAGAAGCATTCTCGGAAACTATTTTGTGATGTTTGTATTCAACTCCCAGAGTTGAACTTTCCTTTTGAAAGAGCAGCTATGAAACACTCTTTTTCGAGAATCTGCAAGTGGACGTTTGGAGGGCTTTGAGGCCTGTGGTGGAAAAGGAAATATCTTCACACAAAAACCAGATAGAAGCATTCTCAGAAACTACTTTGTGAGGATGGCATTCAACTCATGGAGTTGAACAATCCTATTGATAGAGCAGATTGGAATCACTCTTTTTGTAGAATCTGCAAATGGAGATTTGGACTGCTTTGAGGCCTACAGTAGTACAGGAAGGAACTTCATATAAAAGGCAAACGGAAGCATTCTCAGAATATTCTTTGTGATGATGGAGTTTCACTCACAGAGCTGAACATGCCTTTTGATGGAGCAGTTTCCAAATACACTTTTGGTAGAATCTGCAGGTGGATATTTGGAGCTCCCTGAGGATTTCGTTGGAAACGGGAATAATTTCCCATAACTAAACACAAACACTCTGAGAAAGTTCTTCATGATGAATGCATTTAACTCGCAGAGATGAACCTGCCTTTGAGAGTTCAGGTTCGAAACACTCTTTCTGTAGAATCTGCAAGTGGATATTTGGACCACTGGGTGGCCTTCGTTCGAAACGGGTATATGTTCACGTAAAAACTAAAGAGAAGCATTCTCAGAAACTTCTGAGTGATGATTGCATTCAAGTCACACAGTTGAACCCTCCTTTTGATGGAGCAGTTTTGAAACTGTCTTTTTGTAGAATCTGTAAGTGGATACGTGGACCTCTTTGAAGATTTCTTTGGAAACGGGAATATTTCCACAGAAAAACTAAACTGAAGCATTCTCAGAAACCGCTTTGTGATGTTTGTGTTCGAGCCACAGAGTTTAACATTGCTTTTCATAGAGCAGTTTTGAAATATTCTTTTCGCAGAATCTGCAAGTGGACATTTGGAGCGCTTTCAGGCCTGTGGTGGAAAAGGCCTGAAAGCCTTTTCCTTTATCTTCACAGAAAGACGAGAGAGAAGCATTGTCAGAAACTTCTTTGTGATGATTGCATTCAACTCACAGAGTTGAAGATTCCTTTTGAAACAGCAGTTTCGAAACACTCTTTCTGTGGGATCCGCAAGGGGATATTTGGACCTCTTTGAAGGTTTCATTGGAAACGGGATAATCTTCACCTAAAAGCTAAACGGAAGCATTCTCAGAAACTTCTTTGGGATGTTTGCATTCACCTCACAGAGTTGAACTTTCCCTTTGATAGCGCAGCTTTGACACACTTTTTCTACAATGTGCAAGTGGATCTTTAGCGGGCTTGGAGGTCTGTGTTGGAAAAGGAAATATCTTCTCCTAAAAACGACATAGAAGCATTCTCAGAAACTGCTCTGTGATGATTGCATTCAACTCCCAGAGTTGAACATTCCTTTTGATAGAGCAGTTTGCAAACACTCTTTTTGTAGAATCTGCAAGTGGAGATTTGGACCGCTTTGAGGCCTGTGGTAGTGAAGGAAAGAACTTCATATAAAAACCAGACGGTAGCACTCTCAGAAAATTCTTTGTGACGATGGAGTTTAACTCAGGGAGCTGAACATTCGTTATGATGGAGCAGTTTCCAAACACACGTTTTGTAGAATCTGCGAGGGGATATTTGGACCTCTCTGAGGATTTCGTTGGAAACGGGATCAACTTCCCATAACTGAACGGAAGCAAACTCAGAACATTCTTTGTGATGTTTGTATTCAACTCACAGAGTTGAACCTTCCTTTGATAGTTCAGGTTTGCAACACCCTTGTAGTAGAATCTGCAAGTGTATATTTTGACCACTTTGTAGCCTTTGTTTGAAACGTCTATATCTTCACATCAAACCTAGACAGAAGCATTCTCAGAAAGTTTTCTGCGATGACTGCATTCAACTCACAGAGTTGAACAATCCTTCTGATGGAGCAGTTTTGAAACCCTCTTTCTTTGGAATCTGCAAGGGGATATGTGGACCTCTTTGAAGATTTCACTGGAAACGGGATCGATCATCTTCACATAAAAACTAAACAGAAGCATTCTCGGAAACTACTTTGTGATGTTTGTATTCAACTCCCAGAGTTGAACTTTCCTTTTGAAAGAGCAGCTATGAAACACTCTTTTTCGAGAATCTGCAAGTGGACGTTTGGAGGGCTTTGAGGCCTGTGGTGGAAAAGGAAATATCTTCACACAAAAACCAGATAGAAGCATTCTCAGAAACTACTTTGTGAGGATGGCATTCAACTCATGGAGTTGAACAATCCTATTGATAGAGCAGATTGGAATCACTCTTTTTATAGAATCTGCAAATGGAGATTTGGACTGCTTTGAGGCCTACGGTAGTACAGGAAGGAACTTCATATAAAAGGCAAACGGAAGCATTCTCAGAATATTCTTTGTGATGATGGAGTTTCACTCACAGAGCTGAACATGCCTTTTGATGGAGCAGTTTCCAAATACACTTTTGGTAGAATCTGCAGGTGGATATTTGGAGCTCTCTGAGGATTTCGTTGGAAACGGGAATAATTTCCCATAACTAAACACAAACACTCTGAGAAAGTTCTTCATGATGAATGCATTTAACTCGCAGAGATGAACCTGCCTTTGAGAGTTCAGGTTCGAAACACTCTTTCTGTAGAATCTGCAAGTGGATATTTGGACCACTGGGTGGCCTTCGTTCGAAACGGGTATATGTTCACGTAAAAACTAAAGAGAAGCATTCTCAGAAACTTCTGAGTGATGATTGCATTCAAGTCACACAGTTGAACCCTCCTTTTGATGGAGCAGTTTTGAAACTGTCTTTTTGTAGAATCTGTAAGTGGACACGTGGACCTCTTTGAAGATTTCTTTGGAAACGGGAATATTTCCACAGAAAAACTAAACTGAAGCATTCTCAGAAACTGCTTTGTGATGTTTGTGTTCGAGCCACAGAGTTTAACATTGCTTTTCATAGAGCAGTTTTGCAATATTCTTTTCACAGAATCTGCAAGTGGACATTTGGAGCGCTTTCAGGCCTGTGGTGGAAAAGGCCTGAAAGCCTTTTCCTTTATCTTCACAGAAAGACGAGAGAGAAGCATTGTCAGAAACTTCTTTTTGATGATTGCATTCAACTCACAGAGTTGAAGATTCCTTTTGAAACAGCAGTTTCGAAACACTCTTTCTGTGGGATCCGCAAGGGGATATTTGGACCTCTTTGAAGGTTTCGTTGGAAACGGGATAATCTTCACCTAAAAGCTAAACGGAAGCATTCTCAGAAACTTCTTTGGGATGTTTGCATTCACCTCACAGAGTTGAACTTTCCCTTTGATAGCACAGCTTTGACACACTTTTTCTACAATGTGCAAGTGGCTATTTAGCGGGCTTGGAGGACTGTGTTGGAAAAGGAAATATCTTCTCCTAAAAACGACATAGAAGCATTCTCAGAAACTGCTCTGTGATGATTGCATTCAACTCCCAGAGTTGAACATTCCTTTTGATAGAGCAGTTTGCAAACACTCTTTTTGTAGAATCTGCAAGTGGAGATTTGGACCGCTTTGAGGCCTGTGGTAGTGAAGGAAAGAACTTCATATAAAAACCAGACGGTAGCACTCTCAGAAAATTCTTTGTGACGATGGAGTTTAACTCAGGGAGCTGAACATTCGTTATGATGGAGCAGTTTCCAAACACACGTTTTGTAGAATCTGCGAGGGGATATTTGGACCTCTC
Organism: Homo sapiens; assembly: GCF_000001405.40. Classification (NCBI taxonomy): domain Eukaryota; kingdom Metazoa; phylum Chordata; class Mammalia; order Primates; family Hominidae; genus Homo; species Homo sapiens. Next base: position 59,083,086 of record NC_000023.11, read on the forward strand.
TGAGGATTTCGTTGGAAACGGGATCAACTTCCCATAACTGAACGGAAGCAAACTCAGAACATTCTTTGTGATGTTTGTATTCAACTCACAGAGTTGAACCTTCCTTTGATAGTTCAGGTTTGCAACACCCTTGTAGTAGAATCTGCAAGTGTATATTTTGACCACTTTGTAGCCTTCGTTTGAAACATGCTATATCTTCACATCAAACCTAGACAGAAGCATTCTCAGAAAGTTTTCTGCGATGACTGCATTCAACTCACAGAGTTGAACAATCCTTCTGATGGAGCAGTTTTGAAACCCTCTTTCTTTGGAATCTGCAAGGGGATATGTGGACCTCTTTGAAGATTTCACTGGAAACGGGATCATCTTCACATAAAAACTAAACAGAAGCATTCTCGGAAACTACTTTGTGATGTTTGTATTCAACTGCCAGAGGTGAACTTTCCTTTTGAAAGAGCAGCTATGAAACACTCTTTTTCGAGAATCTGCAAGTGGACGTTTGGAGGGCTTTGAGGCCTGTGGTGGAAAAGGAAATATCTTCACATAAAAACTAGATAGAAGCATTCTCAGAAACTACTTTGTGAGGATGGCATTCAACTCATGGAGTTGAACAATCCTATTGATAGAGCAGATTGGAATCACTCTTTTTGTAGAATCTGCAAATGGAGATTTGGACTGCTTTGAGGCCTACGGTCGTATAGGAAGGAACTTCATATAAAAGGCAAACGGAAGCATTCTCAGAATATTCTTTGTGATGATGGAGTTTCACTCACAGAGCTGAACATGCCTTTTGATGGAGCAGTTTCCAAATACACTTTTGGTAGAATCTGCAGGTGGATATTTGGAGCTCTTTGAGGATTTCGTTGGAAACGGGAATAATTTCCCATAACTAAACACAAACACGCTGAGAAAGTTCTTCATGATGAATGCATTTAACTCGCAGAGATGAACCTGCCTTTGAGAGTTCAGGTTCGAAACACTCTTTCTGTATAATCTGCAAGTGGATATTTGGACCACTGGGTGGCCTTCGTTCGAAACGGGTATATGTTCACGTAAAAACTAAAGAGAAGCATTCTCAGAAACTTCTGAGTGATGATTGCATTCAAGTCACACAGTTGAACCCTCCTTTTGATGGAGCAGTTTTGAAACTGTCTTTTTGTAGAATCTGTAAGTGGATACGTGGACCTCTTTGAAGATTTCTTTGGAAACGGGAATATTTCCACAGAAAAACTAAACTGAAGCATTCTCAGAAACCGCTTTGTGATGTTTGTGTTCGAGCCGCAGAGTTTAACATTGCTTTTCATAGAGCAGTTTTGAAATATTCTTTTGGCAGAATCTGCAAGTGGACATTTGGAGCGCTTTCAGGCCTGTGGTGGAAAAGGCCTGAAAGCCTTTTCCTTTATCTTCACAGAAAGACGAGAGAGAAGCATTGTCAGAAACTTCTTTGTGATGATTGCATTCAACTCACAGAGTTGAAGATTCCTTTTGAAACAGCAGTTTCGAAACACTCTTTCTGTGGGATCCGCAAGGGGATATTTGGACCTCTTTGAAGGTTTCGTTGGAAACGGGATAATCTTCACCTAAAAGCTAAACGGAAGCACTCTCAGAAACTTCTTTGGGATGTTTGCATTCACCTCACAGAGTTGAACTTTCCCTTTGATAGCGCAGCTTTGACACACTTTTTCTACAATGTGCAAGTGGCTATTTAGCGGGCTTGGAGGACTGTGTTGGAAAAGGAAATATCTTCTCCTAAAAACGACATAGAAGCATTCTCAGAAACTGCTCTGTGATGATTGCATTCAACTCCCAGGGTTGAACATTCCTTTTGATAGAGCAGTTTGCAAACACTCTTTTTGTAGAATCTGCAAGTGGAGATTTGGACCGCTTTGAGGCCTATGGTAGTAAAGGAAAGAACTTCATATAAAAACCAGACGGTAGCACTCTCAGAAAATTCTTTGTGACGATGGAGTTTAACTCAGGGAGCTGAACATTCGTTATGATGGAGCAGTTTCCAAACACACGTTTTGTAGAATCTGCAAGGGGATATTTGGACCTCTCTGAGGATTTCGCTGGAAACGGGATCAACTTCCCATAACTGAACGGAAGCAAACTCAGAACATTCTTTGTGATGTTTGTATTCAACTCACAGAGTTGAACCTTCCTTTGATAGTTCAGGTTTGCAACACCCTTGTAGTAGAATCTGCAAGTGTATATTTTGACCACTTTGTAGCCTTCGTTTGAAACGTCTATATCTTCACATCAAACCTAGACAGAAGCATTCTCAGAAAGTTTTCTGCGATGACTGCATTCAACTCACAGAGTTGAACAATCCTTTTGATGGAGCAGTTTTGAAACCCTCTTTCTTTGGAATCTGCAAGGGGATATGTGGACCTCTTTGAAGATTTCACTGGAAACGGGATCATCTTCACATAAAAACTAAACAGAAGCATTCTCGGAAACTATTTTGTGATGTTTGTATTCAACTCCCAGAGTTGAACTTTCCTTTTGAAAGAGCAGCTATGAAACACTCTTTTTCGAGAATCTGCAAGTGGACGTTTGGAGGGCTTTGAGGCCTGTGGTGGAAAAGGAAATATCTTCACACAAAAACCAGATAGAAGCATTCTCAGAAACGACTTTGTGAGGATGGCATTCAACTCATGGAGTTGAACAATCCTATTGATAGAGCAGATTGGAATCACTCTTTTTGTAGAATCTGCAAATGGAGATTTGGACTGCTTTGAGGCCTACGGTAGTACAGGAAGGAACTTCATATAAAAGGCAAACGGAAGCATTCTCAGAATATTCTTTGTGATGATGGAGTTTCACTCACAGAGCTGAACATGCCTTTTGATGGAGCAGTTTCCAAATACACTTTTGGTAGAATCTGCAGGTGGATATTTGGAGCTCTCTGAGGATTTCGTTGGAAACGGGAATAATTTCCCATAACTAAACACAAACACTCTGAGAAAGTTCTTCATGATGAATGCATTTAACTCGCAGAGATGAACCTGCCTTTGAGAGTTCAGGTTCGAAACACTCTTTCTGTAGAATCTGCAAGTGGATATTTGGACCACTGGCTGGCCTTCGTTCGAAACGGGTATATGTTCACGTAAAAACTAAAGAGAAGCATTCTCAGAAACTTCTGAGTGATGATTGCATTCAAGTCACACAGTTGAACCCTCCTTTTGATGGAGCAGTTTTGAAACTGTCTTTTTGTAGAATCTGTAAGTGGATACGTGGACCTCTTTGAAGATTTCTTTGGAAACGGGAATATTTCCACAGAAAAACTAAACTGAAGTATTCTCAGAAACCGCTTTGTGATGTTTGTGTTCGAGCCACAGAGTTTAACATTGCTTTTCATAGAGCAGTTTTGAAATATTCTTTTGGCAGAATCTGCAAGTGGACATTTGGAGCGCTTTCAGGCCTGTGGTGGAAAAGGCCTGAAAGCCTTTTCCTTTATCTTCACAGAAAGACGAGAGAGAAGCATTGTCAGAAACTTCTTTGTGATGATTGCATTCAACTCACAGAGTTGAAGATTCCTTTTGAAACAGCAGTTTCGAAACACTCTTTCTGTGGGATCCGCAAGGGGATATTTGGACCTCTTTGAAGGTTTCGTTGGAAACGGGATAATCTTCACCTAAAAGCTAAACGGAAGCATTCTCAGAAACTTCTTTGGGATGTTTGCATTCACCTCACAGAGTTGAACTTTCCCTTTGATAGCGCAGCTTTGACACACTTTTTCTACAATGTGCAAGTGGCTATTTAGCGGGCTTGGAGGACTGTGTTGGAAAAGGAAATATCTTCTCCTAAAAACGACATAGAAGCATTCTCAGAAACTGCTCTGTGATGATTGCATTCAACTCCCAGAGTTGAACATTCCTTTTGATAGAGCAGTTTGCAAACACTCTTTTTGTAGAATCTGCAAGTGGAGATTTGGACCGCTTTGAGGCCTGTGGTAGTGAAGGAAAGAACTTCATATAAAAACCAGACGGTAGCACTCTCAGAAAATTCTTTGTGACGATGGAGTTTAACTCAGGGAGCTGAACATTCGTTATGATGGAGCAGTTTCCAAACACACGTTTTGTAGAATCTGCAAGGGGATATTTGGACCTCTCTGAGGATTTCGTTGGAAACGGGATCAACTTCCCATAACTGAACGGAAGCAAACTCAGAACATTCTTTGTGATGTTTGTATTCAACTCACAGAGTTGAACCTTCCTTTGATAGTTCAGGTTTGCAACACCCTTGTAGTAGAATCTGCAAGTGTATATTTTGACCACTTTGTAGCCTTCGTTTGAAACGTCTATATCTTCACATCAAACCTAGACAGAAGCATTCTCAGAAAGTTTTCTGCGATGACTGCATTCAACTCACAGAGTTGAACAATCCTTCTGATGGAGCAGTTTTGAAACCCTCTTTCTTTGGAATCTGCAATGGGATATGTGGACCTCTTTGAAGATTTCACTGGAAACGGGATCATCTTCACATAAAAACTAAACAGAAGCATTCTCGGAAACTATTTTGTGATGTTTGTATTCAACTCCCAGAGTTGAACTTTCCTTTTGAAAGAGCAGCTATGAAACACTCTTTTTCGAGAATCTGCAAGTGGACGTTTGGAGGGCTTTGAGGCCTGTGGTGGAAAAGGAAATATCTTCACACAAAAACCAGATAGAAGCATTCTCAGAAACGACTTTGTGAGGATGGCATTCAACTCATGGAGTTGAACAATCCTATTGATAGAGCAGATTGGAATCACTCTTTTTGTAGAATCTGCAAATGGAGATTTGGACTGCTTTGAGGCCTACGGTAGTACAGGAAGGAACTTCATATAAAAGGCAAACGGAAGCATTCTCAGAATATTCTTTGTGATGATGGAGTTTCACTGACAGAGCTGAACATGCCTTTTGATGGAGCAGTTTCCAAATACACTTTTGGTAGAATCTGCAGGTGGATATTTGGAGCTCTCTGAGGATTTCGTTGGAAACGGGAATAATTTCCCATAACTAAACACAAACACTCTGAGAAAGTTCTTCATGATGAATGCATTTAACTCGCAGAGATGAACCTGCCTTTGAGAGTTCAGGTTCGAAACACTCTTTCTGTAGAATCTGCAAGTGGATATTTGGACCACTGGGTGGCCTTCGTTCGAAACGGGTATATGTTCACGTAAAAACTAAAGAGAAGCATTCTCAGAAACTTCTGAGTGATGATTGCATTCAAGTCACACAGTTGAACCCTCCTTTTGATGGAGCAGTTTTGAAACTGTCTTTTTGTAGAATCTGTAAGTGGATACGTGGACCTCTTTGAAGATTTCTTTGGAAACGGGAATATTTCCACAGAAAAACTAAACTGAAGCATTCTCAGAAACTGCTTTGTGATGTTTGTGTTCGAGCCACAGAGTTTAACATTGCTTTTCATAGAGCAGTTTTGAAATATTCTTTTAGCAGAATCTGCAAGTGGACATTTGGAGCGCTTTCAGGCCTGTGGTGGAAAAGGCCTGAAAGCCTTTTCCTTTATCTTCACAGAAAGACGAGAGAGAAGCATTGTCAGAAACTTCTTTGTGATGATTGCATTCAACTCACAGAGTTGAAGATTCCTTTTGAAACAGCAGTTTCGAAACACTCTTTCTGTGGGATCCGCAAGGGGATATTTGGACCTCTTTGAAGGTTTCGTTGGAAACGGGATAATCTTCACCTAAAAGCTAAACGGAAGCATTCTCAGAAACTTCTTTGGGATGTTTGCATTCACCTCACAGAGTTGAACTTTCCCTTTGATAGCGCAGCTTTGACACACTTTTTCTACAATGTGCAAGTGGCTATTTAGCGGGCTTAGAGGACTGTGTTGGAAAAGGAAATATCTTCTCCTAAAAACGACATAGAAGCATTCTCAGAAACTGCTCTGTGATGATTGCATTCAACTCCCAGAGTTGAACATTCCTTTTGATAGAGCAGTTTGCAAACACTCTTTTTGTAGAATCTGCAAGTGGAGATTTGGACCGCTTTGAGGCCTGTGGTAGTGAAGGAAAGAACTTCATATAAAAACCAGACGGTAGCACTCTCAGAAAATTCTTTGTGACGATGGAGTTTAACTCAGGGAGCTGAACATTCGTTATGATGGAGCAGTTTCCAAACACACGTTTTGTAGAATCTGCAAGGGGATATTTGGACCTCTCTGAGGATTTCGTTGGAAACGGGATCAACTTCCCATAACTGAACGGAAGCAAACTCAGAACATTCTTTGTGATGTTTGTATTCAACTCACAGAGTTGAACCTTCCTTTGATAGTTCAGGTTTGCAACACCCTTGTAGTAGAATCTGCAAGTGTATATTTTGACCACTTTGTAGCCTTCGTTTGAAACGTCTATATCTTCACATCAAACCTAGACAGAAGCATTCTCAGAAAGTTTTCTGCGATGACTGCATTCAACTCACAGAGTTGAACAATCCTTCTGATGGAGCAGTTTTGAAACCCTCTTTCTTTGGAATCTGCAAGGGGATATGTGGACCTCTTTGAAGATTTCACTGGAAACGGGATCATCTTCACATAAAAACTAAACAGAAGCATTCTCGGAAACTACTTTGTGATGTTTGTATTCAACTCCCAGAGTTGAACTTTCCTTTTGAAAGAGCAGCTATGAAACACTCTTTTTCGAGAATCTGCAAGTGGACGTTTGGAGGGCTTTGAGGCCTGTGGTGGAAAAGGAAATATCTTCACATAAAAACTAGATAGAAGCATTCTCAGAAACTACTTTGTGAGGATGGCATTCAACTCATGGAGTTGAACAATCCTATTGATAGAGCAGATTGGAATCACTCTTTTTGTAGAATCTGCAAATGGAGATTTGGACTGCTTTGAGGCCTACGGTCGTATAGGAAGGAACTTCATATAAAAGGCAAACGGAAGCATTCTCAGAATATTCTTTGTGATGATGGAGTTTCACTCACAGAGCTGAACATGCCTTTTGATGGAGCAGTTTCCAAATACACTTTTGGTAGAATCTGCAGGTGGATATTTGGAGCTCTCTGAGGATTTCGTTGGAAACGGGAATAATTTCCCATAACTAAACACAAACACTCTGAGAAAGTTCTTCATGATGAATGCATTTAACTCGCAGAGATGAACCTGCCTTTGAGAGTTCAGGTTCGAAACACTCTTTCTGTAGAATCTGCAAGTGGATATTTGGACCACTGGGTGGACTTCGTTCGAAACGGGTATATGTTCACGTAAAAACTAAAGAGAAGCATTCTCAGAAACTTCTGAGTGATGATTGCATTCAAGTCACACAGTTGAACCCTCCTTTTGATGGAGCAGTTTTGAAACTGTCTTTTTGTAGAATCTGTAAGTGGACACGTGGACCTCTTTGAAGATTTCTTTGGAAACGGGAATATTTCCACAGAAAAACTAAACTGAAGCATTCTCAGAAACTGCTTTGTGATGTTTGTGTTCGAGCCACAGAGTTTAACATTGCTTTTCATAGAGCAGTTTTGCAATATTCTTTTCACAGAATCTGCAAGTGGACATTTGGAGCGCTTTCAGGCCTGTGGTGGAAAAGGCCTGAAAGCCTTTTCCTTTATCTTCACAGAAAGACGAGAGAGAAGCATTGTCAGAAACTTCTTTTTGATGATTGCATTCAACTCACAGAGTTGAAGATTCCTTTTGAAACAGCAGTTTCGAAACACTCTTTCTGTGGGATCCGCAAGGGGATATTTGGACCTCTTTGAAGGTTTCGTTGGAAACGGGATAATCTTCACCTAAAAGCTAAACGGAAGCATTCTCAGAAACTTCTTTGGGATGTTTGCATTCACCTCACAGAGTTGAACTTTCCCTTTGATAGCACAGCTTTGACACACTTTTTCTACAATGTGCAAGTGGCTATTTAGCGGGCTTGGAGGACTGTGTTGGAAAAGGAAATATCTTCTCCTAAAAACGACATAGAAGCATTCTCAGAAACTGCTCTGTGATGATTGCATTCAACTCCCAGAGTTGAACATTCCTTTTGATAGAGCAGTTTGCAAACACTCTTTTTGTAGAATCTGCAAGTGGAGATTTGGACCGCTTTGAGGCCTGTGGTAGTGAAGGAAAGAACTTCATATAAAAACCAGACGGTAGCACTCTCAGAAAATTCTTTGTGACGATGGAGTTTAACTCAGGGAGCTGAACATTCGTTATGATGGAGCAGTTTCCAAACACACGTTTTGTAGAATCTGCGAGGGGATATTTGGACCTCTCTGAGGATTTCGTTGGAAACGGGATCAACTTCCCATAACTGAACGGAAGCAAACTCAGAACATTCTTTGTGATGTTTGTATTCAACTCACAGAGTTGAACCTTCCTTTGATAGTTCAGGTTTGCAACACCCTTGTAGTAGAATCTGCAAGTGTATATTTTGACCACTTTGTAGCCTTCGTTTGAAACGTCTATATCTTCACATCAAACCTAGACAGAAGCATTCTCAGAAAGTTTTCTGCGATGACTGCATTCAACTCACAGAGTTGAACAATCCTTCTGATGGAGCAGTTTTGAAACCCTCTTTCTTTGGAATCTGCAAGGGGATATGTGGACCTCTTTGAAGATTTCACTGGAAACGGGATCATCTTCACATAAAAACTAAACAGAAGCATTCTCGGAAACTACTTTGTGATGTTTGTATTCAACTCCCAGAGTTGAACTTTCCTTTTGAAAGAGCAGCTATGAAACACTCTTTTTCGAGAATCTGCAAGTGGACGTTTGGAGGGCTTTGAGGCCTGTGGTGGAAAAGGAAATATCTTCACACAAAAACCAGATAGAAGCATTCTCAGAAACTACTTTGTGAGGATGGCATTCAACTCATGGAGTTGAACAATCCTATTGATAGAGCAGATTGGAATCACTCTTTTTGTAGAATCTGCAAATGGAGATTTGGACTGCTTTGAGGCCTACGGTCGTATAGGAAGGAACTTCATATAAAAGGCAAACGGAAGCATTCTCAGAATATTCTTTGTGATGATGGAGTTTCACTCACAGAGCTGAACATGCCTTTTGATGGAGCAGTTTCCAAATACACTTTTGGTAGAATCTGCAGGTGGATATTTGGAGCTCTCTGAGGATTTCGTTGGAAACGGGAATAATTTCCCATAACTAAACACAAACACTCTGAGAAAGTTCTTCATGATGAATGCATTTAACTCGCAGAGATGAACCTGCCTTTGAGAGTTCAGGTTCGAAACACTCTTTCTGTAGAATCTGCAAGTGGATATTTGGACCACTGGCTGGCCTTCGTTCGAAACGGGTATATGTTCACGTAAAAACTAAAGAGAAGCATTCTCAGAAACTTCTGAGTGATGATTGCATTCAAGTCACACAGTTGAACCCTCCTTTTGATGGAGCAGTTTTGAAACTGTCTTTTTGTAGAATCTGTAAGTGGATACGTGGACCTCTTTGAAGATTTCTTTGGAAACGGGAATATTTCCACAGAAAAACTAAACTGAAGCATTCTCAGAAACCGCTTTGTGATGTTTGTGTTCGAGCCGCAGAGTTTAACATTGCTTTTCATAGAGCAGTTTTGAAATATTCTTTTGGCAGAATCTGCAAGTGGACATTTGGAGCGCTTTCAGGCCTGTGGTGGCAAAGGCCTGAAAGCCTTTTCCTTTATCTTCACAGAAAGACGAGAGAGAAGCATTGTCAGAAACTTCTTTGTGATGATTGCATTCAACTCACAGAGTTGAAGATTCCTTTTGAAACAGCAGTTTCGAAACACTCTTTCTGTGGGATCCGCAAGGGGATATTTGGACCTCTTTGAAGGTTTCGTTGGAAACGGGATAATCTTCACCTAAAAGCTAAACGGAAGCATTCTCAGAAACTTCTTTGGGATGTTTGCATTCACCTCACAGAGTTGAACTTTCCCTTTGATAGCGCAGCTTTGACACACTTTTTCTACAATGTGCAAGTGGCTATTTAGCGGGCTTGGAGGACTGTGTTGGAAAAGGAAATATCTTCTCCTAAAAACGACATAGAAGCATTCTCAGAAACTGCTCTGTGATGATTGCATTCAACTCCCAGAGTTGAACATTCCTTTTGATAGAGCAGTTTGCAAACACTCTTTTTGTAGAATCTGGAAGTGGAGATTTGGACCGCTTTGAGGCCTGTGGTAGTGAAGGAAAGAGCTTCATATAAAAACCAGACGGTAGCACTCTCAGAAAATTCTTTGTGACGATGGAGTTTAACTCAGGGAGCTGAACATTCGTTATGATGGAGCAGTTTCCAAACACACGTTTTGTAGAATCTGCAAGGGGATATTTGGACCTCTCTGAGGATTTCGTTGGAAACGGGATCAACATCCCATAACTGAACGGAAGCAAACTCAGAACATTCTTTGTGATGTTTGTATTCAACTCACAGAGTTGAACCTTCCTTTGATAGTTCAGGTTTGCAACACCCTTGTAGTAGAATCTGCAAGTGTATATTTTGACCACTTTGTAGCCTTCGTTTGAAACGTCTATATCTTCACATCAAACCTAGAAAGAAGCATTCTCAGAAAGTTTTCTGCGATGACTGCATTCAACTCACAGAGTTGAACAATCCTTCTGATGGAGCAGTTTTGAAACCCTCTTTCTTTGGAATCTGCAAGGGGATATGTGGACCTCTTTGAAGATTTCACTGGAAACGGGATCATCTTCACATAAAAACTAAACAGAAGCATTCTCGGAAACTACTTTGTGATGTTTGTATTCAACTCCCAGAGTTGAACTTTCCTTTTGAAAGAGCAGCTATGAAACACTCTTTTTCGAGGATCTGCAAGTGGACGTTTGGAGGGCTTTGAGGCCTGTGGTGGAAAAGGAAATATCTTCACATAAAAACTAGATAGAAGCATTCTCAGAAACGACTTTGTGAGGATGGCATTCAACACATGGAGTTGAACAATCCTATTGATAGAGCAGATTGGAATCACTCTTTTTGGAGAATCTGCAAATGGAGATTTGGACTGCTTTGAGGCCTACGGTCGTATAGGAAGGAACTTCATATAAAAGGCAAACGGAAGCATTCTCAGAATATTCTTTGTGATGATGGAGTTTCACTCACAGAGCTGAACATGCCTTTTGATGGAGCAGTTTCCAAATACACTTTTGGTAGAATCTGCAGGTGGATATTTGGACCTCTCTGAGGATTTCGTTGGAAACGGGAATAATTTCCCATAACTAAACACAAACACTCTGAGAAAGTTCTTCATGATGAATGCATTGAACTCGCAGAGATGAACCTGCCTTTGAGAGTTCAGGTTCGAAACACTCTTTCTGTAGAATCTGCAAGTGGATATTTGGACCACTGGCTGGCCTTCGTTCGAAACGGGTATATGTTCACGTAAAAACTAAAGAGAAGCGTTCTCATAAACTTCTGAGTGATGATTGCATTCAAGTCACACAGTTGAACCCTCCTTTTGATTGAGCAGTTTTGAAACTGTCTTTTTGTAGAATCTGTAAGTGGATGCGTGGACCTCTTTGAAGATTTCTTTGGAAACGGGAATATTTCCACAGAAAAACTAAACTGAAGCATTCTCAGAAACTGCTTTGTGATGTTTGTGTTCGAGCCACAGAGTTTAACACTGCTTTTCATAGAGCAGTTTTGAAATATTCTTTTGGCAGAATCTGCAAGTGGACATTTGGAGCGCTTTCAGGCCTGTGGTGGAAAAGGCCTGAAAGCCTTTTCCTTTATCTTCACAGAAAGACGAGAGAGAAGCATTGTCAGAAACTTCTTTGTGATGATTGCATTCAACTCACAGAGTTGAAGATTCCTTTTGAAACAGCAGTTTCGAAACACTCTTTCTGTGGGATCCGCAAGGGGATATTTGGACCTCTTTGAAGATTTCGTTGGAAACGGGATAATCTTCACCTAAAAGCTAAACGGAAGCATTCTCAGAAACTTCTTTGGGATGTTTGCATTCACCTCACAGAGTTGAACTTTCCCTTTGATAGCGCAGCTTCGACACTCTTTTTCTACAATGTGCAAGTGGATATTTAGCGGGCATGGAGGACTGTGTTGGAAAAGGAAATATCTTCTCCTAAAAACGACATAGAAGCATTCTCAGAAACTGCTCTGTGATGATTGCATTCAACTCCCAGAGTTGAACATTCCTTTTGATAGAGCAGTTTGCAAACACTCTTTTTGTAGAATCTGCAAGTGGAGATTTGGACCGCTTTGAGGCCTGTGGTAGTAAAGGAAAGAACTTCATATAAAAACTAGACGGTAGCACTCTTCGAAAATTCTTTGTGACGATGGAGTTTAACTCAGAGAGCTGAACATTCGTTATGATGGAGCAGTTTCCAAACACACGTTTTGTAGAATCTGCAAGGGGATATTTGGACCTCTCTGTGGATTTCTTTGGAAAAGGGATCAACTTCCCATAACTGAACTGAAGCAAACTCAGAACATTCTTTGTGATGTTTGTATTCAACTCACAGAGTTGAACCTTCCTTTGATAGTTCAGGTTGGCAAAACCCTTGTAGTAGAATCTGCAAGTGTATATTTTGACCACTTTGTAGCCTTCGTTTGAAACGTCTATATCTTCACATCAAACCTAGACAGAATCATTCTCAGAAAGTTTTCTGCGATGACTGCATTCAACTCACAGAGTTGAGCAATCCTTTTGATGGAGCAGTCTTGAAACCCTCTTTCTTTGGAATCTGCAAGGGGATATGTGGACCTCTTTGAAGATTTCAATGGAAATGGGATCATCTTCACATAAAAACTAAACAGAAGCATTCTCGGAAACTACTTTGTGATGTTTGTATTCAACTCCCAGAGTTGAACTTTCCTTTTGAAAGAGTAGCTATGAAACACTCTTTTTCGAGAATCTGCAAGTGGACGTTTGGAGGGCTTTGAGGCCTGTGGTGGAAAAGGAAATATCTTCACATAAAAACTAGATAGAAGCATTCTCAGAAACGACTTTGTGAGGATGGCATTCAACTCATGGAGTTGAACAATCCTATTGATAGAGCAGATTGGAATCACTCTTTTTGTAGAATCTGCAAATGGACATTTGGACTGCTTTGAGGCCTACGGTAGTACAGGAAGGAACTTCATATAAAAGGCAAACGGAAGCATTCTCTGAATATTCTTTGTGATGATGCAGTTTCACTCACAGAGCTGAACATGCCTTTTGATGGAGCAGTTTCCAAATACACTTTTGGTAGAATCTGCAGGTGGATATTTGGACCTCTCTGAGGATTTCGTTGGAAACGGGAATAATTTCCCATAACTAAACACAAACACTCTGAGAAAGTTCTTCATGATGAATGCATTTAACTCGCAGAGATGAACCTGCCTTTGAGAGTTCAGGTTCGAAACACCCTTTCTGTAGAATCTGCAAGTGGATATTTGGACCACTGGGTGGCCTTCGTTCGAAACGGGTATATGTTCACGTAAAAACTAAAGAGAAGCATTCTCAGAAACTTCTGAGTGATGATTGCATTCAAGTCACACAGTTGAACCCTCCTTTTGATGGAGCAGTTTTGAAACTGTCTTTTTGTAGAATCTGTAAGTGGATACGTGGACCTCTTTGAAGATTTCTTTGGAAACGGGAATATTTCCACAGAAAAACTAAACTGAAGCATTCTCAGAAACTGCTTTGTGATGTTTGTGTTCGAGCCACAGAGTTTAACATTGCTTTTCATAGAGCAGTTTTGCAATATTCTTTTCACAGAATCTGCAAGTGGACATTTGGAGCGCTTTCAGGCCTGTGGTGGAAAAGGCCTGAAAGCCTTTTCCTTTATCTTCACAGAAAGACGAGAGAGAAGCATTGTCAGAAACTTCTTTGTGATGATTGCATTCAACTCACAGAGTTGAAGATTCCTTTTGAAACAGCAGTTTCGAAACACTCTTTCTGTGGGATCCGCAAGGGGATATTTGGACCTCTTTGAAGGTTTCGTTGGAAACGGGATAATCTTCACCTAAAAGCTAAACGGAAGCATTCTCAGAAACTTCTTTGGGATGTTTGCATTCACCTCACAGAGTTGAACTTTCCCTTTGATAGCGCAGCTTTGACACACTTTTTCTACAATGTGCAAGTGGCTATTTAGCGGGCTTGGAGGACTGTGTTGGAAAAGGAAATATCTTCTCCTAAAAACGACATAGAAGCATTCTCAGAAACTGCTCTGTGATGATTGCATTCAACTCCCAGAGTTGAACATTCCTTTTGATAGAGCAGTTTGCAAACACTCTTTTTGTAGAATCTGCAAGTGGAGATTTGGACCGCTTTGAGGCCTGTGGTAGTGAAGGAAAGAACTTCATATAAAAACCAGACGGTAGCACTCTCAGAAAATTCTTTGTGACGATGGAGTTTAACTCAGGGAGCTGAACATTCGTTATGATGGAGCAGTTTCCAAACACACGTTTTGTAGAATCTGCGAGGGGATATTTGGACCTCTCTGAGGATTTCGTTGGAAACAGGATCAACTTCCCATAACTGAACGGAAGCAAACTCAGAACATTCTTTGTGATGTTTGTATTCAACTCACAGAGTTGAACCATCCTTTGATAGTTCAGGTTTGTAACACCCTTGTAGTAGAATCTGCAAGTGTATATTTTGACCACTTTGTACCCTTCGTTTGAAGCGTCTATATCTTCACATCAAACCTAGACAGAAGCATTCTCAGAAAGTTTTCTGCGATGACTGCATTCAACTCACAGAGTTGAACAATCCTTCTGATGGAGCAGTTTTGAAACCCTCTTTCTTTGGAATCTGCAAGGGGATATGTGGACCTCTTTGAAGATTTCACTGGAAACGGGATCATCTTCACATAAAAACTAAACAGAAGCATTCTCGGAAACTACTTTGTGATGTTTGTATTCAACTCCCAGAGTTGAACTTTCCTTTTGAAAGAGCAGCTATGAAACACTCTTTTTCGAGAATCTGCAAGTGGACGTTTGGAGGGCTTTGAGGCCTGTGGTGGAAAAGGAAATATCTTCACATAAAAACTAGATAGAAGCATTCTCAGAAACGACTTTGTGAGGATGGCATTCAACTCATGGAGTTGAACAATCCTATTGATAGAGCAGATTGGAATCACTCTTTTTGTAGAATCTGCAAATGGAGATTTGGACTGCTTTGAGGCCTACGGTCGTATAGGAAGGAACTTCAGATAAAAGGCAAACGGAAGCATTCTCAGAATATTCTTTGTGATGATGGAGTTTCACTCACAGAGCTGAACATGCCTTTTGATGGAGCAGTTTCCAAATACACTTTTGGTAGAATCTGCAGGTGGATATTTGGAGCTCTCTGAGGATTTCGTTGGAAACGGGAATAATTTCCCATAACTAAACACAAACACTCTGAGAAAGTTCTTCATGATGAATGCATTTAACTCGCAGAGATGAACCTGCCTTTGAGAGTTCAGGTTCGAAACACTCTTTCTGTAGAATCTGCAAGTGGATATTTGGACCACTGGGTGGCCTTCGTTCGAAACGGGTATATGTTCACGTAAAAACTAAAGAGAAGCATTCTCAGAAACTTCTGAGTGATGATTGCATTCAAGTCACACAGTTGAACCCTCCTTTTGATGGAGCAGTTTTGAAACTGTCTTTTTGTAGAATCTGTAAGTGGATACGTGGACCTCTTTGAAGATTTCTTTGGAAACGGGAATATTTCCACAGAAAAACTAAACTGAAGCATTCTCAGAAACTGCTTTGTGATGTTTGTGTTCGAGCCACAGAGTTTAACATTGCTTTTCATAGAGCAGTTTTGAAATATTCTTTTGGCAGAATCTGCAAGTGGACATTTGGAGCGCTTTCAGGCCTGTGGTGGAAAAGGCCTGAAAGCCTTTTCCTTTATCTTCACAGAAAGACGAGAGAGAAGCATTGTCAGAAACTTCTTTGTGATGATTGCATTCAACTCACAGAGTTGAAGATTCCTTTTGAAACAGCAGTTTCGAAACACTCTTTCTGTGGGATCCGCAAGGGGATATTTGGACCTCTTTGAAGGTTTCGTTGGAAACGGGATAATCTTCACCTAAAAGCTAAACGGAAGCATTCTCAGAAACTTCTTTGGGATGTTTGCATTCACCTCACAGAGTTGAACTTTCCCTTTGATAGCGCAGCTTTGACACACTTTTTCTACAATGTGCAAGTGGCTATTTAGCGGGCTTGGAGGACTGTGTTGGAAAAGGAAATATCTTCTCCTAAAAACGACATAGAAGCATTCTCAGAAACTGCTCTGTGATGATTGCATTCAACTCCCAGAGTTGAACATTCCTTTTGATAGAGCAGTTTGCAAACACTCTTTTTGTAGAATCTGCAAGTGGAGATTTGGACCGCTTTGAGGCCTGTGGTAGTGAAGGAAAGAACTTCATATAAAAACCAGACGGTAGCACTCTCAGAAAATTCTTTGTGACGATGGAGTTTAACTCAGGGAGCTGAACATTCGTTATGATGGAGCAGTTTCCAAACACACGTTTTGTAGAATCTGCGAGGGGATATTTGGACCTCTCTGAGGATTTCGTTGGAAACGGGATCAACTTCCCATAACTGAACGGAAGCAAACTCAGAACATTCTTTGTGATGTTTGTATTCAACTCACAGAGTTGAACCTTCCTTTGATAGTTCAGGTTTGCAACACCCTTGTAGTAGAATCTGCAAGTGTATATTTTGACCACTTTGTAGCCTTCATTTGAAACGTCTATATCTTCACATCAAACCTAGACAGAAGCATTCTCAGAAAGTTTTCTGCGATGACTGCATTCAACTCACAGAGTTGAACAATCCTTCTGATGGAGCAGTTTTGAAACCCTCTTTCTTTGGAATCTGCAAGGGGATATGTGGACCTCTTTGAAGATTTCACTGGAAACGGGATCATCTTCACATAAAAACTAAACAGAAGCATTCTCGGAAACTACTTTGTGATGTTTGTATTCAACTCCCAGAGTTGAACTTTCCTTTTGAAAGAGCAGCTATGAAACACTCTTTTTCGAGAATCTGCAAGTGGACGTTTGGAGGGCTTTGAGGCCTGTGGTGGAAAAGGAAATATCTTCACACAAAAACCAGATAGAAGCATTCTCAGAAACTGCTTTGTGAGGATGGCATTCAACTCATGGAGTTGAACAATCCTATTGATAGAGCAGATTGGAATCACTCTTTTTGTAGAATCTGCAAATGGAGATTTGGACTGCTTTGAGGCCTACGGTAGTACAGGAAGGAACTTCATATAAAAGGCAAACGGAAGCATTCTCAGAATATTCTTTGTGATGATGGAGTTTCACTCACAGAGCTGAACATGCCTTTTGATGGAGCAGTTTCCAAATACACTTTTGGTAGAATCTGCAGGTGGATATTTGGAGCTCTCTGAGGATTTCTTTGGAAACGGGAATAATTTCCCATAACTAAACACAAACACTCTGAGAAAGTTCTTCATGATGAATGCATTTAACTCGCAGAGATGAACCTGCCTTTGAGAGTTCAGGTTTCAAACACTCTTTCTGTATAATCTGCAAGTGGATATTTGGACCACTGGGTGGCCTTCGTTCGAAACGGGTATATGTTCACGTAAAAACTAAAGAGAAGCATTCTCAGAAACTTCTGAGTGATGATTGCATTCAAGTCACACGGTTGAACCCTCCTTTTGATGGAGCAGTTTTGAAACTGTCTTTTTGTAGAATCTGTAAGTGGATACGTGGACCTCTTTGAAGATTTCTTTGGAAACGGGAATATTTCCACAGAAAAACTAAACTGAAGCATTCTCAGAAACCGCTTTGTGATGTTTGTGTTCGAGCCACAGAGTTTAACATTGCTTTTCATAGAGCAGTTTTGAAATATTCTTTTCGCAGAATCTGCAAGTGGACATTTGGAGCGCTTTCAGGCCTGTGGTGGAAAAGGCCTGAAAGCCTTTTCCTTTATCTTCACAGAAAGACGAGAGAGAAGCATTGTCAGAAACTTCTTTGTGATGATTGCATTCAACTCACAGAGTTGAAGATTCCTTTTGAAACAGCAGTTTCGAAACACTCTTTCTGTGGGATCCGCAAGGGGATATTTGGACCTCTTTGAAGGTTTCGTTGGAAACGGGATAATCTTCACCTAAAAGCTAAACGGAAGCATTCTCAGAAACTTCTTTGGGATGTTTGCATTCACCTCACAGAGTTGAACTTTCCCTTTGATAGCGCAGCTTTGACACACTTTTTCTACAATGTGCAAGTGGCTATTTAGCGGGCTTGGAGGACTGTGTTGGAAAAGGAAATATACTTCTCCTAAAAACGACATAGAAGCATTCTCAGAAACTGCTCTGTGATGATTGCATTCAACTCCCAGTAGTTGAACATTCCTTTTGATAGAGCAGTTTGCAAACACTCTTTTTGTAGAATCTGCAAGTGGAGATTTGGACCGCTTTGAGGCCTGTGGTAGTAAAGGAAAGAACTTCATATAAAAACCAGACGGTAGCACTCTCAGAAAATTCTTTGTGACGATGGAGTTAAACTCAGAGAGCTGAACATTCTTTATGATGGAGCAGTTCCCAAACACACGTTTTGTAGAATCTGCAAGGGGATATTTGGACCTCTCTGAGGATTTCGTTGGAAGTGGGATCAACTTCCCATAACTGAACGGAAGCAAACTCAGAACATTCTTTGTGATGTTTGTATTCAACTCACAGAGTTGAACCTTCCTTTGATAGTTGAGGTTTGCATCACCCTTGTAGTAGAATCTGCAAGTGTATATTTTGACCACTTTGTAGCCTTCGTTTGAAACGTCTATATCTTCACATCAAACCTAAACAGAAGCATTCTCAGAAAGTTTTCTGCGATGACTGCATTCAACTCACAGAGTTGAACAATCCTTTTGATGGAGCAGTTTTGAAACCCTCTTTCTTTGGAATCTGCAAGGGGATATGTGGACCTCTTTCAAGATTTCACTGGAAACGGGATCATCTTCACATAAGAACTAAACAGAAGCATTCTCGGAAACTACTTTGTGATGTTTGTATTCAACTCCCAGAGTTGAACTTTCCTTTTGAAAGAGCAGCTATGAAACACTCTTTTTCGAGAATCTGCAAGTGGACGTTTGGAGGGCTTTGAGGCCTGTGGTGGAAAAGGAAATATCTTCACATAAAAACTACATAGAAGCATTCTCAGAAACGACTTTGTGAGGATGGCATTCAACTCATGGAGTTGAACAATCCTATTGATAGAGCAGATTGGAATCACTCTTTTTGTAGAATCTGCAAATGGAGATTTGGACTGCTTTGAGGCCTACGGTAGTATAGGAAGGAACTTCATATAAAAGGCAAACGGAAGCATTCTCAGAATATTCTTTGTGATGATGGAGTTTCACTCACAGAGCTGAACATTCCTGTTGATGGAGCAGTTTCCAAATACACTTTTGGTAGAATCTGCAGGTGGATATTTGGAGCTCTCTGAGGATTTCCTTGGAAACGGGAATAATTTCCCATAACTAAACACAAACACGCTGAGAAAGTTCTTCATGATGAATGCATTTAACTCGCAGAGATGAACCTGCCTTTGAGAGTTCAGGTTCGAAACACTCTTTCTGTGGAATCTTCAAGTGGATATTTGGACCACTGGCTGGCCTTCATTCCAAACGGGTATATGTTCACGTAAAAACTAAAGAGAAGCGTTCTCAGAAACTTCTGAGTGATGATTGCATTCAAGTCACACAGTTGAACCCTCCTTTTGATTGAGCAGTTTTGAAACTGTCTTTTTGTAGAATCTGTAAGTGGATGCGTGGACCTCTTTGAAGATTTCTTTGGAAACGGGAATATTTCCACAGAAAAACTAAACTGAAGCATTCTCAGAAACTGCTTTGTGATGTTTGTGTTCGAGTCACAGAGTTTAACATTGCTTTTCATAGAGCAGTTTTGAAATATTCTTTTGGCAGAATCTGCAAGTGGACATTTGGAGCGCTTTCAGGCCTGTGGTGGAAAAGGCCTGAAAGCCTTTTCCTTTATCTTCACAGAAAGACGAGAGAGAAGCATTGTCAGAAACTTCTTTGTGATGATTGCATTCAACTCACAGAGTTGAAGATTCCTTTTGAAACAGCAGTTTCGAAACACTCTTTCTGTGGGATCCGCAAGGGGATATTTGGATCTCTTTGAAGGTTTCGTTGGAAACTGGATAATCGTCACCTAAAAGCTAAACGGAAGCATTCTCAGAAACTTCTTTGGGATGTTTGCATTCACCTCACAGAGTTGAACTTTCCCTTTGATAGCGCAGCTTCGACACACTTTTTCTACAATGTGCAAGTGGATATTTAGCGGGCTTGGAGGACTGTGTTGGAAAAGGAAATATCTTCTCCTAAAAACGACATAGAAGCATTCTCAGAAACTGCTCTGTGATGATTGCATTCAACTCCCAGAGTTGAACATTCCTTTTGATAGAGCAGTTTGCAAACACTCTTTTTGTAGAATCTGCAAGTGGAGATTTGGACCGCTTTGAGGCCTGTGGTAGTAAAGGAAAGAACTTCATATAAAAACTAGACGGTAGCACTCTCAGAAAATTCTTTGTGACGATGGAGTTTAACTCAGAGAGCTGAACATTCGTTATGATGGAGCAGTTTCCAAACACACGTTTTGTAGAATCTGCAAGGGGATATTTGGACCTCTCTGAGGATTTCGTTGGAAACGGGATCAACTTCCCATAACTGAACGGAAGCAAACTCAGAACATTCTTTGTGATGTTTGTATTCAACTCACAGAGTTGAACCTTCCTTTGATAGTTCAGGTTTGCATCACCCTTGTAGTAGAATCTGCAAGTGTATATTTTGACCACTTTGTAGCCTTCGTTTGAAACGTCTATATCTTCACATCTAACCTAGACAGAAGCATTCTCAGAAAGTTTTCTGCGATGACTGCATTCAACTCACAGAGTTGAACAATCCTTTTGATGGAGCAGTTTTGAAACCCTCTTTCTTTGGAATCTGCAAGGGGATATGTGGACCTCTTTGAAGATTTCACTGGAAACGGGATCATCTTCACATAAGAACTAAACAGAAGCATTCTCGGAAACTACTTTGTGATGTTTGTATTCAGCTCCCAGAGTTGAACTTTCCTTTTGAAAGAGCAGCTATGAAACACTCTTTTTCGAGAATCTGCAAGTGGACGTTTGGAGGGCTTTGAGGCCTGTGGTGGAAAAGGAAATATCTTCACATAAAAACTAGATAGAAGCATTCTCAGAAACTACTTTGTGAGGACGGCATTCAACTCATGGAGTTGAACAGTCCTATTGATAGAGCAGATTGGAATCACTCTTTTTGTAGAATCTGCAAATGGAGATTTGGAATGCTTTGAGGCCTACGGTAGTATAGGAAGTAACTTCATATAAAAGGCAAATGGAAGCATTCTCAGAATATTCTTTGTGATGATGGAGTTTCACTCACAGAGCTGAACATGCCTTTTGATGGAGCAGTTTCCAAATACACTTTTGGTAGAATCTGCAGGTGGATATTTGGAGCTCTCTGAGGATTTCGTTGGAAACGGGAATAATTTCCCATAACTAAACACAAACACGCTGAGAAAGTTCTTCATGATGAATGCATTTAACTCGCAGAGATGAACCTGCCTTTGAGAGTTCAGGTTCGAAACACTCTTTCTGTAGAATCTGCAAGTGGATATTTGGACCACTGGCTGGCCTTCGTTCGAAACGGGTATATGTTCACGTAAAAACTAAAGAGAAGCGTTCTCAGAAACTTCTGAGTGATGATTGCATTCAAGTCACACAGTTGAACCCTCCTTTTGATTGAGCAGTTTTGAAACTGTCTTTTTGTAGAATCTGTAAGTGGATGCGTGGACCTCTTTGAAGATTTCTTTGGAAACGGGAATATTTCCACAGAAAAACTAAACTGAAGCATTCTCAGAAACTGCTTTGTGATGTTTGTGTTCGAGCCGCAGAGTTTAACATTGCTTTTCATAGAGCAGTTTTGAAATATTCTTTTGGCAGAATCTGCAAGTGGACATTTGGAGCGCTTTCAGGCCTGTGGTGGAAATGGCCTGAAAGCCTTTTCCTTTATCTTCACAGAAAGACGAGAGAGAAGCATTGTCAGAAACTTCTTTGTGATGATTGCATTCAACTCACAGAGTTGAAGATTCCTTTTGAAACAGCAGTTTCGAAACACTCTTTCTGTGGGATCCGCAAGGGGATATTTGGACCTCTTTGAAGATTTCGTTGGAAACGGGATAATCTTCACTTAAAGCTAAACGGAAGCATTCTCAGAAACTTCTTTGGGATGTTTGCATTCACCTCACAGAGTTGAACTTTCCCTTTGATAGCGCAGCTTCGACACACTTTTTCTACAATGTGCAAGTGGATATTTAGCGGGCTTGGAGGACTGTGTTGGAAAAGGAAATATCTTCTCCTAAAAACGACATAGAAGCATTCTCAGAAACTGCTCTGTGATGATTGCATTCAACTCCCAGAGTTGAACATTCCTTTTGATAGAGCAGTTTGCAAACACTCTTTTTGTAGAATCTGCAAGTGGAGATTTGGACCGCTTTGAGGCCTGTGGTAGTAAAGCAAAGAACTTCATATAAAAAGTAGACGGTAGCACTCTCAGAAAATTCTTTGTGACGATGGAGTTTAACTCAGAGAGCTGAACATTCGTTATGATGGAGCAGTTTCCAAACACACGTTTTGTAGAATCTGCAAGGGGATATTTGGACCTCTCTGAGGATTTCGTTGGAAACGGGATCAACTTCCCATAACTGAACGGAAGCAAACTCAGAACATTCTTTGTGATGTTTGCATTCGTCTCACAGAGTTGAACCTTCCTTTGATAGTTGAGGTTTGCAACACCCTTGTAGTAGAATCTGCAAGTGTATATTTTGACCACTTTGTAGCCTTCGTTTGAAACGTCTATATCTTCACATCAAACCTAGACAGAAGCATTCTCAGAAAGTTTTCTGCGATGACTGCATTCAACTCACAGAGTTGAACAATCCTTTTGATGGAGCAGTTTTGAAACCCTCTTTTTTTGGAATCTGCAAGGGGATATGTGGACCTCTTTGAAGATTTCACTGGAAACGGGATCATCTTCACATAAGAACTAAACAGAAGCATTCTCGGAAACTACTTTGTGATGTTTGTATTCAACTCCCAGAGTTGAACTTTCCTTTTGAAAGAGCAGCTATGAAACACTCTTTTTCGAGAATCTGCAAGTGGACGTTTGGAGGGCTTTGAGGCCTGTGGTGGAAAAGGAAATATCTTCACATAAAAACTACATAGAAGCATTCTCAGAAACGACTTTGTGAGGATGGCATTCAACTCATGGAGTTGAACAATCCTATTGATAGAGCAGATTGGAATCACTCTTTTTGTAGAATCTGCAAATGGAGATTTGGACTGCTTTGAGGCCTACGGTAGTATAGGAAGGAACTTCATATAAAAGGCAAACGGAAGCATTCTCAGAATATTCTTTGTGATGACGGAGTTTCACTCAGAGAGCTGAACATGCCTTTTCATGGAGCAGTTTCCAAATACAGTTTTGGTACAATCTGCAGGTGGATATTTGGAGCTCTCTGAGGATTTCGTTGGAAACGGGAATAATTTCCCATAACTAAACACAAACACGCTGAGAAAGTTCTTCATGATGAATGCATTTAACTCGCAGAGATGAACCTGCCTTTGAGAGTTCAGGTTCAAAACACTCTTTCTGTAGAATCTGCAAGTGGATATTTGGACCACTGGCTGGCCTTCGTTCGAAACGGGTATATGTTCACGTAAAAACTAAAGAGAAGCGTTCTCAGAAACTTCTGAGTGATGAATGCATTCAAGTCACACAGTTGAACCCTCCTTTTGATTGAGCAGTTTTGAAACTGTCTTTTTGTAGAATCTGTAAGTGGATGCGTGGACCTCTTTGAAGATTTCTTTGGAAACGGGAATATTTCCACAGAAAAACTAAACTGAAGCATTCTCAGAAACTGCTTTGTGATGTTTGTGTTCGAGCCGCAGAGTTTAACATTGCTTTTCATAGAGCAGTTTTGAAATATTCTTTTGGCAGAATCTGCAAGTGGACATTTGGAGCGCTTTCAGGCCTGTGGTGGAAATGGCCTGAAAGCCTTTTCCTTTATCTTCACAGAAAGACGAGAGAGAAGCATTGTCAGAAACTTCTTTGTGATGATTGCATTCAACTCACAGAGTTGAAGATTCCTTTTGAAACAGCAGTTTCGAAACACTCTTTCTGTGGGATCCGCAAGGGGATATTTGGACCTCTTTGAAGATTTCGTTGGAAACGGGATAATCTTCACTTAAAGCTAAACGGAAGCATTCTCAGAAACTTCTTTGGGATGTTTGCATTCACCTCACAGAGTTGAACTTTCCCTTTGATAGCGCAGCTTCGACACACTTTTTCTACAATGTGCAAGTGGATATTTAGCGGGCTTGGAGGACTGTGTTGGAAAAGGAAATATCTTCTCCTAAAAACGACATAGAAGCATTCTCAGAAACTGCTCTGTGATGATTGCATTCAACTCCCAGAGTTGAACATTCCTTTTGATAGAGCAGTTTGCAAACACTCTTTTTGTAGAATCTGCAAGTGGAGATTTGGACCGCTTTGAGGCCTGTGGTAGTAAAGGAAAGAACTTCATATAAAAACTAGACGGTAGCACTCTCAGAAAATTCTTTGTGACGATGGAGTTTAACTCAGAGAGCTGAACATTCGTTATGATGGAGCAGTTTCCAAACACACGTTTTGTAGAATCTGCAAGGGGATATTTGGACCTCTCTGAGGATTTCGTTGGAAACGGTATCAATTTCCCATAACTGAACGGAAGCAAACTCAGAACATTTTTTGTGATGGTTGCATTCATCTCACAGAGTTGAACCTTCCTTTGATAGTTGAGGTTTGCATCACCCTTGTAGTAGAATCTGCAAGTGTATATTTTGACCACTTTGTAGCCTTCGTTTGAAACGTCTATATCTTCACATCAAACCTAGACAGAAGCATTCTCAGAAAGTTTTCTGCGATGACTGCATTCAACTCACAGAGTTGAACAATCCTTTTGATGGAGCAGTTTTGAAACCCTCTTTCTTTGGAATCTGCAAGGGGATATATGGACCTCTTTGAAGATTTCACTGGAAACGGGATCATCTTCACATAACAACTAAACAGAAGCATTCTCGGAAACTACTTTGTGATGTTTGTATTCAACTCCCAGAGTTGAACTTTCCTTTTGAAAGAGCAGCTATGAAACACTCTTTTTCGAGAATCTGCAAGTGGACGTTTGGAGGGCTTTGAGGCCTGTGGTGGAAAAGGAAATATCTTCACATAAAAACTAGATAGAAGCATTCTCAGAAACTACTTTGTGAGGATGGCATTCAACTCATGGAGTTGAACAATCCTATTGATAGAGCAGATTGGAATCACTCTTTTTGTAGAATCTGCAAATGGAGATTTGGACTGCTTTGAGGCCTACAGTCGTATAGGAAGGAACTTCATATAAAAGGCAAACGGAAGCATTCTCAGAATATTCTTTGTGATGATGGAGTTTCACTCACAGAGCTGAACATGCCTTTTGATGGAGCAGTTTCCAAATACACTTTTGGTAGAATCTGCAGGTGGATATTTGGAGCTCTCTGAGGATTTCGTTGGAAACGGGAATAATTTCCCATAACTAAACACAAACACGCTGAGAAAGTTCTTCATGATGAATGCATTGAACTCGCAGAGATGAACCTGCCTTTGAGAGTTCAGGTTCGAAACACTCTTTCTGTAGAATCTGCAAGTGGATATTTGGACCACTGGCTGGCCTTCTTTCGAAACGGGTATATGTTCACGTAAAAACTAAAGAGAAGCGTTCTCAGAAACTTCTGAGTGATGATTGCATTCAAGTCACACAGTTGAACCCTCCTTTTGATTGAGCAGTTTTGAAACTGTCTTTTTGTAGAATCTGTAAGTGGATGCGTGGACCTCTTTGAAGATTTCTTTGGAAACGGGAATATTTCCACAGAAAAACTAAACTGAAGCATTCTCAGAAACGGCTTTGTGATGTTTGTGTTCGAGCCACAGAGTTTAACATTGCTTTTCGTAGAGCAGTTTTGAAATATTCTTTTGGCAGAATCTGCAAGTGGACATTTGGAGCGCTTTCAGGCCTGTGGTGGAAAAGGCCTGAAAGCCTTTTCCTTTATCTTCACAGAAAGACGAGAGAGAAGCATTGTCAGAAACTTCTTTGTGATGATTGCATTCAACTCACAGAGTTGAAGATTCCTTTTGAAACAGCAGTTTCGAAACACTCTTTCTGTGGGATCCGCAGGGGGATATTTGGACCTCTTTGAAGATTTCGTTGGAAACGGGATAATCTTCACCTAAAAGCTAAACGGAAGCATTCTCAGAAACTTCTTTGGGATGTTTGCATTCACCTCACAGAGTTGAACTTTCCCTTTGATAGCGCAGCTTCGACACACTTTTTCTACAATGTGCAAGTGGCTATTTAGCGGGCTTGGAGGACTGTGTTGGAAAAGGAAATATCTTCTCCTAAAAACGACATAGAAGCATTCTCAGAAACTGCTCTGTGATGATTGCATTCAACTCCCAGAGTTGAACATTCCTTTTGATAGAGCAGTTTGCAAACACTCTTTTTGTAGAATCTGCAAGTGGAGATTTGGACCGCTTTGAGGCCTGTGGTAGTAAAGCAAAGAACTTCATATAAAAAGTAGACGGTAGCACTCTCAGAAAATTCTTTGTGACGATGGAGTTTAACTCAGAGAGCTGAACATTCGTTATGATGGAGCAGTTTCCAAACACACGTTTTGTAGAATCTGCAAGGGGATATTTGGACCTCTCTGAGGATTTCGTTGGAAACGGGATCAACTTCCCATAACTGAACGGAAGCAAACTCAGAACATTCTTTGTGATGTTTGCATTCGTCTCACAGAGTTGAACCTTCCTTTGATAGTTGAGGTTTGCAACACCCTTGTAGTAGAATCTGCAAGTGTATATTTTGACCACTTTGTAGCCTTCGTTTGAAACGTCTATATCTTCACATCAAACCTAGACAGAAGCATTCTCAGAAAGTTTTCTGCGATGACTGCATTCAACTCACAGAGTTGAACAATCCTTTTGATGGAGCAGTTTTGAAACCCTCTTTCTTTGGAATCTGCAAGGGGATATGTGGACCTCTTTGAAGATTTCACTGGAAACGGGATCATCTTCACATAAGAACTAAACAGAAGCATTCTCGGAAACTACTTTGTGATGTTTGTATTCAACTCCCAGAGTTGAACTTTCCTTTTGAAAGAGCAGCTATGAAACACTCTTTTTCGGGAATCTGCAAGTGGACGTTTGGAGGGCTTTGAGGCCTGTGGTGGAAAAGGAAATATCTTCACTTAAAAACTACATAGAAGCATTCTCAGAAACTACTTTGTGAGGATGGCATTCAACTCATGGAGTTGAACAATCCTATTGATAGAGCAGATTGGAATCACTCTTTTTGTAGAATCTGCAAATGGAGATTTGGACTGCTTTGAGGCCTACGGTAGTATAGGAAGGAACTTCATATAAAAGGCAAACGGAAGCATTCTCAGAATATTCTTTGTGATGACGGAGTTTCACTCACAGAGCTGAACATGCCTTTTCATGGAGCAGTTTCCAAATACACTTTTGGTACAATCTGCAGGTGGATATTTGGAGCTCTCTGAGGATTTCGTTGGAAACGGGAATAATTTCCCATAACTAAACACAAACACGCTGAGAAAGTTCTTCATGATGAATGCATTTAACTCGCAGAGATGAACCTGCCTTTGAGAGTTCAGGTTCAAAACACTCTTTCTGTAGAATCTGCAAGTGGATATTTGGACCACTGGCTGGCCTTCGTTCGAAACGGGTATATGTTCACGTAAAAACTAAAGAGAAGCGTTCTCAGAAACTTCTGAGTGATGAATGCATTCAAGTCACACAGTTGAACCCTCCTTTTGATTGAGCAGTTTTGAAACTGTCTTTTTGTAGAATCTGTAAGTGGATGCGTGGACCTCTTTGAAGATTTCTTTGGAAACGGGAATATTTCCACAGAAAAACTAAACTGAAGCATTCTCAGAAACTGCTTTGTGATGTTTGTGTTCGAGCCACAGAGTTTAACATTGCTTTTCATAGAGCAGTTTTGAAATATTCTTTTGGCAGAATCTGCAAGTGGACATTTGGAGCGCTTTCAGGCCTGTGGTGGAAAAGGCCTGAAAGCCTTTTCCTTTATCTTCACAGAAAGACGAGAGAGAAGCATTGTCAGAAACTTCTTTGTGATGATTGCATTCAACTCACAGAGTTGAAGATTCCTTTTGAAACAGCAGTTTCGAAACACTCTTTCTGTGGGATCCGCAAGGGGATATTTGGACCTCTTTGAAGATTTCGTTGGAAACGGGATAATCTTCACTTAAAGCTAAACGGAAGCATTCTCAGAAACTTCTTTGGGATGTTTGCATTCACCTCACAGAGTTGAACTTTCCCTTTGATAGCGCAGCTTCGACACACTTTTTCTACAATGTGCAAGTGGATATTTAGCGGGCTTGGAGGACTGTGTTGGAAAAGGAAATATCTTCTCCTAAAAACGACATAGAAGCATTCTCAGAAACTGCTCTGTGATGATTGCATTCAACTCCCAGAGTTGAACATTCCTTTTGATAGAGCAATTTGCAAACACTCTTTTTGTAGAATCTGCAAGTGGAGATTTGGACCGCTTTGAGGCCTGTGGTAGTAAAGGAAAGAACTTCATATAAAAAGTAGACGGTAGCACTCTCAGAAAATTCTTTGTGACGATGGAGTTTAACTCAGAGAGCTGAACATTCGTTATGATGGAGCAGTTTCCAAACACACGTTTTGTAGAATCTGCAAGGGGATATTTGGACCTCTCTGAGGATTTCGTTGGAAACGGGATCAACTTCCCATAACTGAACGGAAGCAAACTCAGAACATTCTTTGTGATGTTTGCATTCGTCTCACAGAGTTGAACCTTCCTTTGATAGTTGAGGTTTGCAACACCCTTGTAGTAGAATCTGCAAGTGTATATTTTGACCACTTTGTAGCCTTCGTTTGAAACGTCTATATCTTCACATCAAACCTAGACAGAAGCATTCTCAGAAAGTTTTCTGCGATGACTGCATTCAACTCACAGAGTTGAACAATCGTTTTGATGGAGCAGTTTTGAAACCCTCTTTCTTTGGAATCTGCAAGGGGATATGTGGACCTCTTTGAAGATTTCACTGGAAACGGGATCATCTTCACATAAGAACTAAACAGAAGCATTCTCGGAAACTACTTTGTGATGTTTGTATTCAACTCCCAGAGTTGAACTTTCCTTTTGAAAGAGC
Source organism: Homo sapiens (assembly GCF_000001405.40). NCBI lineage: Eukaryota > Metazoa > Chordata > Mammalia > Primates > Hominidae > Homo > Homo sapiens. The sequence continues at coordinate 59,112,341 of NC_000023.11, forward strand.
AGCTATGAAACACTCTTTTTCGGGAATCTGCAAGTGGACGTTTGGAGGGCTTTGAGGCCTGTGGTGGAAAAGGAAATATCTTCACTTAAAAACTACATAGAAGCATTCTCAGAAACTACTTTGTGAGGATGGCATTCAACTCATGGAGTTGAACAATCCTATTGATAGAGCAGATTGGAATCACTCTTTTTGTAGAATCTGCAAATGGAGATTTGGACTGCTTTGAGGCCTACGGTAGTATAGGAAGGAACTTCATATAAAAGGCAAACGGAAGCATTCTCAGAATATTCTTTGTGATGACGGAGTTTCACTCACAGAGCTGAACATGCCTTTTCATGGAGCAGTTTCCAAATACACTTTTGGTACAATCTGCAGGTGGATATTTGGAGCTCTCTGAGGATTTCGTTGGAAACGGGAATAATTTCCCATAACTAAACACAAACACGCTGAGAAAGTTCTTCATGATGAATGCATTTAACTCGCAGAGATGAACCTGCCTTTGAGAGTTCAGGTTCGAAACACTCTTTCTGTAGAATCTGCAAGTGGATATTTGGACCACTGGCTGGCCTTCGTTCGAAACGGGTATATGTTCACGTAAAAACTAAAGAGAAGCGTTCTCAGAAACTTCTGAGTGATGAATGCATTCAAGTCACACAGTTGAACCCTCCTTTTGATTGAGCAGTTTTTAAACTGTCTTTTTGTAGAATCTGTAAGTGGATGCGTGGACCTCTTTGAAGATTTCTTTGGAAACGGGAATATTTCCACAGAAAAACTAAACTGAAGCATTCTCAGAAACTGCTTTGTGATGTTTGTGTTCGAGCCGCAGAGTTTAACATTGCTTTTCATAGAGCAGTTTTGAAATATTCTTTTGGCAGAATCTGCAAGTGGACATTTGGAGCGCTTTCAGGCCTGTGGTGGAAATGGCCTGAAAGCCTTTTCCTTTATCTTCACAGAAAGACGAGAGAGAAGCATTGTCAGAAACTTCTTTGTGATGATTGCATTCAACTCACAGAGTTGAAGATTCCTTTTGAAACAGCAGTTTCGAAACACTCTTTCTGTGGGATCCGCAAGGGGATATTTGGACCTCTTTGAAGATTTCGTTGGAAACGGAATAATCTTCACTTAAAGCTAAACGGAAGCATTCTCAGAAACTTCTTTGGGATGTTTGCATTCACCTCACAGAGTTGAACTTTCCCTTTGATAGCACAGCTTCGACACACTTTTTCTACAATGTGCAAGTGGATACATAGCGGGCTTGGAGGACTGTGTTGGAAAAGGATATATCTTCTCCTAAAAACGACATAGAAGCATTCTCAGAAACTGCTCTGTGATGATTGCATTCAACTCCCAGAGTTGAACATTCCTTTTGATAGAGCAGTTTGCAAACACTCTTTTTGTAGAATCTGCAAGTGGAGATTTGGACCGCTTTGAGGCCTGTGGTAGTAAAGGAAAGAACTTCATATAAAAACTAGACGGTAGCACTCTCAGAAAATTCTTTGTGACGATGGAGTTTAACTCAGAGAGCTGAACATTCGTTATGATGGAGCAGTTTCCAAACACACGTTTTGTAGAATCTGCAAGGGGATATTTGGACCTCTCTGAGGATTTCGTTGGAAACGGGATCAACTTCCCATAACTGAACGGAAGCAAACTCAGAACATTCTTTGTGATGTTTGTATTCAACTCACAGAGTTGAACCTTCCTTTGATAGTTCAGGTTTGCAACACCCTTGTAGTAGAATCTGCAAGTGTATATTTTGACCACTTTGTAGCCTTCGTTTGAAACGTCTATATCTTCACCTCAAACCTAGACAGAAGCATTCTCAGAAAGTTTTCTGCGATGACTGCATTCAACTCACAGAGTTGAACAATCCTTTTGATGGAGCAGTTTTGAAACCCTCTTTCTTTGGAATCTGCAAGGGGATATGTGGACCTCTTTGAAGATTTCACTGGAAACGGGATCATCTTCACATAAGAACTAAACAGAAGCATTCTCGGAAACTACTTTGTGATGTTTGTATTCAACTCCCAGAGTTGAACTTTCCTTTTGAAAGAGCAGCTATGAAACACTCTTTTTCGAGAATCTGCAAGTGGACGTTTGGAGGGCTTTGAGGCCTGTGGTGGAAAAGGAAATATCTTCACATAAAAACTAGATAGAAGCATTCTCAGAAACTACTTTGTGAGGATGGCATTCAACTCATGGAGTTGAACAGTCCTATTGATAGAGCAGATTGGAATCACTCTTTTTGTAGAATCTGCAAATGGAGATTTGGACTGCTTTGAGGCCTACGGTAGTATAGGAAGGAACTTCATATAAAAGGCGAACGGAAGCATTCTCAGAATATTCTTTGTGATGATGGAGTTTCACTCACAGAGCTGAACATGCCTTTTGATGGAGCAGTTTCCAAATACACTTTTGGTAGAATCTGCAGGTGGATATTTGGAGCTCTCTGAGGACTTCGTTGGAAACGGGAATAATTTCCCATAACTAAACACAAACACTCTGAGAAAGTTCTTCATGATGAATGCATTTAACTCGCAGAGATGAACCTGCCTTTGATAGTTCAGGTTCGAAACACTCTTTCTGTAGAATCTGCAAGTGGATATTTGGACCAATGGGTGGCCTTCGTTCGAAACGGGTATATGTTCATGTAAAAACTAAAGAGAAGCATTCTCAGAAACTTCTGAGTGATGATTGCATTCAAGTCACACAGTTGAACCCTCCTTTTGATTGAGCAGTTTTGAAACTGTCTTTTTTTAGAATCTGTAAGTGGATACGTGGACCTCCTGGAAGATTTCTTTGGAAACGGGAATATTTCCACAGAAAAACTAAACTGAAGCATTCTCGGAAACTGCTTTGTGATGTTTGTGTTCGAGCCACAGAGTTTAACATTGCTTCTCAAAGAGCAGTTTTGAAATATTCTTTTCGCAGAATCTGCAAGTGGACATTTGGAGCCCTTTCAGGCCTGTGGTGGAAAAGGCCTGAAAGCCTTTTCCTTTATCTTCACAGAAAGACCAGAGAGAAGCATTGTCAGAAACTTCTTTGTGATGATTGCATTCAACTCACAGAGTTGAAGATTCCTTTTGAAACAGCAGTTTCGAAACACTCTTTCTGTGGGATCCGCAAGGGGATATTTGGACCTCTTTGAAGGTTTCGTTGGAAACGGGATAATCTTCACCTAAAAGCTAAACGGAAGCACTCTCAGAAACTTCTTTGGGATGCTTGCATTCACCTCACAGAGTTGAACTTTCCCTTTGATAGCACAGCTTTGAAACACTTTTTCTACCATCTGCAAGTGGATATTTAGCGGGCTTGGAGGACTGTGGTGGAAAAGGAAATATCTTCTCCTAAAAACCACATAGAAGCATTCTCAGAAACTGCTCTGTGATGATTGCATTCAACTCCCAGAGTTGAACATTCCTCTTGATAGAGCAGTTTGCAAACACTCTTTTTGTAGAATCTGCAAGTGGAGATTTGGACCGCTTTGAGGCCTGTGGTAGTAAAGGAAAGAACTTCATATAAAAACTAGACGGTAGCACTCTCAGAAAATTCTTTGTGACGATGGAGTTTAACTCAGGGAGCTGAACATTCGTTATGATGGAGCAGTTTCCAAACACACGTTTTGTAGAATCTGCAAGGGGATATTTGGACCTCTCTGAGGATTTCGTTGGAAACGGGATCAACTTCCCATAACTGAACGGAAGCAAACTCAGAACATTCTTTGTGATGTTTGTATTCAACTCACAGAGTTGAACCTTCCTTTGATAGTTCAGGTTTGCAACACCCTTGTAGTAGAATCTGCAAGTGTATATTTTGACCACTTTGTAGCCTTCGTTTGAAACGTCTATATCTTCACATCAAACCTAGACAGAAGCATTCTCAGAAAGTTTTCTGCGATGACTGCATTCAACTCACAGAGTTGAACAATCCTTCTGATGGAGCAGTTTTGAAACCCTCTTTCTTTGGAATCTGCAAGGGGATATGTGGACCTCTTTGAAGATTTCACTGGAAACGGGATCATCTTCACATAAAAACTAAACAGAAGCATTCTCGGAAACTACTTTGTGATGTTTGTATTCAACTCCCAGAGTTGAACTTTCCTTTTGAAAGAGCAGCTATGAAACACTCTTTTTCGAGAATCTGCAAGTGGACGTTTGGAGGGCTTTGAGGCCTGTGGTGGAAAAGGAAATATCTTCACATAAAAACTAGATAGAAGCATTCTCAGAAACGACTTTGTGAGGATGGCATTCAACTCATGGAGTTGAACAATCCTATTGATAGAGCAGATTGGAATCACTCTTTTTGTAGAATCTGCAAATGGAGATTTGGACTGCTTTGAGGCCTACGGTCGTATAGGAAGGAACTTCATATAAAAGGCAAACGGAAGCATTCTCAGAATATTCTTTGTGATGATGGAGTTTCACTCACAGAGCGGAACATGCCTTTTGATGGAGCAGTTTCCAAATACACTTTTGGTAGAATCTGCAGGTGGATATTTGGAGCTCTCTGAGGATTTCGTTGGAAACGGGAATAATTTCCCATAACTAAACACAAACACGCTGAGAAAGTTCTTCATGATGAATGCATTTAACTCGCAGAGATGAACCTGCCTTTGAGAGTTCATGTTCGAAACACTCTTTCTGTAGAATCTGAAAGTGGATATTTGGACCACTGGCTGGCCTTCGTTCGAAACGGGTATATGTTCACGTAAAAACTAAAGAGAAGCATTCTCAGAAACTTCTGAGTGATGATTGCATTCAAGTCACACAGTTGAACCCTCCTTTTGATGGAGCAGTTTTGAAACTGTCTTTTTGTAGAATCTGTAAGTGGATACGTGGACCTCTTTGAAGATTTCTTTGGAAACGGGAATATTTCCACAGAAAAACTAAACTGAAGCATTCTCAGAAACCGCTTTGTGATGTTTGTGTTCGAGCCACAGAGTTTAACATTGCTTTTCATAGAGCAGTTTTGAAATATTCTTTTGGCAGAATCTGCAAGTGGACATTTGGAGCGCTTTCAGGCCTGTGGTGGAAAAGGCCTGAAAGCCTTTTCCTTTATCTTCACAGAAAGACGAGAGAGAAGCATTGTCAGAAACTTCTTTGTGATGATTGCATTCAACTCACAGAGTTGAAGATTCCTTTTGAAACAGCAGTTTCGAAACACTCTTTCTGTGGGATCCGCAAGGGGATATTTGGACCTCTTTGAAGGTTTCGTTGGAAACGGGATAATCTTCACCTAAAAGCTAAACGGAAGCATTCTCAGAAACTTCTTTGGGATGTTTGCATTCACCTCACAGAGTTGAACTTTCCCTTTGATAGCGCAGCTTTGACACACGTTTTCTACAATGTGCAAGTGGCTATTTAGCAGGCTTGGAGGACTGTGTTGGAAAAGGAAATATCTTCTCCTAAAAACGACATAGAAGCATTCTCAGAAACTGCTCTGTGATGATTGCATTCAACTCCCAGAGTTGAACATTCCTTTTGATAGAGCAGTTTGCAAACACTCTTTTTGTAGAATCTGCAAGTGGAGATTTGGACCGCTTTGAGGCCTGTGGTAGTGAAGGAAAGAGCTTCATATAAAAACCAGACGGTAGCACTCTCAGAAAATTCTTTGTGACGATGGAGTTTAACTCAGGGAGCTGAACATTCGTTATGATGGAGCAGTTTCCAAACACACGTTTTGTAGAATCTGCAAGGGGATATTTGGACCTCTCTGAGGATTTCGTTGGAAACGGGATCAACTTCCCATAACTGAACGGAAGCAAACTCAGAACATTTTTTGTGATGTTTGTATTCAACTCACAGAGTTGAACCTTCCTTTGATAGTTCAGGTTTGCAACACCCTTGTAGTAGAATCTGCAAGTGTATATTTTGACCACTTTGTAGCCTTCGTTTGAAACGTCTATATCTTCACATCAAACCTAGACAGAAGCATTCTCAGAAAGTTTTCTGCGATGACTGCATTCAACTCACAGAGTTGAACAATCCTTCTGATGGAGCAGTTTTGAAACCCTCTTTCTTTGGAATCTGCAAGGGGATATGTGGACCTCTTTGAAGATTTCACTGGAAACGGGATCATCTTCACATAAAAACTAAACAGAAGCATTCTCGGAAACTACTTTGTGATGTTTGTATTCAACTCCCAGAGTTGAACTTTCCTTTTGAAAGAGCAGCTATGAAACACTCTTTTTCGAGAATCTGCAAGTGGACGTTTGGAGGGCTTTGAGGCCTGTGGTGGAAAAGGAAATATCTTCACATAAAAACTAGATAGAAGCATTCTCAGAAACTACTTTGTGAGGATGGCATTCAACTCATGGAGTTGAACAATCCTATTGATAGAGCAGATTGGAATCACTCTTTTTGTAGAATCTGCAAATGGAGATTTGGACTGCTTTGAGGCCTACGGTAGTACAGGAAGGAACTTCATATAAAAGGCAAACGGAAGCATTCTCAGAATATTCTTTGTGATGATGGAGTTTCACTCACAGAGCTGAACATGCCTTTTGATGGAGCAGTTTCCAAATACACTTTTGGTAGAATCTGCAGGTGGATATTTGGAGCTCTCTGAGGATTTCGTTGGAAAAGGGAATAATTTCCCATAACTAAACACAAACACTCTGAGAAAGTTCTTCATGATGAATGCATTTAACTCGCAGAGATGAACCTGCCTTTGAGAGTTCAGGTTCGAAACACTCTTTCTGTAGAATCTGCAAGTGGATATTTGGACCACTGGCTGGCCTTCGTTCGAAACGGGTATATGTTCACGTAAAAACTAAAGAGAAGCATTCTCAGAAACTTCTGAGTGATGATTACATTCAAGTCACACAGTTGAACCCTCCTTTTGATTGAGCAGTTTTGAAACTGTCTTTTTGTAAAATCTGTAAGTGGATACGTGGACCTCTTTGAATATTTCTTTGGAAACGGGAATATTTCCACAGAAAAACTAAACTGAAGCATTCTCAGAAACTGCTTTGTGATGTTTGTGTTCGAGCCACAGAGTTTAACATTGCTTTTCATAGAGCAGTTTTGAAATATTCTTTTGGCAGAATCTGCAAGTGGACATTTGGAGCGCTTTCAGGCCTGTGGTTGAAAAGGCCTGAAAGCCTTTTCCTTTATCTTCACAGAAAGACGAGAGAGAAGCATTGTCAGAAACTTCTTTGTGATGATTGCATTCAACTCACAGAGTTGAAGATTCCTTTTGAAACAGCAGTTTCGAAACACTCTTTCTGTGGGATCCGCAAGGGGATATTTGGACCTCTTTGAAGCTTTCGTTGGAAACGGGATAATCTTCACCTAAAAGCTAAACGGAAGCACTCTCAGAAACTTCTTTGGGATGTTTGCATTCACCTCACAGAGTTGAACTTTCCCTTTGATAGCGCAGCTTTGACACACTTTTTCTACAATGTGCAAGTGGATATTTAGCGGGCGTGGAGGACTGTGTTGGAAAAGGAAATATCTTCTCCTAAAAACGACATAGAAGCATTCTCAGAAACTGCTCTGTGATGATTGCATTCAACTCCCAGGGTTGAACATTCCTTTTGATAGAGCAGTTTGCAAACACTCTTTTTGTAGAATCTGCAAGTGGAGATTTGGACCGCTTTGAGGCCTATGGTAGTAAAGGAAAGAACTTCATATAAAAACCAGACGGTAGCACTCTCAGAAAATTCTTTGTGACGATGGAGTTTAACTCAGGGAGCTGAACATTCGTTATGATGGAGCAGTTTCCAAACACACGTTTTGTAGAATCTGCAAGGGGATATTTGGACCTCTCTGAGGATTTCGCTGGAAACGGGATCAACTTCCCATAACTGAACAGAAGCAAACTCAGAACATTCTTTGTGATGTTTGTATTCAACTCACAGAGTTGAACCTTCCTTTGATAGTTCAGGTTTGCAACACCCTTGTAGTAGAATCTGCAAGTGTATATTTTGACCACTTTGTAGCCTTCGTTTGAAACGTCTATATCTTCACATCAAACCTAGACAGAAGCATTCTCAGAAAGTTTTCTGCGATGACTGCATTCAACTCACAGAGTTGAACAATCCTTTTGATGGAGCAGTTTTGAAACCCTCTTTCTTTGGAATCTGCAAGGGGATATGTGGACCTCTTTGAAGATTTCACTGGAAACGGGATCATCTTCACATAAAAACTAAACAGAAGCATTCTCGGAAACTATTTTGTGATGTTTGTATTCAACTCCCAGAGTTGAACTTTCCTTTTGAAAGAGCAGCTATGAAACACTCTTTTTCGAGAATCTGCAAGTGGACGTTTGGAGGGCTTTGAGGCCTGTGGTGGAAAAGGAAATATCTTCACACAAAAACCAGATAGAAGCATTCTCAGAAACGACTTTGTGAGGATGGCATTCAACTCATGGAGTTGAACAATCCTATTGATAGAGCAGATTGGAATCACTCTTTTTGTAGAATCTGCAAATGGAGATTTGGACTGCTTTGAGGCCTACGGTAGTACAGGAAGGAACTTCATATAAAAGGCAAACGGAAGCATTCTCAGAATATTCTTTGTGATGATGGAGTTTCACTCACAGAGCTGAACATGCCTTTTGATGGAGCAGTTTCCAAATACACTTTTGGTAGAATCTGCAGGTGGATATTTGGAGCTCTCTGAGGATTTCGTTGGAAACGGGAATAATTTCCCATAACTAAACACAAACACTCTGAGAAAGTTCTTCATGATGAATGCATTTAACTCGCAGAGATGAACCTGCCTTTGAGAGTTCAGGTTCGAAACACTCTTTCTGTAGAATCTGCAAGTGGATATTTGGACCACTGGGTGGCCTTCGTTCGAAACGGGTATATGTTCACGTAAAAACTAAAGAGAAGCATTCTCAGAAACTTCTGAGTGATGATTGCATTCAAGTCACACGGTTGAACCCTCCTTTTGATGGAGCAGTTTTGAAACTGTCTTTTTGTAGAATCTGTAAGTGGATACGTGGACCTCTTTGAAGATTTCTTTGGAAACGGGAATATTTCCACAGAAAAACTAAACTGAAGCATTGTCAGAAACTTCTTTGTGATGATTGCATTCAACTCACAGAGTTGAAGATTCCTTTTGAAACAGCAGTTTCGAAACACTCTTTCTGTGGGATCCGCAAGGGGATATTTGGACCTCTTTGAAGGTTTCGTTGGAAACGGGATAATCTTCACCTAAAAGCTAAACGGAAGCATTCTCAGAAACTTCTTTGGGATGTTTGCATTCACCTCACAGAGTTGAACTTTCCCTTTGATAGCGCAGCTTTGACACACTTTTTCTACAATGTGCAAGTGGCTATTTAGCGGGCTTGGAGGACTGTGTTGGAAAAGGAAATATCTTCTCCTAAAAACGACATAGAAGCATTCTCAGAAACTGCTCTGTGATGATTGCATTCAACTCCCAGAGTTGAACATTCCTTTTGATAGAGCAGTTTGCAAACACTCTTTTTGTAGAATCTGCAAGTGGAGATTTGGACCGCTTTGAGGCCTGTGGTAGTGAAGGAAAGAACTTCATATAAAAACCAGACGGTAGCACTCTCAGAAAATTCTTTGTGACGATGGAGTTTAACTCAGGGAGCTGAACATTCGTTATGATGGAGCAGTTTCCAAACACACGTTTTGTAGAATCTGCAAGGGGATATTTGGACCTCTCTGAGGATTTCGTTGGAAACGGGATCAACTTCCCATAACTGAACGGAAGCAAACTCAGAACATTCTTTGTGATGTTTGTATTCAACTCACAGAGTTGAACCTTCCTTTGATAGTTCAGGTTTGCAACACCCTTGTAGTAGAATCTGCAAGTGTATATTTTGACCACTTTGTAGCCTTCGTTTGAAACGTCTATATCTTCACATCAAACCTAGACAGAAGCATTCTCAGAAAGTTTTCTGCGATGACTGCATTCAACTCACAGAGTTGAACAATCCTTCTGATTGGAGCAGTTTTGAAACCCTCTTTCTTTGGAATCTGCAAGGGGATATGTGGACCTCTTTGAAGATTTCACTGGAAACGGGATCATCTTCACATAAAAACTAAACAGAAGCATTCTCGGAAACTATTTTGTGATGTTTGCATTCAACTCCCAGAGTTGAACTTTCCTTTTGAAAGAGCAGCTATGAAACACTCTTTTTCGAGAATCTGCAAGTGGACGTTTGGAGGGCTTTGAGGCCTGTGGTGGAAAAGGAAATATCTTCACACAAAAACCAGATAGAAGCATTCTCAGAAACTACTTTGTGAGGATGGCATTCAACTCATGGAGTTGAACAATCCTATTGATAGAGCAGATTGGAATCACTCTTTTTATAGAATCTGCAAATGGAGATTTGGACTGCTTTGAGGCCTACGGTAGTACAGGAAGGAACTTCATATAAAAGGCAAACGGAAGCATTCTCAGAATATTCTTTGTGATGATGGAGTTTCACTCACAGAGCTGAACATGCCTTTTGATGGAGCAGTTTCCAAATACACTTTTGGTAGAATCTGCAGGTGGATATTTGGAGCTCTCTGAGGATTTCGTTGGAAACGGGAATAATTTCCCATAACTAAACACAAACACTCTGAGAAAGTTCTTCATGATGAATGCTTTTAACTCGCAGAGATGAACCTGCCTTTGAGAGTTCAGGTTCGAAACACTCTTTCTGTAGAATCTGCAAGTGGATATTTGGACCACTGGGTGGCCTTCGTTCGAAACGGGTATATGTTCACGTAAAAACTAAAGAGAAGCATTCTCAGAAACTTCTGAGTGATGATTGCATTCAAGTCACACAGTTGAACCCTCCTTTTGATGGAGCAGTTTTGAAACTGTCTTTTTGTAGAATCTGTAAGTGGATACGTGGACCTCTTTGAAGATTTCTTTGGAAACGGGAATATTTCCACAGAAAAACTAAACTGAAGCATTCTCAGAAACCGCTTTGTGATGTTTGTGTTCGAGCCACAGAGTTTAACATTGCTTTTCATAGAGCAGTTTTGAAATATTCTTTTCGCAGAATCTGCAAGTGGACATTTGGAGCGCTTTCAGGCCTGTGGTGGAAAAGGCCTGAAAGCCTTTTCCTTTATCTTCACAGAAAGACGAGAGAGAAGCATTGTCAGAAACTTCTTTGTGATGATTGCATTCAACTCACAGAGTTGAAGATTCCTTTTGAAACAGCAGTTTCGAAACACTCTTTCTGTGGGATCCGCAAGGGGATATTTGGACCTCTTTGAAGGTTTCGTTGGAAACGGGATAATCTTCACCTAAAAGCTAAACGGAAGCATTCTCAGAAACTTCTTTGGGATGTTTGCATTCACCTCACAGAGTTGAACTTTCCCTTTGATAGCGCAGCTTTGACACACTTTTTCTACAATGTGCAAGTGGATATTTAGCGGGCTTGGAGGACTGTGTTGGAAAAGGAAATATCTTCTAAAAACGACATAGAAGCATTCTCAGAAACTGCTCTGTGATGATTGCATTCAACTCCCAGAGTTGAACATTCCTTTTGATAGAGCAGTTTGCAAACACTCTTTTTGTAGAATCTGCAAGTGGAGATTTGGACCGCTTTGAGGCCTGTGGTAGTGAAGGAAAGAACTTCATATAAAAACCAGACGGTAGCACTCTCAGAAAATTCTTTGTGACGATGGAGTTTAACTCAGGGAGCTGAACATTCGTTATGATGGAGCAGTTTCCAAACACACGTTTTGTAGAATCTGCAAGGGGATATTTGGACCTCTCTGAGGATTTCGTTGGAAACGGGATCAACTTCCCATAACTGAACGGAAGCAAACTCAGAACATTCTTTGTGATGTTTGTATTCAACTCACAGAGTTGAACCTTCCTTTGATAGTTCAGGTTTGCAACACCCTTGTAGTAGAATCTGCAAGTGTATATTTTGACCTCTTTGTAGCCTTCGTTTGAAACGTCTATATCTTCACATCAAACCTAGACAGAAGCATTCTCAGAAAGTTTTCTGCGATGACTGCATTCAACTCACAGAGTTGAACAATCCTTCTGATGGAGCAGTTTTGAAACCCTCTTTCTTTGGAATCTGCAAGGGGATATGTGGACCTCTTTGAAGATTTCACTGGAAATGGGATCATCTTCACATAAAAACTAAACAGAAGCATTCTCGGAAACTACTTTGTGATGTTTGTATTCAACTCCCAGAGTTGAACTTTCCTTTTGAAAGAGCAGCTATGAAACACTCTTTTTCGAGAATCTGCAAGTGGACGTTTGGAGGGCTTTGAGGCCTGTGGTGGAAAAGGAAATATCTTCACATAAAACTAGATAGAAGCATTCTCAGAAACTACTTTGTGAGCATGGCATTCAACTCATGGAGTTCAACAATCCTATTGATAGAGCAGATTGGAATCACTCTTTTTGTAGAATCTGCAAATGGAGATTTGGACTGCTTTGAGGCCTACGGTAGTACAGGAAGGAACTTCATATAAAAGGCAAACGGAAGCATTCTCAGAATATTCTTTGTGATGATGGAGTTTCACTCACAGAGCTGAACATGCCTTTTGATGGAGCAGTTTCCAAATACACTTTTGGTAGAATCTGCAGGTGGATATTTGGAGCTCTCTGAGGATTTCGTTGGAAACGGGAATAATTTCCCATAACTAAACACAAACACTCTGAGAAAGTTCTTCATGATGAATGCATTTAACTCGCAGAGATGAACCTGCCTTTGAGAGTTCAGGTTCGAAACACTCTTTCTGTAGAATCTGCAAGTGGATATTTGGACCACTGGGTGGCCTTCGTTCGAAACGGGTATATGTTCACGTAAAAACTAAAGAGAAGCATTCTCAGAAACTTCTGAGTGATGATTGCATTCAAGTCACACAGTTGAACCCTCCTTTTGATGGAGCAGTTTTGAAACTGTCTTTTTGTAGAATCTGTAAGTGGATACGTGGACCTCTTTGAAGATTTCTTTGGAAACGGGAATATTTCCACAGAAAAACTAAACTGAAACATTCTCAGAAACCGCTTTGTGATGTTTGTGTTCCAGCCACAGAGTTTAACATTGCTTTTCATAGAGCAGTTTTGAAATATTCTTTTCGCAGAATCTGCAAGTGGACATTTGGAGCGCTTTCAGGCCTGTGGTGGAACAGGCCTGAAAGCCTTTTCCTTTATCTTCACAGAAAGGCGAGAGAGAAGCATTGTCAGAAACTTCTTTGTGATGATTGCATTCAACTCACAGAGTTGAAGATTCCTTTTGAAACAGCAGTTTCGAAACACTCTTTCTGTGGGATCCGCAAGGGGATATTTGGACCTCTTTGAAGGTTTCGTTGGAAACGGGATAATCTTCACCTAAAAGCTAAACGGAAGCATTCTCAGAAACTTCTTTGGGATGTTTGCATTCACCTCACAGAGTTGAACTTTCCCTTTGATAGCGCAGCTTTGACACACTTTTTCTACAATGTGCAAGTGGCTATTTAGCGGGCTTGGAGGACTGTGTTGGAAAAGGAAATATCTTCTCCTAAAAACGACATAGAAGCATTCTCAGAAACTGCTCTGTGATGATTGCATTCAACTCCCAGAGTTGAACATTCCTTTTGATAGAGCAGTTTGCAAACACTCTTTTTGTAGAATCTGCAAGTGGAGATTTGGACCGCTTTGAGGCCTGTGGTAGTGAAGGAAAGAACTTCATATAAAAACCAGACGGTAGCACTCTCAGAAAATTCTTTGTGACGATGGAGTTTAACTCAGGGAGCTGAACATTCGTTACGATGGAGCAGATTCCAAACACACGTTTTGTAGAATCTGCAAGGGGATATTTGGACCTCTCTGAGGATTTCGTTGGAAACGGGATCAACTTCCCATAACTGAACGGAAGCAAACTCAGAACATTCTTTGTGATGTTTGTATTCAACTCACAGAGTTGAACCTTCCTTTGATAGTTCAGGTTTGCAACACCCTTGTAGTAGAATCTGCAAGTGTATATTTTGACCACTTTGTAGCCTTCGTTTGAAACATCTATATCTTCACATCAAACCTAGACAGAAGCATTCTCAGAAAGTTTTCTGCGATGACTGCATTCAACTCACAGAGTTGAACAATCCTTCTGATGGAGCAGTTTTGAAACCCTCTTTCTTTGGAATCTGCAAGGGGATATGTGGACCTCTTTGAAGATTTCACTGGAAACGGGATCATCTTCACATAAAAACTAAACAGAAGCATTCTCGGAAACTACTTTGTGATGTTTGTATTCAACTCCCAGAGTTGAACTTTCCTTTTGAAAGAGCAGCTATAAAACACTCTTTTTCGAGAATCTGCAAGTGGACGTTTGGAGGGCTTTGAGGCCTGTGGTGGAAAAGGAAATATCTTCACATAAAAACTAGATAGAAGCATTCTCAGAAACGACTTTGTGAGGATGGCATTCAACTCATGGAGTTGAACAATCCTATTGATAGAGCAGATTGGAATCACTCTTTTTGTAGAATCTGCAAATGGAGATTTGGACTGCTTTGAGGCCTACGGTCGTATAGGAAGGAACTTCAGATAAAAGGCAAACGGAAGCATTCTCAGAATATTCTTTGTGATGATGGAGTTTCACTCACAGAGCTGAACATGCCTTTTGATGGAGCAGTTTCCAAATACACTTTTGGTAGAATCTGCAGGTGGATATTTGGACCACTCTGAGGATTTCGTTGGAAACGGGAATAATTTCCCATAACTAAGCACAAACACTCTGAGAAAGTTCTTCATGATGAATGCATTTAACTCGCAGAGATGAACCTGCCTTTGAGAGTTCAGGTTCGAAACACTCTTTCTGTATAATCTGCAAGTGGATATTTGGACCACTGGGTGGCCTTCGTTCGAAACGGGTATATGTTCACGTAAAAACTAAAGAGAAGCATTCTCAGAAACTTCTGAGTGATGATTGCATTCAAGTCACACAGTTGAACCCTCCTTTTGATGGAGCAGTTTTGAAACTGTCTTTTTGTAGAATCTGTAAGTGGATACGTGGACCTCTTTGAAGATTTCTTTGGAAACGGGAATATTTCCACAAAAAAACTAAACTGAAACATTCTCAGAAACCGCTTTGTGATGTTTGTGTTCCAGCCACAGAGTTTAACATTGCTTTTCATAGAGCAGTTTTGAAATATTCTTTTGGCAGAATCTGCAAGTGGACATTTGGAGCGCTTTCAGGCCTGTGGTGGAAAAGGCCTGAAAGCCTTTTCCTTTATCTTCACAGAAAGACGAGAGAGAAGCATTGTCAGAAACTTCTTTGTGATGATTGCATTCAACTCACAGAGTTGAAGATTCCTTTTGAAACAGCAGTTTCGAAACACTCTTTCTGTGGGATCCGCAAGGGGATATTTGGACCTCTTTGAAGGTTTCGTTGGAAACGGGATAATCTTCACCTAAAAGCTAAACGGAAGCATTCTCAGAAACTTCTTTGGGATGTTTGCATTCACCTCACAGAGTTGAACTTTCCCTTTGATAGCGCAGCTTTGACACACTTTTTCTTCAATGTGCAAGTGGCTATTTAGCGGGCTTGGAGGACTGTGTTGGAAAAGGAAATATCTTCTCCTAAAAACGACATAGAAGCATTCTCAGAAACTGCTCTGTGATGATTGCATTCAACTCCCAGAGTTGAACATTCCTTTTGATAGAGCAGTTTGCAAACACTCTTTTTGTAGAATCTGCAAGTGGAGATTTGGACCGCTTTGAGGCCTGTGGTAGTGAAGGAAAGAACTTCATATAAAAACCAGACGGTAGCACTTTCAGAAAATTCTTTGTGACGATGGAGTTTAACTCAGGGAGCTGAACATTCGTTATGATGGAGCAGTTTCCAAACACACGTTTTGTAGAATCTGCAAGGGGATATTTGGACCTCTCTGAGGATTTCGTTGGAAACGGGATCAACTTCCCATAACTGAACGGAAGCAAACTCAGAACATTCTTTGTGATGTTTGTATTCAACTCACAGAGTTGAACCTTCCTTTGATAGTTCAGGTTTGCAACACCCTTGTAGTAGAATCTGCAAGTGTATATTTTGACCACTTTGTAGCCTTCATTTGAAACGTCTATATCTTCACATCAAACCTAGACAGAAGCATTCTCAGAAAGTTTTCTGTGATGACTGCATTCAACTCACAGAGTTGAACAATCCTTCTGATGGAGCAGTTTTGAAACCCTCTTTCTTTGGAATCTGCAAGGGGATATGTGGACCTCTTTGAAGATTTCACTGGAAACGGGATCATCTTCACATAAAAACTAAACAGAAGCATTCTCGGAAACTACTTTGTGATGTTTGTATTCAACTCCCAGAGTTGAACTTTCCTTTTGAAAGAGCAGCTATGAAACACTCTTTTTCGAGAATCTGCAAGTGGACGTTTGGAGGGCTTTGAGGCCTGTGGTGGAAAAGGAAATATCTTCACATAAAAACTAGATAGAAGCATTCTCAGAAACTACTTTGTGAGGATGGCATTCAACTCAAGGAGTTGAACAATCCTATTGATAGAGCAGATTGGAATCACTCTTTTTGTAGAATCTGCAAATGGAGATTTGGACTGCTTTGAGGCCTACGGTCGTATAGGAAGGAACTTCAGATAAAAGGCAAACGGAAGCATTCTCAGAATATTCTTTGTGATGATGGAGTTTCACTCACAGAGCTGAACGTGCCTTTTGATGGAGCAGTTTCCAAATACACTTTTGGTAGAATCTGCAGGTGGATATTTGGAGCTCTCTGAGGATTTCGTTGGAAACGGGAATAATTTCCCATAACTAAACACAAACACTCTGAGAAAGTTCTTCATGATGAATGCATTTAACTCGCAGAGATGAACCTGCCTTTGAGAGTTCAGGTTCGAAACACTCTTTCTGTAGAATCTGCAAGTGGATATTTGGACCACTGGGTGGCCTTCGTTCGAAACGGGTATATGTTCACTTAAAAACTAAAGAGAAGCATTCTCAGAAACTTCTGAGTGATGATTGCATTCAAGTCACACAGTTGAACCCTCCTTTTGATGGAGCAGTTTTGAAACTGTCTTTTTGTAGAATCTGTAAGTGGATACGTGGACCTCTTTGAAGATTTCTTTGGAAACGGGAATATTTCCACAGAAAAACTAAACTGAAACATTCTCAGAAACCGCTTTGTGATGTTTGTGTTCCAGCCACAGAGTTTAACATTGCTTTTCATAGAGCAGTTTTGAAATATTCTTTTCGCAGAATCTGCAAGTGGACATTTGGAGCGCTTTCAGGCCTGTGGTGGAACAGGCCTGAAAGCCTTTTCCTTTATCTTCACAGAAAGGCGAGAGAGAAGCATTGTCAGAAACTTCTTTGTGATGATTGCATTCAACTCACAGAGTTGAAGATTCCTTTTGAAACAGCAGTTTCGAAACACTCTTTCTGTGGGATCCGCAAGGGGATATTTGGACCTCTTTGAAGGTTTCGTTGGAAACGGGATAATCTTCACCTAAAAGCTAAACGGAAGCATTCTCAGAAACTTCTTTGGGATGTTTGCATTCACCTCACAGAGTTGAACTTTCCCTTTGATAGCGCAGCTTTGACACACTTTTTCTACAATGTGCAAGTGGCTATTTAGCGGGCTTGGAGGACTGTGTTGGAAAAGGAAATATCTTCTCCTAAAAACGACATAGAAGCATTCTCAGAAACTGCTCTGTGATGATTGCATTCAACTCCCAGAGTTGAACATTCCTTTTGATAGAGCAGTTTGCAAACACTCTTTTTGTAGAATCTGCAAGTGGAGATTTGGACCGCTTTGAGGCCTGTGGTAGTGAAGGAAAGAGCTTCATATAAAAACCAGACGGTAGCACTCTCAGAAAATTCTTTGTGACGATGGAGTTTAACTCAGGGAGCTGAACATTCGTTATGATGGAGCAGTTTCCAAACACACGTTTTGTAGAATCTGCAAGGGGATATTTGGACCTCTCTGAGGATTTCGTTGGAAACGGGATCAACTTCCCATAACTGAACGGAAGCAAACTCAGAACATTCTTTGTGATGTTTGTATTCAACTCACAGAGTTGAACCTTCCTTTGATAGTTCAGGTTTGCAACACCCTTGTAGTAGAATCTGCAAGTGTATATTTTGAACACTTTGTAGCCTTCGTTTGAAACGTCTATATCTTCACATCAAACCTAGACAGAAGCATTCTCAGAAAGTTTTCTGCGATGACTGCATTCAACTCACAGAGTTGAACAATCCTTCTGATGGAGCAGTTTTGAAACCCTCTTTCTTTGGAATCTGCAAGGGGATATGTGGACCTCTTTGAAGATTTCACTGGAAACGGGATCATCTTCACATAAAAACTAAACAGAAGCATTCTCGGAAACTACTTTGTGATGTTTGTATTCAACTCCCAGAGTTGAACTTTCCTTTTGAAAGAGCAGCTATGAAACACTCTTTTTCGAGAATCTGCAAGTGGACGTTTGGAGGGCTTTGAGGCCTGTGGTGGAAAAGGAAATATCTTCACATAAAAACTAGATAGAAGCATTCTCAGAAACGACTTTGTGAGGACGGCATTCAACTCATGGAGTTGAACAATCCTATTGATAGAGCAGATTGGAATCACTCTTTTTGTAGAATCTGCAAATGGAGATTTGGACTGCTTTGAGGCCTACGGTCGTATAGGAAGGAACTTCAGATAAAAGGCAAACGGAAGCATTCTCAGAATATTCTTTGTGATGATGGAGTTTCACTCACAGAGCTGAACATGCCTTTTGATGGAGCAGTTTCCAAATACACTTTTGGTAGAATCTGCAGGTGGATATTTGGAGCTCTCTGAGGATTTCGTTGGAAACGGGAATAATTTCCCATAACTAAACACAAACACTCTGAGAAAGTTCTTCATGATGAATGCATTTAACTCGCAGAGATGAACCTGCCTTTGAGAGTTCAGGTTCGAAACACTCTTTCTGTAGAATCTGCAAGTGGATATTTGGACCACTGGGTGGCGTTCGTTCGAAACGGGTATATGTTCACGTAAAAACTAAAGAGAAGCATTCTCAGAAACTTCTGAGTGATGATTGCATTCAAGTCACACAGTTGAACCCTCCTTTTGATGGAGCAGTTTTGAAACTGTCTTTTTGTAGAATCTGTAAGTGGATACGTGGACCTCTTTGAAGATTTCTTTGGAAACGGGAATATTTCCACAGAAAAACTAAACTGAAGCATTCTCAGAAACTGCTTTGTGATGTTGGTGTTCGAGCGACAGAGTTTAACGTTGCTTTTCATAGAGCAGTTTTGAAATATTCTTTTGGCAGAATCTGCAAGTGGACATTTGGAGCGCTTTCAGGCCTGTGGTGGAAAAGGCCTGAAAGCCTTTTCCTTTATCTTCACAGAAAGACGAGAGAGAAGCATTGTCAGAAACTTCTTTGTGATGATTGCATTCAACTCACAGAGTTGAAGATTCCTTTTGAAACAGCAGTTTCGAAACACTCTTTCTGTGGGATCCGCAAGGGGATATTTGGACCTCTTTGAAGGTTTCGTTGGAAACGGGATAATCTTCACCTAAAAGCTAAACGGAAGCATTCTCAGAAACTTCTTTGGGATGTTTGCATTCACCTCACAGAGTTGAACTTTCCCTTTGATAGCGCAGCTTTGACACACTTTTTCTACAATGTGCAAGTGGCTATTTAGCGGGCTTGGAGGACTGTGTTGGAAAAGGAAATATCTTCTCCTAAAAACGACATAGAAGCATTCTCAGAAACTGCTCTGTGATGATTGCATTCAACTCCCAGAGTTGAACATTCCTTTTGATAGAGCAGTTTGCAAACACTCTTTTTGTAGAATCTGCAAGTGGAGATTTGGACCGCTTTGAGGCCTGTGGTAGTGAAGGAAAGAACTTCATATAAAAACCAGACGGTAGCACTCTCAGAAAATTCTTTGTGACGATGGAGTTTAACTCAGGGAGCTGAACATTCGTTATGATGGAGCAGTTTCCAAACACACGTTTTGTAGAATCTGCAAGGGGATATTTGGACCTCTCTGAGGATTTCGTTGGAAACGGGATCAACTTCCCATAACTGAACGGAAGCAAACTCAGAACGTTCCTTGTGATGTTTGTATTCAACTCACAGAGTTGAACCTTCCTTTGATAGTTCAGGTTTGCAACACCCTTGTAGTAGAATCTGCAAGTGTATATTTTGACCACTTTGTAGCCTTCGTTTGAAACGTCTATATCTTCACATCAAACCTAGACAGAAGCATTCTCAGAAAGTTTTCTGCGATGACTGCATTCAACTCACAGAGTTGAACAATCCTTCTGATGGAGCAGTTTTGAAACCCTCTTTCTTTGGAATCTGCAAGGGGATATGTGGACCTCTTTGAAGATTTCACTGGAAACGGGATCATCTTCACATAAAAACTAAACAGAAGCATTCTCGGAAACTACTTTGTGATGTTTGTATTCAACTCCCAGAGTTGAACTTTCCTTTTGAAAGAGCAGCTATGAAACACTCTTTTTCGAGAATCTGCAAGTGGACGTTTGGAGGGCTTTGAGGCCTGTGGTGGAAAAGGAAATATCTTCACACAAAAACCAGATAGAAGCATTCTCAGAAACTACTTTGTGAGGATGGCATTCAACTCATGGAGTTGAACAATCCTATTGATAGAGAAGATTGGAATCACTCTTTTTGTAGAATCTGCAAATGGAGATTTGGACTGCTTTGAGGCCTACGGTAGTACAGGAAGGAAGTTCATATAAAAGGCAAACGGAAGCATTCTCAGAATATTCTTTGTGATGATGGAGTTTCACTCACAGAGCTGAACATGCCTTTTGAGATGGGAGCAGTTTCCAAATACACTTTTGGTAGAATCTGCAGGTGGATATTTGGAGCTCTCTGAGGATTTCGTTGGAAACGGGAATAATTTCCCATAACTAAACACAAACACTCTGAGAAAGTTCTTCATGATGAATGCATTTAACTCGCAGAGATGAACCTGCCTTTGAGAGTTCAGGTTCGAAACACTCTTTCTGTAGAATCTGCAAGTGGATATTTGGACCACTGGCTGGCCTTCGTTCGAAACGGGTATATGTTCACGTAAAAACTAAAGAGAAGCATTCTCAGAAACTTCTGAGTGATGATTGCATTCAAGTCACACGGTTGAACCCTCCTTTTGATGGAGCAGTTTTGAAACTGTCTTTTTGTAGAATCTGTAAGTGGATACGTGGACCTCTTTGAAGATTTCTTTGGAAACGGGAATATTTCCACAGAAAAACTAAACTGAAGCATTCTCAGAAACCGCTTTGTGATGTTTGTGTTCGAGCCACAGAGTTTAACTTTGCTTTTCATAGAGCAGTTTTGAAATATTCTTTTCGCAGAATCTGCAAGTGGACATTTGGAGCGCTTTCAGGCCTGTGGTGGAAAAGGCCTGAAAGCCTTTTCCTTTATCTTCACAGAAAGACGAGAGAGAGAAGCATTGTCAGAAACTTCTTTGTGATGATTGCATTCAACTCACAGAGTTGAAGATTCCTTTTGAAACAGCAGTTTCGAAACACTCTTTCTGTGGGATCCGCAAGGGGATATTTGGACCTCTTTGAAGGTTTCGTTGGAAACGGGATAATCTTCACCTAAAAGCTAAACGGAAGCATTCTCAGAAACTTCTTTGGGATGTTTGCATTCACCTCACAGAGTTGAACTTTCCCTTTGATAGCGCAGCTTCGACACACTTTTTCTACAATGTGCAAGTGGATATTTAGCGGGCTTGGAGGACTGTGTTGGAAAAGGAAATATCTTCTCCTAAAAACGACATAGAAGCATTCTCAGAAACTGCTCTGTGATGATTGCATTCAACTCCCAGAGTTGAACATTCCTTTTGATAGAGCAGTTTGCAAACACTGTTTTTGTAGAATCTGCAAGTGGAGATTTGGACCGCTTTGAGGCCTGTGGTAGTAAAGGAAAGAACTTCATATAAAAACCAGACGGTAGCACTCTCAGAAAATTCTTTGTGACGATGGAGTTAAACTCAGAGAGCTGAACATTCTTTATGATGGAGCAGTTTCCAAACACACGTTTTGTAGAATCTGCAAGGGGATATTTGGACCTCTCTGAGGATTTCGTTGGAAATGGGATCAACTTCCCATAACTGAACGGAAGCAAACTCAGAACATTCTTTGTGATGTTTGTATTCAACTCACAGAGTTGAACCTTCCTTTGATAGTTGAGGTTTGCAACACCCTTGTAGTAGAATCTGCAAGTGTATATTTTGACCACTTTGTAGCCTTCGTTTGAAACGTCTATATCTTCACCTCAAACCTAGACAGAAGCATTCTCAGAAAGTTTTCTGCGATGACTGCATTCAACTCACAGAGTTGAACAATCCTTTTGATGGAGCAGTTTTGAAACCCTCTTTCTTTGGAATCTGCAAGGGGATATGTGGACCTCTTTGAAGATTTCACTGGAAACGGGATCATCTTCACATAAGAACTAAACAGAAGCATTCTCGGAAACTACTTTGTGATGTTTGTATTCAACTCCCAGAGTTGAACTTTCCTTTTGAAAGAGCAGCTATGAAACACTCTTTTTCGAGAATCTGCAAGTGGACGTTTGGAGGGCTTTGAGGCCTGTGGTGGAAAAGGAAATATCTTCACATAAAAACTAGATAGAAGCATTCTCAGAAACGACTTTGTGAGGATGGCATTCAACTCATGGAGTTGAACAATCCTATTGATAGAGCAGATTGGAATCACTCTTTTTGTAGAATCTGCAAATGGAGATTTGGACTGCTTTGAGGCCTACGGTCGTATAGGAAGGAACTTCATATAAAAGGCAAACGGAAGCATTCTCAGAATATTCTTTGTGATGATGGAGTTTCACTCACAGAGCTGAACATGCCTTTTGATGGAGCAGTTTCCAAATACACTTTTGGTAGAATCTGCAGGTGGATATTTGGAGCTCTCTGAGGATTTCGTTGGAAACGGGAATAATTTCCCATAACTAAACACAAACACTCTGAGAAAGTTCTTCATGATGAATGCATTTAACTCGCAGAGATGAACCTGCCTTTGAGAGTTCAGGTTCGAAACACTCTTTCTGTATAATCTGCAAGTGGATATTTGGACCACTGGGTGGCCTTCGTTCGAAACGGGTATATGTTCACGTAAAAACTAAAGAGAAGCATTCTCAGAAACTTCTGAGTGATGATTGCATTCAAGTCACACAGTTGAACCCTCCTTTTGATGGAGCAGTTTTGAAACTGTCTTTTTGTAGAATCTGTAAGTGGATACGTGGACCTCTTTGAAGATTTCTTTGGAAACGGGAATATTTCCACAGAAAAACTAAACTGAAACATTCTCAGAAACCGCTTTGTGATGTTTGTGTTCCAGCCACAGAGTTTAACATTGCTTTTCATAGAGCAGTTTTGAAATATTCTTTTGGCAGAATCTGCAAGTGGACATTTGGAGCGCTTTCAGGCCTGTGGTGGAAAAGGCCTGAAAGCCTTTTCCTTTATCTTCACAGAAAGACGAGAGAGAAGCATTGTCAGAAACTTCTTTGTGATGATTGCATTCAACTCACAGAGTTGAAGATTCCTTTTGAAACAGCAGTTTCGAAACACTCTTTCTGTGGGATCCGCAAGGGGATATTTGGACCTCTTTGAAGGTTTCGTTGGAAACGGGATAATCTTCACCTAAAAGCTAAACGGAAGCATTCTCAGAAACTTCTTTGGGATGTTTGCATTCACCTCACAGAGTTGAACTTTCCCTTTGATAGCGCAGCTTTGACACACTTTTTCTACAATGTGCAAGTGGCTATTTAGCGGGCTTGGAGGACTGTGTTGGAAAAGGAAATATCTTCTCCTAAAAACGACATAGAAGCATTCTCAGAAACTGCTCTGTGATGATTGCATTCAACTCCCAGAGTTGAACATTCCTTTTGATAGAGCAGTTTGCAAACACTCTTTTTGTAGAATCTGCAAGTGGAGATTTGGACCGCTTTGAGGCCTGTGGTAGTGAAGGAAAGAACTTCATATAAAAACCAGACGGTAGCACTCTCAGAAAATTCTTTGTGACGATGGAGTTTAACTCAGGGAGCTGAACATTCGTTATGATGGAGCAGTTTCCAAACACACGTTTTGTAGAATCTGCAAGGGGATATTTGGACCTCTCTGAGGATTTCGTTGGAAACGGGATCAACTTCCCATAACTGAACGGAAGCAAACTCAGAACATTCTTTGTGATGTTTGTATTCAACTCACAGAGTTGAACCTTCCTTTGATAGTTCAGGTTTGCAACACCCTTGTAGTAGAATCTGCAAGTGTATATTTTGACCACTTTGTAGCCTTCATTTGAAACGTCTATATCTTCACATCAAACCTAGACAGAAGCATTCTCAGAAAGTTTTCTGCGATGACTGCATTCAACTCACAGAGTTGAACAATCCTTTTGATGGAGCAGTTTTGAAACCCTCTTTCTTTGGAATCTGCAAGGGGATATGTGGACCTCTTTGAAGATTTCACTGGAAACGGGATCATCTTCACATAAAAACTAAACAGAAGCATTCTCGGAAACTACTTTGTGATGTTTGTATTCAACTCCCAGAGTTGAACTTTCCTTTTGAAAGAGCAGCTATGAAACACTCTTTTTCGAGAATCTGCAAGTGGACGTTTGGAGGGCTTTGAGGCCTGTGGTGGAAAAGGAAATATCTTCACATAAAAACTAGATAGAAGCATTCTCAGAAACTACTTTGTGAGGATGGCATTCAACTCATGGAGTTGAACAATCCTATTGATAGAGCAGATTGGAATCACTCTTTTTGTAGAATCTGCAAATGGAGATTTGGACTGCTTTGAGGCCTACGGTCGTATAGGAAGGAACTTCATATAAAAGGTAAACGGAAGCATTCTCAGAATATTCGTTGTGATGATGGAGTTTCACTCACAGAGCTGAACATGCCTTTTGATGGAGCAGTTTCCAAATACACTTTTGGTAGAATCTGCAGGTGGATATTTGCAGCTCTCTGAGGATTTCGTTGGAAACGGGAATAATTTCCCATAACTAAACACAAACACTCTGAGAAAGTTCTTCATGATGAATGCATTTAACTCGCAGAGATGAACCTGCCTTTGAGAGTTCAGGTTCGAAACACTCTTTCTGTATAATCTGCAAGTGGATATTTGGACCACTGGGTGGCCTTCGTTCGAAACGGGTATATGTTCACGTAAAAACTAAAGAGAAGCATTCTCAGAAACTTCTGAGTGATGATTGCATTCAAGTCACACAGTTGAACCCTCCTTTTGATGGAGCAGTTTTGAAACTGTCTTTTTGTAGAATCTGTAAGTGGATACGTGGACCTCTTTGAAGATTTCTTTGGAAACGGGAATATTTCCACAGAAAAACTAAACTGAAACATTCTCAGAAACCGCTTTGTGATGTTTGTGTTCCAGCCACAGAGTTTAACATTGCTTTTCATAGAGCAGTTTTGAAATATTCTTTTGGCAGAATCTGCAAGTGGACATTTGGAGCGCTTTCAGGCCTGTGGTGGAAAAGGCCTGAAAGCCTTTTCCTTTATCTTCACAGAAAGACGAGAGAGAAGCATTGTCAGAAACTTCTTTGTGATGATTGCATTCAACTCACAGAGTTGAAGATTCCTTTTGAAACAGCAGTTTCGAAACACTCTTTCTGTGGGATCCGCAAGGGGATATTTGGACCTCTTTGAAGGTTTCGTTGGAAACGGGATAATCTTCACCTAAAAGCTAAACGGAAGCATTCTCAGAAACTTCTTTGGGATGTTTGCATTCACCTCACAGAGTTGAACTTTCCCTTTGATAGCGCAGCTTTGACACACTTTTTCTACAATGTGCAAGTGGCTATTTAGCGGGCTTGGAGGACTGTGTTGGAAAAGGAAATATCTTCTCCTAAAAACGACATAGAAGCATTCTCAGAAACTGCTCTGTGATGATTGCATTCAACTCCCAGAGTTGAACATTCCTTTTGATAGAGCAGTTTGCAAACTCTCTTTTTGTAGAATCTGCAAGTGGAGATTTGGACCGCTTTGAGGCCTGTGGTAGTGAAGGAAAGAACTTCATATAAAAACCAGACGGTAGCACTCTCAGAAAATTCTTTGTGACGATGGAGTTTAACTCAGGGAGCTGAACATTCGTTATGATGGAGCAGTTTCCAAACACACGTTTTGTAGAATCTGCAAGGGGATATTTGGACCTCTCTGAGGATTTCGTTGGAAACGGGATCAACTTCCCATAACTGAACGGAAGCAAACTCAGAACATTCTTTGTGATGTTTGTATTCAACTCACAGAGTTGAACCTTCCTTTGATAGTTCAGGTTTGCAACACCCTTGTAGTAGAATCTGCAAGTGTATATTTTGACCACTTTGTAGCCTTCATTTGAAACGTCTATATCTTCACATCAAACCTAGACAGAAGCATTCTCAGAAAGTTTTCTGCGATGACTGCATTCAACTCACAGAGTTGAACAATCCTTCTGATGGAGCAGTTTTGAAACCCTCTTTCTTTGGAATCTGCAAGGGGATATGTGGACCTCTTTGAAGATTTCACTGGAAACGGGATCATCTTCACATAAAAACTAAACAGAAGCATTCTCGGAAACTACTTTGTGATGTTTGTATTCAACTCCCAGAGTTGAACTTTCCTTTTGAAAGAGCAGCTATGAAACACTCTTTTTCGAGAATCTGCAAGTGGACGTTTGGAGGGCTTGGAGGCCTGTGGTGGAAAAGGAAATATCTTCACATAAAACTAGATAGAAGCATTCTCAGAAACTACTTTGTGAGGATGGCATTCAACTCATGGAGTTGAACAATCCTATTGATAGAGCAGATTGGAATCACTCTTTTTGTAGAATCTGCAAATGGAGATTTGGACTGCTTTGAGGCCTACGGTCGTATAGGAAGGAACTTCATATAAAAGGCAAACGGAAGCATTCTCAGAATATTCTTTGTGATGATGGAGTTTCACTCACAGAGCTGAACATGCCTTTTGATGGAGCAGTTTCCAAATACACTTTTGGTAGAATCAGCAGGTGGATATTTGGAGCTCTCTGAGGATTTCGTTGGAAACGGGAATAATTTCCCATAACTAAACACAAACACTCTGAGAAAGTTCTTCATGATGAATGCATTTAACTTGCAGAGATGAACCTGCCTTTGAGAGTTCAGGTTCGAAACACTCTTTCTGTAGAATCTGCAAGTGGATATTTGGACCACTGGGTGGCCTTCGTTCGAAACGGGTATATGTTCACGTAAAAACTAAAGAGAAGCATTCTCAGAAACTTCTGAGTGATGATTGCATTCAAGTCACACAGTTGAACCCTCCTTTTGATGGAGCAGTTTTGAAACTGTCTTTTTGTAGAATCTGTAAGTGGATACGTGGACCTCTTTGAAGATTTCTTTGAAAACGGGAATATTTCCACAGAAAAACTAAACTGAAGCATTCTCAGAAACCGCTTTGTGATGTTTGTGTTCGAGCCGCAGAGTTTAACATTGCTTTTCATAGAGCAGTTTTGAAATATTCTTTTGGCAGAATCTGCAAGTGGACATTTGGACCGCTTTCAGGCCTGTGGTGGCAAAGGCCTGAAAGCCTTTTCCTTTATCTTCACAGAAAGACGAGAGAGAAGCATTGTCAGAAACTTCTTTGTGATGATTGCATTCAACTCACAGAGTTGAAGATTCCTTTTGAAACAGCAGTTTCGAAACACTCTTTCTGTGGGATCCGCAAGGGGATATTTGGACCTCTTTGAAGGTTTCGTTGGAAACGGGATAATCCTCACCTAAAAGCTAAACGGGAAGCATTCTCAGAAACTTCTTTTGGATGTTTGCATTCACCTCAGAGAGTTGAATTTTCCCTTTGATAGCGCAGCTTCGACACACTTTTTCTACAATGTGCAAGTGGATATTTAGCGGGCTTGGAGGACTGTGTTGGAAAAGGAAATATCTTCTCCTAAAAACGACATAGAAGCATTCTCAGAAACTGCTCTGTGATGATTGCATTCAACTCCCAGAGTTGAACATTCCTTTTGATAGAGCAGTTTGCAAACACTCTTTTTGTAGAATCTGCAAGTGGAGATTTGGACCGCTTTGAGGCCTGTGGTAGTGAAGGAAAGAGCTTCATATAAAAACCAGACGGTAGCACTCTCAGAAAATTCTTTGTGACGATGGAGTTTAACTCAGGGAGCTGAACATTCGTTATGATGGAGCAGTTTCCAAACACACGTTTTGTAGAATCTGCAAGGGGATATTTGGACCTCTCTGAGGATTTCGTTGGAAACGGGATCAACTTCCCATAACTGAACGGAAGCAAACTCAGAACATTCTTTGTGATGTTTGTATTCAACTCACAGAGTTGAACCTTCCTTTGATAGTTCAGGTTTGCAACACCCTTGTAGTAGAATCTGCAAGTGTATATTTTGACCACTTTGTAGCCTTCGTTTGAAACGTCTATATCTTCACATCAAACCTAGACAGAAGCATTCTCAGAAAGTTTTCTGCGATGACTGCATTCAACTCACAGAGTTGAACAATCCTTTTGATGGAGCAGTTTTGAAACCCTCTTTCTTTGGAATCTGCAAGGGGATATGTGGACCTCTTTGAAGATTTCACTGGAAACGGGATCATCTTCACATAAGAACTAAACAGAAGCATTCTCGGAAACTACTTTGTGATGTTTGTATTCAACTCCCAGAGTTGAACTTTCCTTTTGAAAGAGCAGCTATGAAACACTCTTTTTCGAGAATCTGCAAGTGGACGTTTGGAGGGCTTTGAGGCCTGTGGTGGAAAAGGAAATATCTTCACATAAAACTAGATAGAAGCATTCTCAGAAACTACTTTGTGAGGATGGCATTCAACTCATGGAGTTGAACAATCCTATTGATAGAGCAGATTGGAATCACTCTTTTTGTAGAATCTGCAAATGGAGATTTGGACTGCTTTGAGGCCTACGGTCGTATAGGAAGGAACTTCATATAAAAGGCAAACGGAAGCATTCTCAGAATATTCTTTGTGATGATGGAGTTTCACTCACAGACCTGAACATGCCTTTTGATGGAGCAGTTTCCAAATACACTTTTGGTAGAATCAGCAGGTGGATATTTGGAGCTCTCTGAGGATTTCGTTGGAAACGGGAATAATTTCCCATAACTAAACACAAACACTCTGAGAAAGTTCTTCATGATGAATGCATTTAACTTGCAGAGATGAACCTGCCTTTGAGAGTTCAGGTTCGAAACACTCTTTCTGTATAATCTGCAAGTGGATATTTGGACCACTGGGTGGCCTTCGTTCGAAACGGGTATATGTTCACGTAAAAACTAAAGAGAAGCATTCTCAGAAACTTCTGAGTGATGATTGCATTCAAGTCACACAGTTGAACCCTCCTTTTGATGGAGCAGTTTTGAAACTGTCTTTTTGTAGAATCTGTAAGTGGATACGTGGACCTCTTTGAAGATTTCTTTGGAAACGGGAATATTTCCACAGAAAAACTAAACTGAAGCATTCTCAGAAACTGCTTTGTGATGTTTGTGTTCGAGCCACAGAGTTTAACATTGCTTTTCATAGAGCAGTTTTGAAATATTCTTTTCGCAGAATCTGCAAGTGGACATTTGGAGCGCTTTCAGGCCTGTGGTGGAAAAGGCCTGAAAGCCTTTTCCTTTATCTTCACAGAAAGACGAGAGAGAAGCATTGTCAGAAACTTCTTTGTGATGATTGCATTCAACTCACAGAGTTGAAGATTCCTTTTGAAACAGCAGTTTCGAAACACTCTTTCTGTGGGATCCGCAAGGGGATATTTGGACCTCTTTGAAGGTTTCGTTGGAAACGGGATAATCTTCACCTAAAAGCTAAACGGAAGCATTCTCAGAAACTTCTTTGGGATGTTTGCATTCACCTCACAGAGTTGAACTTTCCCTTTGATAGCGCAGCTTTGACACACTTTTTCTGCAATGTGCAAGTGGCTATTTAGCGGGCTTGGAAGACTGTGTTGGAAAAGGAAATATCTTCTCCTAAAAACGACATAGAAGCATTCTCAGAAACTGCTCTGTGATGATTGCATTCAACTCCCAGAGTTGAACATTCCTTTTGATAGAGCAGTTTGCAAACACTCTTTTTGTAGAATCTGCAAGTGGAGATTTGGACCGCTTTGAGGTCTGTGGTAGTGAAGGAAAGAACTTCATATAAAAACCAGACGGTAGCACTCTCAGAAAATTCTTTGTGACGATGGAGTTTAACTCAGGGAGCTGAACATTCGTTATGATGGAGCAGTTTCCAAACACACGTTTTGTAGAATCTGCAAGGGGATATTTGGACCTCTCTGAGGATTTCGTTGGAAACGGGATCAACTTCCCATAACTGAACGGAAGCAAACTCAGAACATTCTTTGTGATGTTTGTATTCAACCCACAGAGTTGAACCTTCCTTTGATAGTTCAGGTTTGCAACACCCTTGTAGTAGAATCTGCAAGTGTATATTTTGACCACTTTGTAGCCTTCGTTTGAAACGTCTATATCTTCACATCAAACCTAGACAGAAGCATTCTCAGAAAGTTTTCTGCGATGACTGCATTCAACTCACAGAGTTGAACAATCCTTCTGATGGAGCAGTTTTGAAACCCTCTTTCTTTGGAATCTGCAAGGGGATATGTGGACCTCTTTGAAGATTTCACTGGAAACGGGATCATCTTCACATAAAAACTAAACAGAAGCATTCTCGGAAACTACTTTGTGATGTTTGTATTCAACTCCCAGAGTTGAACTTTCCTTTTGAAAGAGCAGCTATGAAACACTCTTTTTCGAGAATCTGCAAGTGGACGTTTGGAGGGCTTTGAGGCCTGTGGTGGAAAAGGAAATATCTTCACATAAAAACTAGATAGAAGCATTCTCAGAAACGACTTTGTGAGGATGGCATTCAACTCATGGAGTTGAACAATCCTATTGATAGAGCAGATTGGAATCACTCTTTTTGTAGAATCTGCAAATGGAGATTTGGACTGCTTTGAGGCCTACGGTCGTATAGGAAGGAACTTCATATAAAAGGCAAACGGAAGCATTCTCAGAATATTCTTTGTGATGATGGAGTTTCACTCACAGAGCTGAACATGCCTTTTGATGGAGCAGTTTCCAAATACACTTTTGGTAGAATCTGCAGGTGGATATTTGGAGCTCTCTGAGGATTTCGTTGGAAACGGGAATAATTTCCCATAACTAAACACAAACACTCTGAGAAAGTTCTTCATGATGAATGCATTTAACTCGCAGAGATGAACCTGCCTTTGAGAGTTCAGGTTCGAAACACTCTTTCTGTAGAATCTGCAAGTGGATATTTGGACCACTGGCTGGCCTTCGTTCGAAACGGGTATATGTTCACGTAAAAACTAAAGAGAAGCATTCTCAGAAACTTCTGAGTGATGATTGCATTCAAGTCACACAGTTGAACCCTCCTTTTGATGGAGCAGTTTTGAAACTGTCTTTTTGTAGAATCTGTAAGTGGATACGTGGACCTCTTTGAAGATTTCTTTGGAAACGGGAATATTTCCACAGAAAAACTAAACTGAAGCATTCTCAGAAACCGCTTTGTGATGTTTGTGTTCGAGCCGCAGAGTTTAACATTGCTTTTCATAGAGCAGTTTTGAAATATTCTTTTGGCAGAATCTGCAAGTGGACATTTGGAGCGCTTTCAGGCCTGTGGTGGAAAAGGCCTGAAAGCCTTTTCCTTTATCTTCACAGAAAGACGAGAGAGAAGCATTGTCAGAAACTTCTTTGTGATGATTGCATTCAACTCACAGAGTTGAAGATTCCTTTTGAAACAGCAGTTTCGAAACACTCTTTCTGTGGGATCCGCAAGGGGATATTTGGACCTCTTTGAAGGTTTCGTTGGAAACGGGATAATCTTCACCTAAAAGCTAAACGGAAGCATTCTCAGAAACTTCTTTGGGATGTTTGCATTCACCTCACAGAGTTGAACTTTCCCTTTGATAGCGCAGCTTTGACACACTTTTTCTACAATGTGCAAGTGGCTATTTAGCGGGCTTGGAGGACTGTGTTGGAAAAGGAAATATCTTCTAAAAACGACATAGAAGCATTCTCAGAAACTGCTCTGTGATGATTGCATTCAACTCCCAGAGTTGAACATTCCTTTTGATAGAGCAGTTTGCAAACACTCTTTTTGTAGAATCTGCAAGTGGAGATTTGGACCGCTTTGAGGCCTGTGGTAGTGAAGGAAAGAACTTCATATAAAAACCAGACGGTAGCACTCTCAGAAAATTCTTTGTGACGATGGAGTTTAACTCAGGGAGCTGAACATTCGTTATGATGGAGCAGTTTCCAAACACACGTTTTGTAGAATCTGCGAGGGGATATTTGGACCTCTCTGAGGATTTCGTTGGAAACGGGATCAACTTCCCATAACTGAACGGAAGCAAACTCAGAACATTCTTTGTGATGTTTGTATTCAATTCACAGAGTTGAACCTTCCTTTGATAGTTCACGTTTGCAACACCCTTGTAGTAGAATCTGCAAGTGTATATTTTGACCACTTTGTAGCCTTCGTTTGAAACGTCTATATCTTCACATCAAACCTAGACAGAAGCATTCTCAGAAAGTTTTCTGCGATGACTGCATTCAACTCACAGAGTTGAACAATCCTTCTGATGGAGCAGTTTTGAAACCCTCTTTCTTTGGAATCTGCAAGGGGATATGTGGACCTCTTTGAAGATTTCACTGGAAACGGGATCATCTTCACATAAAAACTAAACAGAAGCATTCTCGGAAACTACTTTGTGATGTTTGTATTCAACTCCCAGAGTTGAACTTTCCTTGTGAAAGAGCAGCTATGAAACACTCTTTTTCGAGAATCTGCAAGTGGACGTTTGGAGGGCTTTGAGGCCTGTGGGGAAAAGGAAATATCTTCACATAAAAACTAGATAGAAGCATTCTCAGAAACGACTTTGTGAGGATGGCATTCAACTCATGGAGTTGAACAATCCTATTGATAGAGGAGATTGGAATCATTCTTTTTGTAGAATCCGCAAATGGAGATTTGGACTGCTTTGAGGCCTACGGTAGTACAGGAAGGAACTTCATATAAAAGGCAAACGGAAGCATTCTCAGAATATTCTTTGTGATGATGGAGTTTCACTCACAGAGCTGAACATGCCTTTTGATGAAGCAGTTGCCAAATACACTTTTGGTAGAATCTGCAGGTGGATATTTGGACCTCTCTGAGGAATTTCGTTGGAAACGGGAATAATTTCCCATACCTAAACACAAACACTCTGAGCAAAGTTCTTCATGATGAATGCATTGAACTCGCAGAGATGAACCTGCCTTTGAGAGTTCAGGTTCGAAACACTCTTTCTGTAGAATCTGCAAGTGGATATTTGGACCACTGGCTGGCCTTCGTTGGAAACGGGTATATGTTCACGTAAAAACTAAAGAGAAGCATTCTCAGAAACTTCTGAGTGATGATTGCATTCAAGTCACACGGTTGAACCCTCCTTTTGATTGAGCAGTTTTGAAACTGTCTTTTTGTAGAATCTGTTAGAGGACACGTGGACCTCTTTGAAGATTTCTTTGGAAACGGGAATATTTCCACAGAAAAACTAAACTGAAGCATTCTCAGAAACTGCTTTGTGATGTTTGTGTTCGAGCCGCTGAGTTTAACATTGCTTTTCATAGAGCAGTTTTGAAATATTCTTTTGGCAGAATCTGCAAGTGGACATTTGGAGCGCTTTCAGGCCTGTGGTGGAAAAGGCCTGAAAGCCTTTTCCTTTATCTTCACAGAAAGACGAGAGAGAAGCATTGTCAGAAACTTCTTTGTGATGATTGCATTCAACTCACAGAGTTGAAGATTCCTTTTGAAACAGCAGTTTCGAAACACTCTTTCTGTGGGATCCGCAAGGGGATATTTGGACCTCTTTGAAGATTTCGTTGGAAACGGGATAATCTTCACCTAAAAGCTAAACGGAAGCATTCTCAGAAACTTCTTTGGGATGTTTGCATTCACCTCACAGAGTTGAACTTTCCCTTTGATAGCGCAGCTTCGACACACTTTTTCTACAATGTGCAAGTGGCTATTTAGCGGGCTTGGAGGACTGTGTTGGAAAAGGAAATATCTTCTCCTAAAAACGACATAGAAGCATTCTCAGAAACTGCTCTGTGATGATTGCATTAAACTCCCAGAGTTGAACATTCCTTTTGATAGAGCAGTTTGCAAACACTCTTTTTGTAGAATCTGCCAGTGGAGATTTGGACCGCTTTGAGGCCTGTGGTAGTAAAGGAAAGAACTTCATATAAAAACCAGACGGTAGCACTCTCAGAAAATTCTTTGTGACGATGGAGTTTAACTCAGGGAGCTGAACATTCGTTATGATGGAGCAGTTTCCAAACACACGTTTTGTAGAATCTGCAAGGGGATATTTGGACCTCTCTGAGGATTTCGTTGGAAACGGGATCAACTTCCCATAACTGAACGGAAGCAAACTCAGAACATTCTTTGTGATGTTTGTATTCAACTCCCAGAGTTGAACTTTCCTTTTGAAAGAGCAGCTATGAAACACTCTTTTTCGAGAATCTGCAAGTGGACGTTTGGAGGGCTTTGAGGCCTGTGGTGGAAAAGGAAATATCTTCACACAAAAACCAGATAGAAGCATTCTCAGAAACTACTTTGTGAGGATGGCATTCAACTCATGGAGTTGAACAATCCTATTGATAGAGCAGATTGGAATCACTCTTTTTGTAGAATCTGCAAATGGAGATTTGGACTGCTTTGAGGCCTACGGTCGTATATGAAGGAACTTCATATAAAAGGCAAACGGAAGCATTCTCAGAATATTCTTTGTGATGATGGAGTTTCACTCACAGAGCTGAACATGCCTTTTGATGGAGCAGTTTCCAAATACACTTTTGGTAGAATCTGCAGGTGGATATTTGGAGCTCTCTGAGGATTTCGTTGGAAACGGGAATAATTTCCCATAACTAAACACAAACACTCTGAGAAAGTTCTTCATGATGAATGCATTTAACTCGCAGAGATGAACCTGCCTTTGAGAGTTCAGGTTCGAAACACTCTTTCTGTAGAATCTGCAAGTGGATATTTGGACCACTGGGTGGCCTTCGTTCGAAACGGGTATATGTTCACGTAAAAACTAAAGAGAAGCATTCTCAGAAACTTCTGAGTGATGATTGCATTCAAGTCACACAGTTGAACCCTCCTTTTGATGGAGCAGTTTTGAAACTGTCTTTTTGTAGAATCTGTAAGTGGATACGTGGACCTCTTTGAAGATTTCTTTGGAAACGGGAATATTTCCACAGAAAAACTAAACTGAAACATTCTCAGAAACCGCTTTGTGATGTTTGTGTTCCAGCCACAGAGTTTAACATTGCTTTTCATAGAGCAGTTTTGAAATATTCTTTTCGCAGAATCTGCAAGTGGACATTTGGAGCGCTTTCAGGCCTGTGGTGGCAAAGGCCTGAAAGCCTTTTCCTTTATCTTCACAGAAAGACGAGAGAGAAGCATTGTCAGAAACTTCTTTGTGATGATTGCATTCAACTCACAGAGTTGAAGATTCCTTTTGAAACAGCAGTTTCGAAACACTCTTTCTGTGGGATCCGCAAGGGGATATTTGGACCTCTTTGAAGGTTTCGTTGGAAACGGGATAATCTTCACCTAAAAGCTAAACGGAAGCATTCTCAGAAACTTCTTTGGGATGTTTGCATTCACCTCACAGAGTTGAACTTTCCCTTTGATAGCGCAGCTTTGACACACTTTTTCTACAATGTGCAAGTGGCTATTTAGCGGGCTTGGAGGACTGTGTTGGAAAAGGAAATATCTTCTCCTAAAAACGACATAGAAGCATTCTCAGAAACTGCTCTGTGATGATTGCATTCAACTCCCAGAGTTGAACATTCCTTTTGATAGAGCAGTTTGCAAACACTCTTTTTGTAGAATCTGCAAGTGGAGATTTGGACCGCTTTGAGGCCTGTGGTAGTGAAGGAAAGAACTTCATATAAAAACCAGACGGTAGCACTCTCAGAAAATTCTTTGTGACGATGGAGTTTAACTCAGGGAGCTGAACATTCGTTATGATGGAGCAGTTTCCAAACACACGTTTTGTAGAATCTGCGAGGGGATATTTGGACCTCTCTGAGGATTTCTTTGGAAACGGGATCAACTTCCCATAACTGAACGGAAGCAAACTCAGAACATTCTTTGTGATGTTTGTATTCAACTCACAGAGTTGAACCTTCCTTTGATAGTTCAGGTTTGCAACACCCTTGTAGTAGAATCTGCAAGTGTATATTTTGACCACTTTGTAGCCTTCGTTTGAAACGTCTATATCTTCACATCAAACCTAGACAGAAGCTTTCTCAGAAAGTTTTCTGCGATGACTGCATTCAACTCACAGAGTTGAACAATCCTTCTGATGGAGCAGTTTTGAAACCCTCTTTCTTTGGAATCTGCAAGGGGATATGTGGACCTCTTTGAAGATTTCACTGGAAACGGGATCATCTTCACATAAAAACTAAACAGAAGCATTCTCGGAAACTACTTTGTGATGTTTGTATTCAACTCCCAGAGTTGAACTTTCCTTTTGAAAGAGCAGCTATGAAACACTCTTTTTCGAGAATCTGCAAGTGGACGTTTGGAGGGCTTTGAGGCCTGTGGTGGAAAAGGAAATATCTTCACACAAAAACCAGATAGAAGCATTCTCAGAAACTACTTTGTGAGGATGGCATTCAACTCATGGAGTTGAACAATCCTATTGATAGAGCAGATTGGAATCACTCTTTTTATAGAATCTGCAAATGGAGATTTGGACTGCTTTGAGGCCTACGGTAGTACAGGAAGGAACTTCATATAAAAGGCAAACGGAAGCATTCTCAGAATATTCTTTGTGATGATGGAGTTTCACTCACAGAGCTGAACATGCCTTTTGATGGAGCAGTTTCCAAATACACTTTTGGTAGAATCTGCAGGTGGATATTTGGAGCTCTCTGAGGATTTCGTTGGAAACGGGAATAATTTCCCATAACTAAACACAAACACTCTGAGAAAGTTCTTCATGATGAATGCTTTTAACTCGCAGAGATGAACCTGCCTTTGAGAGTTCAGGTTCGAAACACTCTTTCTGTAGAATCTGCAAGTGGATATTTGGACCACTGGGTGGCCTTCGTTCGAAACGGGTATATGTTCACGTAAAAACTAAAGAGAAGCATTCTCAGAAACTTCTGAGTGATGATTGCATTCAAGTCACACGGTTGAACCCTCCTTTTGATGGAGCAGTTTTGAAACTGTCTTTTTGTAGAATCTGTAAGTGGATGCGTGGACCTCTTTGAAGATTTCTTTGGAAACGGGAATATTTCCACAGAAAAACTAAACTGAAGCATTCTCAGAAACCGCTTTGTGATGTTTGTGTTCGAGCCGCAGAGTTTAACATTGCTTTTCATAGAGCAGTTTTGAAATATTCTTTTCGCAGAATCTGCAAGTGGACATTTGGAGCGCTTTCAGGCCTGTGGTGGAAAAGGCCTGAAAGCCTTTTCCTTTATCTTCACAGAAAGACGAGAGAGAAGCATTGTCAGAAACTTCTTTGTGATGATTGCATTCAACTCACAGAGTTGAAGATTCCTTTTGAAACAGCAGTTTCGAAACACTCTTTCTGTGGGATCCGCAAGGGGATATTTGGACCTCTTTGAAGGTTTCGTTGGAAACGGGATAATCTTCACCTAAAAGCTAAACGGAAGCATTCTCAGAAACTTCTTTGGGATGTTTGCATTCACCTCACAGAGTTGAACTTTCCCTTTGATAGCGCAGCTTTGACACACTTTTTCTACAATGTGCAAGTGGCTATTTAGCGGGCTTGGAGGACTGTGTTGGAAAAGGAAATATCTTCTCCTAAAAACGACATAGAAGCATTCTCAGAAACTGCTCTGTGATGATTGCATTCAACTCCCAGAGTTGAACATTCCTTTTGATAGAGCAGTTTGCAAACACTCTTTTTGTAGAATCTGCAAGTGGAGATTTGGACCGCTTTGAGGCCTGTGGTAGTGAAGGAAAGAACTTCATATAAAAACCAGACGGTAGCACTCTCAGAAAATTCTTTGTGACGATGGAGTTTAACTCAGGGAGCTGAACATTCGTTATGATGGAGCAGTTTCCAAACACACGTTTTGTAGAATCTGCAAGGGGATATTTGGACCTCTCTGAGGATTTCGTTGGAAACGGGATCAACTTCCCATAACTGAACGGAAGCAAACTCAGAACATTCTTTGTGATGTTTGTATTCAACTCACAGAGTTGAACCTTCCTTTGATAGTTCAGGTTTGCAACACCCTTGTAGTAGAATCTGCAAGTGTATATTTTGACCACTTTGTAGCCTTCATTTGAAACGTCTATACCTTCACATCAAACCTAGACAGAAGCATTCTCAGAAAGTTTTCTGCGATGACTGCATTCAACTCACAGAGTTGAACAATCCTTCTGATGGAGCAGTTTTGAAACCCTCTTTCTTTGGAATCTGCAAGGGGATATGTGGACCTCTTTGAAGATTTCACTGGAAACGGGATCATCTTCAAATAAAAACTAAACAGAAGCATTCTCGGAAACTACTTTGTGATGTTTGTATTCAACTCCCAGAGTTGAACTTTCCTTTTGAAAGAGCAGCTATGAAACACTCTTTTTCGAGAATCTGCAAGTGGACGTTTCGAGGGCTTTGAGGCCTGTGGTGGAAAAGGAAATATCTTCACACAAAAACCAGATAGAAGCATTCTCAGAAACTACTTTGTGAGGATGGCATTCAACTCATGGAGTTGAACAATCCTATTGATAGAGCAGATTGGAATCACTCTTTTTGTAGAATCTGCAAATGGAGATTTGGACTGCTTTGAGGCCTACGGTAGTACAGGAAGGAAGTTCATATAAAAGGCAAACGGAAGCATTCTCAGAATATTCTTTGTGATGATGGAGTTTCACTCACAGAGCTGAACATGCCTTTTGATGGAGCAGTTTCCAAATACACTTTTGGTAGAATCTGCAGGTGGATATTTGGAGCTCCCTGAGGATTTCGTTGGAAACGGGAATAATTTCCCATAACTAAACACAAACACTCTGAGAAAGTTCTTCATGATGAATGCATTTAACTCGCAGAGATGAACCTGCCTTTGAGAGTTCAGGTTCGAAACACTCTTTCTGTAGAATCTGCAAGTGGATATTTGGACCACTGGGTGGCCTTCGTTCGAAACGGGTATATGTTCACGTAAAAACTAAAGAGAAGCATTCTCAGAAACTTCTGAGTGATGATTGCATTCAAGTCACACAGTTGAACCCTCCTTTTGATGGAGCAGTTTTGAAACTGTCTTTTTGTAGAATCTGTAAGTGGATACGTGGACCTCTTTGAAGATTTCTTTGGAAACGGGAATATTTCCACAGAAAAACTAAACTGAATCATTCTCAGAAACCGCCTTGTGATGTTTGTGTTCGAGCCACAGAGTTTAACATTGCGTTTCATAGAGCAGTTTTGAAATATTCTTTTGGCAGAATCTGCAAGTGGACATTTGGAGCGCTTTCAGGCCTGTGGTGGAAAAGTCCTGAAAGCCTTTTCCTTTACCTTCACAGAAAGACGAGAGAGAAGCATTGTCAGAAACTTCTTTGCGATGATTGCATTCAACTCACAGAGTTGAAGATTCCTTTTGAAACAGCAGTTTCGAAACACTCTTTCTGTGGGATCCGCAAGGGGATATTTGGACCTCTTTGAAGGTTTCGTTGGAAACGGGATAATCTTCACCTAAAAGCTAAACGGAAGCACTCTCAGAAACTTCTTTGGGATGTTTGCATTCACCTCACAGAGTTGAACTTTCCCTTTGATAGCGCAGCTTTGACACACTTTTTCTACAATGTGCAAGTGACTATTTAGCGGGCTTGGAGGACTGTGTTGGAAAAGGAAATATCTTCTCCTAAAAACGACATAGAAGCATTCTCAGAAACTGCTCTGTGATGATTGCATTCAACTCCCAGAGTTGAACATTCCTTTTGATAGAGCAGTTTGCAAACACTCTTTTTGTAGAATCTGCAAGTGGAGATTTGGACCGCTTTGAGGCCTGTGGTAGTGAAGGAAAGAACTTCATATAAAAACCAGACGGTAGCACTCTCAGAAAATTCTTTGTGACGATGGAGTTTAACTCAGGGAGCTGAACATTCGTTATGATGGAGCAGTTTCCAAACACACGTTTTGTAGAATCTGCAAGGGGATATTTGGACCTCTCTGAGGATTTCGTTGGAAACGGGATCAACTTCCCATAACTGAACGGAAGCAAACTCAGAACATTCTTTGTGATGTTTGTATTCAACTCACAGAGTTGAACCTTCCTTTGATAGTTCAGGTTTGCAACACCCTTGTAGTAGAATCTGCAAGTGTATATTTTGACCACTTTGTAGCCTTCGTTTGAAACATCTATATCTTCACATCAAACCTAGACAGAAGCATTCTCAGAAAGTTTTCTGCGATGACTGCATTCAACTCACAGAGTTGAACAATCCTTTTGATGGAGCAGTTTTGAAACCCTCTTTCTTTGGAATCTGCAAGAGGATATGTGGACCTCTTTGAAGATTTCACTGGAAACGGGATCATCTTCACATAAAAACTAAACAGAAGCATTCTCGGAAACTATTTTGTGATGTTTGTATTCAACTCCCAGAGTTGAACTTTCCTTTTGAAAGAGCAGCTATGAAACACTCTTTTTCTAGAATCTGCAAGTGGACGTTTGGAGGGCTTTGAGGCCTGTGGTGGAAAAGGAAATATCTTCACACAAAAACCAGATAGAAGCATTCTCAGAAACTACTTTGTGAGGATGGCATTCAACTCATGGAGTTGAACAATCCTATTGATAGAGCAGATTGGAATCACTCTTTTTGTAGAATCTGCAAATGGAGATTTGGACTGCTTTGAGGCCTACGGTAGTACAGGAAGGAAGTTCATATAAAAGGCAAACGGAAGCATTCTCAGAATATTCTTTGTGATGATGGAGTTTCACTCACAGAGCTGAACATGCCTTTTGATGGAGCAGTTTCCAAATACACTTTTGGTAGAATCTGCAGGTGGATATTTGGAGCTCTCTGAGGATTTCGTTGGAAACGGGAATAATTTCCCATAACTAAACACAAACACTCTGAGAAAATTCTTCATGATGAATGCATTTAACTCGCAGAGATGAACCTGCCTTTGAGAGTTCAGGTTCGAAACACTCTTTCTGTATAATCTGCAAGTGGATATTTGGACCACTGGGTGGCCTTCGTTCGAAACGGGTATATGTTCACGTAAAAACTAAAGAGAAGCATTCTCAGAAACTTCTGAGTGATGATTGCATTCAAGTCACACAGTTGAACCCTCCTTTTGATGGAGCAGTTTTGAAACTGTCTTTTTGTAGAATCTGTAAGTGGATACGTGGACCTCTTTGAAGATTTCTTTGGAAACGGGAATATTTCCACAGAAAAACTAAACTGAAACATTCTCAGAAACCGCTTTGTGATGTTTGTGTTCCAGCCACAGAGTTTAACATTGCTTTTCATAGAGCAGTTTTGAAATATTCTTTTGGCAGAATCTGCAAGTGGACATTTGGAGCGCTTTCAGGCCTGTGGTGGAAAAGGCCTGAAAGCCTTTTCCTTTATCTTCACAGAAAGACGAGAGAGAAGCATTGTCAGAAACTTCTTTGTGATGATTGCATTCAACTCACAGAGTTGAAGATTCCTTTTGAAACAGCAGTTTCGAAACACTCTTTCTGTGGGATCCGCAAGGGGATATTTGGACCTCTTTGAAGGTTTCGTTGGAAACGGGATAATCTTCACCTAAAAGCTAAACGGAAGCATTCTCAGAAACTTCTTTGGGATGTTTGCATTCACCTCACAGAGTTGAACTTTCCCTTTGATAGCGCAGCTTTGACACACTTTTTCTACAATGTGCAAGTGGCTATTTAGCGGGCTTGGAGGACTGTGTTGGAAAAGGAAATATACTTCTCCTAAAAACGACATAGAAGCATTCTCAGAAACTGCTCTGTGATGATTGCATTCAACTCCCAGTAGTTGAACATTCCTTTTGATAGAGCAGTTTGCAAACACTCTTTTTGTAGAATCTGCAAGTGGAGATTTGGACCGCTTTGAGGCCTGTGGTAGTAAAGGAAAGAACTTCATATAAAAACCAGACGGTAGCACTCTCAGAAAATTCTTTGTGACGATGGAGTTTAACTCAGAGAGCTGAACATTCGTTATGATGGAGCAGTTTCCAAACACACGTTTTGTAGAATCTGCAAGGGGATATTTGGACCTCTCTGAGGATTTCGTTGGGAACGGGATCAACTTCCCATAACTGAACGGAAGCAAACTCAGAACATTCTTTGTGATGTTTGTATTCAACTCACAGAGTTGAACCTTCCTTTGATAGTTCAGGTTTGCATCACCCTTGTAGTAGAATCTGCAAGTGTATATGTTGACCACTTTGTAGCCTTCGTTTGAAACGTCTATATCTTCACATCAAACCTAGACAGAAGCATTCTCAGAAAGTTTTCTGCGATGACTGCATTCAACTCACAGAGTTGAACAATCCTTTTGATGGAGCAGTTTTGAAACCCTCTTTCTTTGGAATCTGCAAGGGGATATGTGGACCTCTTTGAAGATTTCACTGGAAACGGGATCATCTGCACATAAGAACTAAACAGAAGCATTCTCGGAAACTACTTTGTGATGTTTGTATTCAGCTCCCAGAGTTGAACTTTCCTTTTGAAAGAGCAGCTATGAAACACTCTTTTTCGAGAATCTGCAAGTGGACGTTTGGAGGGCTTTGGGGCCTGTGGTGGAAAAGGAAATATCTTCACATAAAAACTAGATAGAAGCATTCTCAGAAACTGCTTTGTGAGGATGGCATTCAACTCATGGAGTTGAACAATCCTATTGATAGAGCAGATTGGAATCACTCTTTTTGTAGAATCTGCAAATGGAGATTTGGACTGCTTTGAGGCCTACGGTAGTACAGGAAGGAACTTCATATAAAAGGCAAACGGAAGCATTCTCAGAATATTCTTTGTGATGATGGAGTTTCACTCACAGAGCTGAACATGCCTTTTGATGGAGCAGTTTCCAAATACACTTTTGGTAGAATCTGCAGGTGGATATTTGGAGCTCTCTGAGGATTTCGTTGGAAACGGGAATAATTTCCCATAACTAAACACAAACACTCTGAGAAAGTTCTTCATGATGAATGCATTTAACTCGCAGAGATGAACCTGCCTTTGAGAGTTCAGGTTCGAAACACTCTTTCTGTATAATCTGCAAGTGGATATTTGGACCACTGGGTGGCCTTCGTTCGAAACGGGTATATGTTCACGTAAAAACTAAAGAGAAGCATTCTCAGAAACTTCTGAGTGATGATTGCATTCAAGTCACACAGTTGAACCCTCCTTTTGATGGAGCAGTTTTGAAACTGTCTTTTTGTAGAATCTGTAAGTGGATACGTGGACCTCTTTGAAGATTTCTTTGGAAACGGGAATATTTCCACAGAAAAACTAAACTGAAGCATTCTCAGAAACCGCTTTGTGATGTTTGTGTTCGAGCCACAGAGTTTAACATTGCTTTTCATAGAGCAGATTTGAAATATTCTTTTCGCAGAATCTGCAAGTGGACATTTGGAGCGCTTTCAGGCCTGTGGTGGAAAAGGCCTGAAAGCCTTTTCCTTTATCTTCACAGAAAGACGAGAGAGAAGCATTGTCAGAAACTTCTTTGCGATGATTGCATTCAACTCACAGAGTTGAAGATTCCTTTTGAAACAGCAGTTTCGAAACACTCTTTCTGTGGGATCCGCAAGGGGATATTTGGACCTCTTTGAAGGTTTCGTTGGAAACGGGATAATCTTCACCTAAAAGCTAAACGGAAGCACTCTCAGAAACTTCTTTGGGATGTTTGCATTCACCTCACAGAGTTGAACTTTCCCTTTGATAGCGCAGCTTTGACACACTTTTTCTACAATGTGCAAGTGACTATTTAGCGGGCTTGGAGGACTGTGTTGGAAAAGGAAATATCTTCTCCTAAAAACGACATAGAAGCATTCTCAGAAACTGCTCTGTGATGATTGCATTCAACTCCCAGAGTTGAACATTCCTTTTGATAGAGCAGTTTGCAAACACTCTTTTTGTAGAATCTGCAAGTGGAGATTTGGACCGCTTTGAGGCCTGGGGTAGTGAAGGAAAGAGCTTCATATAAAAACCAGACGGTAGCACTCTCAGAAAATTCTTTGTGACGATGGAGTTTAACTCAGGGAGCTGAACATTCGTTATGATGGAGCAGTTTCCAAACACACGTTTTGTAGAATCTGCAAGGGGATATTTGGACCTCTCTGAGGATTTCGTTGGAAACGGGATCAACTTCCCATAACTGAACGGAAGCAAACTCAGAACATTCTTTGTGATGTTTGTATTCAACTCACAGAGTTGAACCTTCCTTTGATAGTTCAGATTTGCAACACCCTTGTAGTAGAATCTGCAAGTGTATATTTTGACCACTTTGTAGCCTTCGTTTGAAACGTCTATATCTTCACATCAAACCTAGACAGAATCATTCTCAGAAAGTTTTCTGCGATGACTGCATTCAACTCACAGAGTTGAGCAATCCTTTTGATGGAGCAGTCTTGAAACCCTCTTTCTTTGGAATCTGCAAGGGGGATATGTGGACCTCTTTGAAGATTTCAATGGAAATGGGATCATCTTCACATAAAAACTA
Organism: Homo sapiens; assembly: GCF_000001405.40. Classification (NCBI taxonomy): domain Eukaryota; kingdom Metazoa; phylum Chordata; class Mammalia; order Primates; family Hominidae; genus Homo; species Homo sapiens. The sequence continues at coordinate 59,156,993 of NC_000023.11, forward strand.
AACAGAAGCATTCTCGGAAACTACTTTGTGATGTTTGTATTCAACTCCCAGAGTTGAACTTTCCTTTTGAAAGAGTAGCTATGAAACACTCTTTTTCGAGAATCTGCAAGTGGACGTTTGGAGGGCTTTGAGGCCTGTGGTGGAAAAGGAAATATCTTCACATAAAAACTAGATAGAAGCATTCTCAGAAACTACTTTGTGAGGATGGCATTCAACTCATGGAGTTGAACAATCCTATTGATAGAGCAGATTGGAATCACTCTTTTTGTAGAATCTGCAAATGGAGATTTGGACTGCTTTGAGGCCTACGGTAGTACAGGAAGGAACTTCATATAAAAGGCAAACGGAAGCATTCTCAGAATATTCTTTGTGATGATGGAGCTTCACTGACAGAGCTGAACATGCCTTTTGATGGAGCAGTTTCCAAATACACTTTTGGTAGAATCTGCAGGTGGATATTTGGAGCTCTCTGAGGATTTCGTTGGAAACGGGAATAATTTCCCATAACTAAACACAAAACACTCTGAGAAAGTTCTTCATGATGAATGCATTTAACTCGCAGAGATGAACCTGCCTTTGAGAGTTCAGGTTCGAAACACTCTTTCTGTATAATCTGCAAGTGGATATTTGGACCACTGGGTGGCCTTCGTTCGAAACGGGTATATGTTCACGTAAAAACTAAAGAGAAGCATTCTCAGAAACTTCTGAGTGATGATTGCATTCAAGTCACACGGTTGAACCCTCCTTTTGATGGAGCAGTTTTGAAACTGTCTTTTTGTAGAATCTGTAAGTGGATACGTGGACCTCTTTGAAGATTTCTTTGGAAACGGGAATATTTCCACAGAAAAACTAAACTGAATCATTCTCAGAAACCGCTTTGTGATGTTTGTGTTCGAGCCACAGAGTTTAACATTGCTTTTCATAGAGCAGTTTTGAAATATTCTTTTGGCAGAATCTGCAAGTGGACATTTGGAGCGCTTTCAGGCCTGTGGTGGAAAAGGCCTGAAAGCCTTTTCCTTTATCTTCACAGAAAGACGAGAGAGAAGCATTGTCAGAAACTTCTTTGTGATGATTGCATTCAACTCACAGAGTTGAAGATTCCTTTTGAAACAGCAGTTTCGAAACACTCTTTCTGTGGGATCCGCAAGGGGATATTTGGACCTCTTTGAAGGTTTCGTTGGAAACGGGATAATCTTCACCTAAAAGCTAAACGGAAGCATTCTCAGAAACTTCTTTGGGATGTTTGCATTCACCTCACAGAGTTGAACTTTCCCTTTGATAGCGCAGCTTTGACACACTTTTTCTACAATGTGCAAGTGGCTATTTAGCGGGCTTGGAGGACTGTGTTGGAAAAGGAAATATCTTCTCCTAAAAACGACATAGAAGCATTCTCAGAAACTGCTCTGTGATGATTGCATTCAACTCCCAGAGTTGAACATTCCTTTTGATAGAGCAGTTTGCAAACACTCTTTTTGTAGAATCTGCAAGTGGAGATTTGGACCACTTTGAGGCCTGTGGTAGTGAAGGAAAGAACTTCATATAAAAACCAGACGGTAGCACTCTCAGAAAATTCTTTGTGACGATGGAGTTTAACTCAGGGAGCTGAACATTCGTTATGATGGAGCAGTTTCCAAACACACGTTTTGTAGAATCTGCAAGGGGATATTTGGACCTCTCTGAGGATTTCGTTGGAAACGGGATCAACTTCCCATAACTGAACGGAAGCAAACTCAGAACATTCTTTGTGATGTTTGTATTCAACTCACAGAGTTGAACCTTCCTTTGATAGTTCAGGTTTGCAACACCCTTGTAGTAGAATCTGCAAGTGTATATTTTGACCACTTTGTAGCCTTCGTTTGAAACGTCTATATCTTCACATCAAACCTAGACAGAAGCATTCTCAGAAAGTTTTCTGCGATGACTGCATTCAACTCACAGAGTTGAACAATCCTTTTGATGGAGCAGTTTTGAAACCCTCTTTCTTTGGAATCTGCAAGGGGATATGTGGACCTCTTTGAAGATTTCACTGGAAACGGGATCATCTTCACATAAGAACTAAACAGAAGCATTCTCGGAAACTACTTTGTGATGTTTGTATTCAACTCCCAGAGTTGAACTTTCCTTTTGAAAGAGCAGCTATGAAACAGTCTTTTTCGAGAATGTGCAAGTGGACGTTTGGAGGGCTTTGAGGCCTGTGGTGGAAAAGGAAATATCTTCACATAAAAACTAGATAGAAGCATTCTCAGAAACGACTTTGTGAGGATGGCATTCAACTCATGGAGTTGAACAATCCTATTGATAGAGCAGATTGGAATCACTCTTTTTGTAGAATCTGCAAATGGAGATTTGGACTGCTTTGAGGCCTACGGTCGTATAGGAAGGAACTTCATATAAAAGGCAAACGGAAGCATTCTCAGAATGTTCTTTGTGATGATGGAGTTTCACTCACAGAGCTGAACATGCCTGTTGATGGAGCAGTTTCCAAATACACTTTTGGTAGAATCTGCAGGTGGATATTTGGAGCTCTCTGAGGATTTCATTGGAAACGGGAATAATTTCCCATAACTAAACACAAACACTCTGAGAAAGTTCTTCATGATGAATGCATTTAACTCGCAGAGATGAACCTGCCTTTGAGAGTTCAGGTTCGAAACACTCTTTCTGTATAATCTGCAAGTGGATATTTGGACCACTGGGTGGCCTTCGTTCGAAACGGGTATATGTTCACGTAAAAACTAAAGAGAAGCATTCTCAGAAACTTCTGAGTGATGATTGCATTCAAGTCACACAGTTGAACCCTCCTTTTGATGGAGCAGTTTTGAAACTGTCTTTTTGTAGAATCTGTAAGTGGATACGTGGACCTCTTTGAAGATTTCTTTGGAAACGGGAATATTTCCACAGAAAAACTAAACTGAAGCATTCTCAGAAACCGCTTTGTGATGTTTGTGTTCGAGCCACAGAGTTTAACATTGCTTTTCATAGAGCAGTTTTGAAATATTCTTTTGGCAGAATCTGCAAGTGGACATTTGGAGCGCTTTCAGGCCTGTGGTGGAAAAGGCCTGAAAGCCTTTTCCTTTATCTTCACAGAAAGACGAGAGAGAAGCATTGTCAGAAACTTCTTTTTGATGATTGCATTCAACTCACAGAGTTGAAGATTCCTTTTGAAACAGCAGTTTCGAAACACTCTTTCTGTGGGATCCGCAAGGGGATATTTGGACCTCTTTGAAGGTTTCGTTGGAAACGGGATAATCTTCACCTAAAAGCTAAACGGAAACATTCTCAGAAACTTCTTTGGGATGTTTGCATTCACCTCACAGAGTTGAACTTTCCCTTTGATAGCGCAGCTTTGACACACTTTTTCTACAATGTGCAAGTGGCTATTTAGCGGGCTTGGAGGACTGTGTTGGAAAACGAAATATCTTCTCCTAAAAACGACATAGAAGCATTCTCAGAAACTGCTCTGTGATGATTGCATTCAACTCCCAGAGTTGAACATTCCTTTTGATAGAGCAGTTTGCAAACACTCTTTTTGTAGAATCTGCAAGTGGAGATTTGGACCGCTTTGAGGCCTGTGGTAGTGAAGGAAAGAACTTCATATAAAAACCAGACGGTAGCACTCTCAGAAAATTCTTTGTGACGATGGAGTTTAACTCAGGGAGCTGAACATTCGTTATGATGGAGCAGTTTCCAAACACACGTTTTGTAGAATCTGCGAGGGGATATTTGGACCTCTCTGAGGATTTCGTTGGAAACGGGATCAACTTCCCATAACTGAACGGAAGCAAACTCAGAACATTCTTTGTGATGTTTGTATTCAACTCACAGAGTTGAACCTTCCTTTGATAGTTCAGGTTTGCAACACCCTTGTAGTAGAATCTGCAAGTGTATATTTTGACCACTTTGTAGCCTTCGTTTGAAACGTCTATATCTTCACATCAAACCTAGACAGAAGCATTCTCAGAAAGTTTTCTGCGATGAGTGCATTCAACTCACAGATTTGAACAATCCTTTTGATGGAGCAGTTTTGAAACCCTCTTTCTTTGGAATCTGCAAGAGGATATGTGGACCTCTTTGAAGATTTCACTGGAAACGGGATCATCTTCACATAAGAACTAAACAGAAGCATTCTCGGAAACTACTTTGTGATGTTTGTATTCAACTGCCAGAGTTGAACTTTCCTTTTGAAAGAGCAGCTATGAAACACTCTTTTTCGAGAATCTGAAAGTGGACAGTTTGGAGGGCTTTGAGGCCTGTGGTGGAAAAGGAAATATCTTCACATAAAAACTAGATAGAAGCATTCTCAGAAACGACATTGTGAGGATGGCATTCAACTCATGGAGTTGAACAATCCTATTGATAGAGCAGATTGGAATCACTCTTTTTGTAGAATCTGCAAATGGAGATTTGGACTGCTTTGAGGCCTACGGTAGTACAGGAAGGAAGTTCATATAAAAGGCAAACGGAAGCATTCTCAGAATATTCTTTGTGATGATGGAGTTTCACTCACAGAGCTGAACATGCCTTTTGATGGAGCAGTTTCCAAATACACTTTTGGTAGAATCTGCAGGTGGATATTTGGAGCTCTCTGAGGATTTCGTTGGAAACGGGAATAATTTCCCATAACTAAACACAAACACTCTGAGAAAGTTCTTCATGATGAATGCATTTAACTCGCAGAGATGAACCTGCCTTTGAGAGTTCAGGTTCGAAACACTCTTTCTGTAGAATCTGCAAGTGGATATTTGGACCACTGGGTGGCCTTCGTTCGAAACGGGTATATGTTCACGTAAAAACTAAAGAGAAGCATTCTCAGAAACTTCTGAGTGATGATTGCATTCAAGTCACACAGTTGAACCCTCCTTTTGATGGAGCAGTTTTGAAACTGTCTTTTTGTAGAATCTGTAAGTGGATACGTGGACCTCTTTGAAGATTTCTTTGGAAACGGGAATATTTCCACAGAAAAACTAAACTGAAGCATTCTCAGAAACTGCTTTGTGATGTTTGTGTTCGAGCCACAGAGTTTAACATTGCTTTTCATAGAGCAGTTTTGAAATATTCTTTTGGCAGAATCTGCAAGTGGACATTTGGAGCGCTTTCAGGCCTGTGGTGGAAAAGGCCTGAAAGCCTTTTCCTTTATCTTCACAGAAAGACGAGAGAGAAGCATTGTCAGAAACTTCTTTGTGATGATTGCATTCAACCCACAGAGTTGAAGATTCCTTTTGAAACAGCAGTTTCGAAACACTCTTTCTGTGGGATCCGCAAGGGGATATTTGGACCTCTTTGAAGGTTTCGTTGGAAACGGGATAATCTTCACCTAAAAGCTAAACGGAAGCATTCTCAGAAACTTCTTTGGGATGTTTGCATTCACCTCACAGAGTTGAACTTTCCCTTTGATAGCGCAGCTTTGACACACTTTTTCTACAATGTGCAAGTGGCTATTTAGCGGGCTTGGAGGACTGTGTTGGAAAAGGAAATATCTTCTCCTAAAAACGACATAGAAGCATTCTCAGAAACTGCTCTGTGATGATTGCATTCAACTCCCAGAGTTGAACATTCCTTTTGATAGAGCAGTTTGCAAACACTCTTTTTGTAGAATCTGCAAGTGGAGATTTGGACCGCTTTGAGGCCTGTGGTAGTGAAGGAAAGAACTTCATATAAAAACCAGACGGTAGCACTCTCAGAAAATTCTTTGTGACGATGGAGTTTAACTCAGGGAGCTGAACATTCGTTATGATGGAGCAGTTTCCAAACACACGTTTTGTAGAATCTGCGAGGGGATATTTGGACCTCTCTGAGGATTTCGTTGGAAACGGGATCAACTTCCCATAACTGAACGGAAGCAAACTCAGAACATTCTTTGTGATATTTGTATTCAATTCACAGAGTTGAACCTTCCTTTGATAGTTCAGGTTTGCAACACCCTTGTAGTAGAATCTGCAAGTGTATATTTTGACCACTTTGTAGCCTTCGTTTGAAACGTCTATATCTTCACATCAAACCTAGACAGAAGCATTCTCAGAAAGTTTTCTGCGATGACTGCATTCAACTCACAGAGTTGAACAATCCTTCTGATGGAGCAGTTTTGAAACCCTCTTTCTTTGGAATCTGCAAGGGGATATGTGGACCTCTTTGAAGATTTCACTGGAAACGGGATCATCTTCACATAAAAACTAAACAGAAGCATTCTCGGAAACTACTTTGTGATGTTTGTATTCAACTCCCAGAGTTGAACTTTCCTTTTGAAAGAGCAGCTATGAAACACTCCTTTTCGAGAATCTGCAAGTGGACGTTTGGAGGGCTTTGAGGCCTGTGGTGGAAAAGGAAATATCTTCACATAAAAACTAGATAGAAGCATTCTCAGAAACGACTTTGTGAGGATGGCATTCAACTCATGGAGTTGAACAATCCTATTGATAGAGCAGATTGGAATCACTCTTTTTGTAGAATCTGCAAATGGAGATTTGCACTGCTTTGAGGCCTACGGTCGTATAGGAAGGAACTTCATATAAAAGGCAAACGGAAGCATTCTCAGAATATTCTTTGTGATGATGGAGTTTCACTCACAGAGCTGAACATGCCTGTTGATGGAGCAGTTTCCAAATACACTTTTGGTAGAATCTGCAGGTGGATATTTGGAGCTCTCTGAGGATTTCGTTGGAAACGGGAATAATTTCCCATAACTAAACACAAACACTCTGAGAAAGTTCTTCATGATGAATGCATTTAACTCGCAGAGATGAACCTGCCTTTGAGAGTTCAGGTTCGAAACACTCTTTCTGTATAATCTGCAAGTGGATATTTGGACCACTGGGTGGCCTTCGTTCGAAACGGGTATATGTTCACGTAAAAACTAAAGAGAAGCATTCTCAGAAACTTCTGAGTGATGATTGCATTCAAGTCACACAGTTGAACCCTCCTTTTGATGGAGCAGTTTTGAAACTGTCTTTTTGTAGAATCTGTAAGTGGATACGTGGACCTCTTTGAAGATTTCTTTGGAAACGGGAATATTTCCACAGAAAAACTAAACTGAAGCATTCTCAGAAACCGCTTTGTGATGTTTGTGTTCGAGCCACAGAGTTTACCATTGCTTTTCATAGAGCAGTTTTGAAATATTCTTTTCGCAGAATCTGCAAGTGGACATTTGGAGCGCTTTCAGGCCTGTGGTGGAAAAGGCCTGAAAGCCTTTTCCTTTATCTTCACAGAAAGACGAGAGAGAAGCATTGTCAGAAACTTCTTTGTGATGATTGCATTCAACTCACAGAGTTGAAGATTCCTTTTGAAACAGCAGTTTCGAAACACTCTTTCTGTGGGATCCGCAAGGGGATATTTGGACCTCTTTGAAGGTTTCGTTGGAAACGGGATAATCTTCACCTAAAAGCTAAACGGAAGCATTCTCAGAAACTTCTTTGGGATGTTTGCATTCACCTCACAGAGTTGAACTTTCCCTTTGATAGCGCAGCTTTGACACACTTTTTCTACAATGTGCAAGTGGCTATTTAGCGGGCTTGGAGGACTGTGTTGGAAAAGGAAATATCTTCTCCTAAAAACGACATAGAAGCATTCTCAGAAACTGCTCTGTGATGATTGCATTCAACTCCCAGAGTTGAACATTCCTTTTGATAGAGCAGTTTGCAAACACTCTTTTTGTAGAATCTGCAAGTGGAGATTTGGACCGCTTTGAGGCCTGTGGTAGTGAAGGAAAGAACTTCATATAAAAACCAGACGGTAGCACTCTCAGAAAATTCTTTGTGACGATGGAGTTTAACTCAGGGAGCTGAACATTCGTTATGATGGAGCAGTTTCCAAACACACGTTTTGTAGAATCTGCAAGGGGATATTTGGACCTCTCTGAGGATTTCGTTGGAAACGGGATCAACTTCCCATAACTGAACGGAAGCAAACTCAGAACATTCTTTGTGATGTTTGTATTCAACTCACAGAGTTGAACCTTCCTTTGATAGTTCAGGTTTGCAACACCCTTGTAGTAGAATCTGCAAGTGTATATTTTGACCACTTTGTAGCCTTCATTTGAAACGTCTATATCTTCACATCAAACCTAGACAGAAGCATTCTCAGAAAGTTTTCTGCGATGACTGCATTCAACTCACAGAGTTGAACAATCCTTTTGATGGAGCAGTTTTGAAACCCTCTTTCTTTGGAATCTGCAAGGGGATATGTGGACCTCTTTGAAGATTTCACTGGAAACGGGATCATCTTCACATAAAAACTAAACAGAAGCATTCTCGGAAACTATTTTGTGATGTTTGTATTCAACTCCCAGAGTTGAACTTTCCTTTTGAAAGAGCAGCTATGAAACACTCTTTTTCGAGAATCTGCAAGTGGACGTTTGGAGGGCTTTGAGGCCTGTGGTGGAAAAGGAAATATCTTCACACAAAAACCAGATAGAAGCATTCTCAGAAACTGCTTTGTGAGGATGGCATTCAACTCATGGAGTTGAACAATCCTATTGATAGAGCAGATTGGAATCACTCTTTTTGTAGAATCTGCAAATGGAGATTTGGACTGCTTTGAGGCCTACGGTAGTACAGGAAGGAACTTCATATAAAAGGCAAACGGAAGCATTCTCAGAATATTCTTTGTGATGATGGAGTTTCACTCACAGAGCTGAACATGCCTTGTGATGGAGCAGTTTCCAAATACACTTTTGGTAGAATCTGCAGGTGGATATTTGGAGCTCTCTGAGGATTTCGTTGGAAACGGGAATAATTTCCCATAACTAAACACAAACACTCTGAGAAAGTTCTTCATGATGAATGCATTTAACTCGCAGAGATGAACCTGCCTTTGAGAGTTCAGGTTCGAAACACTCTTTCTGTAGAATCTGCAAGTGGATATTTGGACCACTGGGTGGCCTTCGTTCGAAACGGGTATATGTTCACGTAAAAACTAAAGAGAAGCATTCTCAGAAACTTCTGAGTGATGATTGCATTCAAGTCACACGGTTGAACCCTCCTTTTGATGGAGCAGTTTTGAAACTGTCTTTTTGTAGAATCTGTAAGTGGATACGTGGACCTCTTTGAAGATTTCTTTGGAAACGGGAATATTTCCACAGAAAAACTAAACTGAAGCATTCTCAGAAACCGCTTTGTGATGTTTGTGTTCGAGCCACAGAGTTTAACATTGCTTTTCATAGAGCAGTTTTGAAATATTCTTTTCGCAGAATCTGCAAGTGGACATTTGGAGCGCTTTCAGGCCTGTGGTGGAAAAGGCCTGAAAGCCTTTTCCTTTATCTTCACAGAAAGACGAGAGAGAAGCATTGTCAGAAACTTCTTTGTGATGATTGCATTCAACTCACAGAGTTGAAGATTCCTTTTGAAACAGCAGTTTCGAAACACTCTTTCTGTGGGATCCGCAAGGGGATATTTGGACCTCTTTGAAGGTTTCGTTGGAAACGGGATAATCTTCACCTAAAAGCTAAACGGAAGCATTCTCAGAAACTTCTTTGGGATGTTTGCATTCACCTCACAGAGTTGAACTTTCCCTTTGATAGCGCAGCTTTGACACACTTTTTCTACAATGTGCAAGTGGCTATTTAGCGGGCTTGGAGGACTGTGTTGGAAAAGGAAATATCTTCTCCTAAAAACGACATAGAAGCATTCTCAGAAACTGCTCTGTGATGATTGCATTCAACTCCCAGAGTTGAACATTCCTTTTGATAGAGCAGTTTGCAAACACTCTTTTTGTAGAATCTGCAAGTGGAGATTTGGACCGCTTTGAGGCCTGTGGTAGTGAAGGAAAGAACTTCATATAAAAACCAGACGGTAGCACTCTCAGAAAATTCTTTGTGACGATGGAGTTTAACTCAGGGAGCTGAACATTCGTTATGATGGAGCAGTTTCCAAACACACGTTTTGTAGAATCTGCGAGGGGATATTTGGACCTCTCTGAGGATTTCGTTGGAAACGGGATCAACTTCCCATAACTGAACGGAAGCAAACTCAGAACATTCTTTGTGATGTTTGTATTCAACTCACAGAGTTGAACCTTCCTTTGATAGTTCAGGTTTGCAACACCCTTGTAGTAGAATCTGCAAGTGTATATTTTGACCACTTTGTAGCCTTCGTTTGAAACGTCTATATCTTCACATCAAACCTAGAAAGAAGCATTCTCAGAAAGTTTTCTGCGATGACTGCATTCAACTCACAGAGTTGAACAATCCTTCTGATGGAGCAGTTTTGAAACCCTCTTTCTTTGGAATCTGCAAGGGGATATGTGGACCTCTTTGATGATTTCACTGGAAACGGGGTCATCTTCACATAAAAACTAAACAGAAGCATTCTCGGAAACTACTTTGTGATGTTTGTATTCAACTCCCAGAGTTGAACTTTCCTTTTGAAAGAGCAGCTATGAAACACTCTTTTTCGAGAATCTGCAAGTGGACGTTTGGAGGGCTTTGAGGCCTGTGGTGGAAAAGGAAATATCTTCACATAAAAACTAGATAGAAGCATTCTCAGAAACGACTTTGTGAGGATGGCATTCAACTCATGGAGTTGAACAATCCTATTGATAGAGCAGATTGGAATCACTCTTTTTGTAGAATCTGCAAATGGAGATTTGGACTGCTTTGAGGCCTACGGTAGTATAGGAAGGAACTTCATATAAAAGGCAAACGGAAGCATTCTCAGAATATTCTTTGTGATGATGGAGTTTCACTCACAGAGCTGAACATGCCTTTTGATGGAGCAGTTTCCAAATACACTTTTGGTAGAATCTGCAGGTGGATATTTGGACCTCTCTGAGGATTTCGTTGGAAATGGCAATAATTTCCCATAACTAAACACAAACACGCTGAGAAAGTTCTTCATGATGAATGCATTGAACTCGCAGAGATGAACCTGCCTTTGAGAGTTCAGGTTCGAAACACTCTTTCTGTAGAATCTGCAAGTGGATATTTGGACCACTGGGTGGCCTTCGTTCGAAACGGGTATATGTTCACGTAAAAACTAAAGAGAAGCGTTCTCAGAAACTTCTGAGTGATGATTGCACTCAAGTCACACGGTTGAACCCTCCTTATGATTGAGCAGTTTTGAAACTGTCTTTTTGTAGAATCTGTAAGTGGATGCGTGGACCTCTTTGAAGATTTCTTTCGAAACGGGAATATTTCCACAGAAAAACTAAACTGAAGCATTCTCAGAAACTGCTTTGTGATGTTTGTGTTCGAGCCACAGAGTTTAACATTGCTTTTCATAGAGCAGTTTTGAAATATTCTTTTGGCAGAATCTGCAAGTGGACATTTGGAGCGCTTTCAGGCCTGTGGTGGAAAAGGCCTGAAAGCCTTTTCCTTTATCTTCACAGAAAGACGAGAGAGAAGCATTGTCAGAAACTTCTTTGTGATGATTGCATTCAACTCACAGAGTTGAAGATTCCTTTTGAAACAGCAGTTTCGAAACACTCTTTCTGTGGGATCCGCAAGGGGATATTTGGACCTCTTTGAAGGTTTCGTTGGAAACGGGATAATCTTCACCTAAAAGCTAAACGGAAGCATTCTCAGAAACTTCTTTGGGATGTTTGCATTCACCTCACAGAGTTGAACTTTCCCTTTGATAGCGCAGCTTTGACACACTTTTCCTACAATGTGCAAGTGGCTATTTAGCGGGCTTGGAAGACTGTGTTGGAAAAGGAAATATCTTCTCCTAAAAACGACATAGAAGCATTCTCAGAAACTGCTCTGTGATGATTGCATTCAACTCCCAGAGTTGAACATTCCTTTTGATAGAGCAGTTTGCAAACACTCTTTTTGTAGAATCTGCAAGTGGAGATTTGGACCGCTTTGAGGCCTGTGGTAGTGAAGGAAAGAACTTCATATAAAAACCAGACGGTAGCACTCTCAGAAAATTCTTTGTGACGATGGAGTTTAACTCAGGGAGCTGAACATTCGTTATGATGGAGCAGTTTCCAAACACACGTTTTGTAGAATCTGCAAGGGGATATTTGGACCTCTCTGAGGATTTCGTTGGAAACGGGATCAACTTCCCATAACTGAACGGAAGCAAACTCAGAACATTCTTTGTGATGTTTGTATTCAACTCACAGAGTTGAACCTTCCTTTGATAGTTCAGGTTTGCAACACCCTTGTAGTAGAATCTGCAAGTGTATATTTTGACCACTTTGTAGCCTTCGTTTGAAACATCTATATCTTCACATCAAACCTAGACAGAAGCATTCTCAGAAAGTTTTCTGCGATGACTGCATTCAACTCACAGAGTTGAACAATCCTTCTGATGGAGCAGTTTTGAAACCCTCTTTCTTTGGAATCTGCAAGGGGATATGTGGACCTCTTTGAAGATTTCACTGGAAACGGGATCATCTTCACATAAAAACTAAACAGAAGCATTCTCGGAAACTACTTTGTGATGTTTGTATTCAACTCCCAGAGTTGAACTTTCCTTTTGAAAGAGCAGCTATAAAACACTCTTTTTCGAGAATCTGCAAGTGGACGTTTGGAGGGCTTTGAGGCCTGTGGTGGAAAAGGAAATATCTTCACATAAAAACTAGATAGAAGCATTCTCAGAAACGACTTTGTGAGGATGGCATTCAACTCATGGAGTTGAACAATCCTATTGATAGAGCAGATTGGAATCACTCTTTTTGTAGAATCTGCAAATGGAGATTTGGACTGCTTTGAGGCCTACGGTCGTATAGGAAGGAACTTCAGATAAAAGGCAAACGGAAGCATTCTCAGAATATTCTTTGTGATGATGGAGTTTCACTCACAGAGCTGAACATGCCTTTTGATGGAGCAGTTTCCAAATACACTTTTGGTAGAATCTGCAGGTGGATATTTGGAGCTCTCTGAGGATTTCGTTGGAAACGGGAATAATTTCCCATAACTAAACACAAACACTCTGAGAAAGTTCTTCATGATGAATGCATTTAACTCGCAGAGATGAACCTGCCTTTGAGAGTTCAGGTTCGAAACACTCTTTCTGTATAATCTGCAAGTGGATATTTGGACCACTGGGTGGCCTTCGTTCGAAACGGGTATATGTTCACGTAAAAACTAAAGAGAAGCATTCTCAGAAACTTCTGAGTGATGATTGCATTCAAGTCACACGGTTGAACCCTCCTTTTGATGGAGCAGTTTTGAAACTGTCTTTTTGTAGAATCTGTAAGTGGATACGTGGACCTCTTTGAAGATTTCTTTGGAAACGGGAATATTTCCACAGAAAAACTAAACTGAAGCATTCTCAGAAACCGCTTTGTGATGTTTGTGTTCGAGCCACAGAGTTTAACATTGCTTTTCATAGAGCAGTTTTGAAATATTCTTTTCGCAGAATCTGCAAGTGGACATTTGGAGCGCTTTCAGGCCTGTGGTGGAAAAGGGCCTGAAAGCCTTTTCCTTTATCTTCACAGAAAGACGAGAGAGAAGCATTGTCAGAAACTTCTTTGTGATGATTGCATTCAACTCACAGAGTTGAAGATTCCTTTTGAAACAGCAGTTTCGAAACACTCTTTCTGTGGGATCCGCAAGGGGATATTTGGACCTCTTTGAAGGTTTCGTTGGAAACGGGATAATCTTCACCTAAAAGCTAAACGGAAGCATTCTCAGAAACTTCTTTGGGATGTTTGCATTCACCTCACAGAGTTGAACTTTCCCTTTGATAGCGCAGCTTTGACACACTTTTTCTACAATGTGCAAGTGGCTATTTAGCGGGCTTGGAGGACTGTGTTGGAAAAGGAAATATCTTCTCCTAAAAACGACATAGAAGCATTCTCAGAAACTGCTCTGTGATGATTGCATTCAACTCCCAGAGTTGAACATTCCTTTTGATAGAGCAGTTTGCAAACACTCTTTTTGTAGAATCTGCAAGTGGAGATTTGGACCGCTTTGAGGCCTGTGGTAGTGAAGGAAAGAACTTCATATAAAAACCAGACGGTAGCACTCTCAGAAAATTCTTTGTGACGATGGAGTTTAACTCAGGGAGCTGAACATTCGTTATGATGGAGCAGTTTCCAAACACACGTTTTGTAGAATCTGCGAGGGGATATTTGGACCTCTCTGAGGATTTCGTTGGAAACGGGATCAACTTCCCATAACTGAACGGAAGCAAACTCAGAACATTCTTTGTGATGTTTGTATTCAACTCACAGAGTTGAACCTTCCTTTGATAGTTCAGGTTTGCAACACCCTTGTAGTAGAATCTGCAAGTGTATATTTTGACCACTTTGTAGCCTTCGTTTGAAACGTCTATATCTTCACATCAAACCTAGAAAGAAGCATTCTCAGAAAGTTTTCTGCGATGACTGCATTCAACTCACAGAGTTGAACAATCCTTCTGATGGAGCAGTTTTGAAACCCTCTTTCTTTGGAATCTGCAAGGGGATATGTGGACCTCTTTGATGATTTCACTGGAAACGGGGTCATCTTCACATAAAAACTAAACAGAAGCATTCTCGGAAACTATTTTGTGATGTTTGTATTCAACTCCCAGAGTTGAACTTTCCTTTTGAAAGAGCAGCTATGAAACACTCTTTTTCTAGAATCTGCAAGTGGACGTTTGGAGGGCTTTGAGGCCTGTGGTGGAAAAGGAAATATCTTCACACAAAAACCAGATAGAAGCATTCTCAGAAACTACTTTGTGAGGATGGCATTCAACTCATGGAGTTGAACAATCCTATTGATAGAGCAGATTGGAATCACTCTTTTTGTAGAATCTGCAAATGGAGATTTGGACTGCTTTGAGGCCTACGGTAGTACAGGAAGGAACTTCATATAAAAGGCAAACGGAAGCATTCTCAGAATATTCTTTGTGATGATGGAGTTTCACTCACAGAGCTGAACATGCCTTTTGATGGAGCAGTTTCCAAATACACTTTTGGTAGAATCTGCAGGTGGATATTTGGAGCTCTCTGAGGATTTCGTTGGAAACGGGAATAATTTCCCATAACTAAACACAAACACGCTGAGAAAGTTCTTCATGATGAATGCATTTAACTCGCAGAGATGAACCTGCCTTTGAGAGTTCAGGTTCGAAACACTCTTTCTGTAGAATCTGCAAGTGGATATTTGGACCACTGGGTGGCCTTCGTTCGAAACGGGTATATGTTCACGTAAAAACTAAAGAGAAGCATTCTCAGAAACTTCTGAGTGATGATTGCATTCAAGTCACACAGTTGAACCCTCGTTTTGATTGAGCAGTTTTGAAACTGTGTTTTTGTAGAATCTGTAAGTGGATGCGTGGACCTCTTTGAAGATTTCTTTGGAAACGGGAATATTTCCACAGAAAAACTAAACTGAAGCATTCTCAGAAACTGCTTTGTGATGTTTGTGTTCGAGCCGCAGAGTTTAACATTGCTTTTCATAGAGCAGTTTTGAAATATTCTTTTGGCAGAATCTGCAAGTGGACATTTGGAGCGCTTTCAGGCCTGTGGTGGAAAAGGCCTGAAAGCCTTTTCCTTTATCTTCACAGAAAGACGAGAGAGAAGCATTGTCAGAAACTTCTTTGTGATGATTGCATTCAACTCACAGAGTTGAAGATTCCTTTTGAAACAGCAGTTTCGAAACACTCTTTCTGTGGGAACCGCAAGGGGATATTTGGATCTATTTGAAGGTTTCGTTGGAAACTGGATAATCGTCACCTAAAAGCTAAACGGAAGCATTCTCAGAAACTTCTTTTGGATGTTTGCATTCACCTCACAGAGTTGAATTTTCCCTTTGATAGCGCAGCTTCGACACACTTTTTCTACAATGTGCAAGTGGATATTTAGCGGGCTTGGAGGACTGTGTTGGAAAAGGAAATATCTTCTCCTAAAAACGACATAGAAGCATTCTCAGAAACTGCTCTGTGATGATTGCATTCAACTCCCAGAGTTGAACATTCCTTTTGATAGAGCAGTTTGCAAACACTCTTTTTGTAGAATCTGCAAGTGGAGATTTGGACCGCTTTGAGGCCTGTGGTAGTAAAGGAAACAACTTCATATAAAAACCAGACGGTAGCACTCTCAGAAAATTCTTTGTGACGATGGAGTTTAACTCAGAGAGCTGAACATTCGTTATGATGGAGCAGTTTCCAAACACACGTTTTGTAGAATCTGCAAGGGGATATTTGGACCTCTCTGAGGATTTCGTTGGAAACGGGATCAACTTCCCATAACTGAACGGAAGCAAACTCAGAACATTCTTTGTGATGTTTGTATTCAACTCACAGAGTTGAACCTTCCTTTGATAGTTCAGGTTTGCAACACCCTTGTAGTAGAATCTGCAAGTGTATATTTTGACCACTTTGTAGCCTTCGTTTGAAACGTCTATATCTTCACCTCAAACCTAGACAGAAGCATTCTCAGAAAGTTTTCTGCGATGACTGCATTCAACTCACAGAGTTGAACAATCCTTTTGATGGAGCAGTTTTGAAACCCTCTTTCTTTGGAATCTGCAAGGGGATATGTGGACCTCTTTGAAGATTTCACTGGAAACGGGATCATCTTCACATAAGAACTAAACAGAAGCATTCTCGGAAACTACTTTGTGATGTTTGTATTCAACACCCAGAGTTGAACTTTCCTTTTGAAAGAGCAGCTATGAAACACTCTTTTTCGAGAATCTGCAAGTGGACGTTTGGAGGGCTTTGAGGCTGTGGTGGAAAAGGAAATATCTTCACATAAAAACTAGATAGAAGCATTCTCAGAGACTACTTTGTGAGGATGGCATTCAACTCATGGAGTTGAACAATCCTATTGATAGAGCAGATTGGAATCACTCTTTTTGTAGGATCTGCAAATGGAGATTTGGACTGCTTTGAGGCCTACGGTAGTATAGGAAGGAACTTCATATAAAAGGCAAATGGAAGCATTCTCAGAATATTCTTTGTGATGATGGAGTTTCACTCACAGAGCTGAACATGCCTTTTGATGGAGCAGTTTCCAAATACACTTTTGGTAGAATCTGCAGGTGGATATTTGGACCTCTCTGAGGATTTCGTTGGAAACGGGAATAATTTCCCATACCTAAACACAAACACTCTGAGAAAGTTCTTCATGATGAATGCATTGAACTCGCAGAGATGAACATGCCTTTGAGAGTTCAGGTTCGAAACACTCTTTCTGTAGAATCTGCAAGTGGATATTTGGACCACTGGGTGGCCTTCGTTCGAAACGGGTATATGTTCACGTAAAAACTAAAGAGAAGCATTCTCAGAAACTTCTGAGTGATGATTGCATTCAAGTCACACGGTTGAACACTCCTTTTGATTGAGCAGTTTTGAAACTGTCTTTTTGTAGAATCTGTAAGTGGATACGTGGACCTCTTTGAAGATTTCTTTCGAAACGGGAATATTTCCACAGAAAAACTAAACTGAAGCATTCTCAGAAACTGCTTTGTGATGTTTGTGTTCGAGCCACAGAGTTTAACATTGCTTTTCATAGAGCAGTTTTGAAATATTCTTTTGGCAGAATCTGCAAGTGGACATTTGGAGCGCTTTCAGGCCTGTGGTGGAAAAGGCCTGAAAGCCTTTTCCTTTATCTTCACAGAAAGACGAGAGAGAAGCATTGTCAGAAACTTCTTTGTGATGATTGCATTCAACTCACAGAGTTGAAGATTCCTTTTGAAACAGCAGTTTCGAAACACTCTTTCTGTGGGATCCGCAAGGGGATATTTGGACCTCTTTGAAGATTTCGTTGGAAACGGGATAATCTTCACCTAAAAGCTAAACGGAAGCATTCTCAGAAACTTCTTTGGGATGTTTGCATTCACCTCACAGAGTTGAACTTTCCCTTTGATAGCGCAGCTTCGACACACTTTTTTTACAATGTGCAAGTGGATATTTAGCGGGCTTGGAGGACTGTGTTGGAAAAGGAAATATCTTCTCCTAAAAACGACATAGAAGCATTCTCAGAAACTGCTCTGTGATGATTGCATTCAACTCCCAGAGTTGAACATTCCTTTTGATAGAGCAGTTTGCAAACACTCTTTTTGTAGAATCTGCAAGTGGAGATTTGGACCGCTTTGAGGCCTGTGGTAGTAAAGGGAAGAACTTCATATAAAAACCAGACGGTAGCACTCTCAGAAAATTCTTTGTGACGATGGAGTTTAACTCAGAGAGCTGAACATTCGTTATGATGGAGCAGTTTCCAAACACACGTTTTGCAGAATCTGCAAGGGGATATTTGGACCTCTCTGAGGATTTCGTTGGAAACGGGATCAACTTCCCATAACTGAACGGAAGCAAACTCAGAACATTCTTTGTGATGTTTGCATTCATCTCACAGAGTTGAACCTTCCTTTGATAGTTGAGGTTTGCAACACCCTTGTAGTAGAATCTGCAAGTGTATATTTTGACCACTTTGTAGCCTTCGTTTGAAACGTCTATATCTTCACATCAAACCTAGACAGAAGCATTCTCAGAAAGTTTTCTGCGATGACTGCATTCAACTCACAGAGTTGAACAATCCTTTTGATGGAGCAGTTTTGAAACCCTCTTTCTTTGGAATCTGCAAGGGGATATGTGGACCTCTTTGAAGATTTCACTGGAAACGGGATCATCTTCACATAAGAACTAAACAGAAGCATTCTCGGAAACTACTTTGTGATGTTTGTATTCAACTCCCAGAGTTGAACTTTCCTTTTGAAAGAGCAGCTATGAAACACTCTTTTTCGGGAATCTGCAAGTGGACGTTTGGAGGGCTTTGAGGCCTGTGGTGGAAAAGGAAATATCTTCACTTAAAAACTACATAGAAGCATTCTCAGAAACTACTTTGTGAGGATGGCATTCAACTCATGGAGTTGAACAATCCTATTGATAGAGCAGATTGGAATCACTCTTTTTGTAGAATCTGCAAATGGAGATTTGGACTGCTTTGAGGCCTACGGTAGTATAGGAAGGAACTTCATATAAAAGGCAAACGGAAGCATTCTCAGAATATTCTTTGTGATGACGGAGTTTCACTCACAGAGCTGAACATGCCTTTTCATGGAGCAGTTTCCAAATACACTTTTGGTAGAATCTGCAGGTGGATATTTGGAGCTCTCTGAGGATTTCGTTGGAAACGGGAATAATTTCCCATAACTAAACACAAACACGCTGAGAAAGTTCTTCATGATGAATGCATTTAACTCGCAGAGATGAACCTGCCTTTGAGAGTTCAGGTTCAAAACACTCTTTCTGTAGAATCTGCAAGTGGATATTTGGACCACTGGCTGGCCTTCGTTCGAAACGGGTATATGTTCACGTAAAAACTAAAGAGAAGCGTTCTCAGAAACTTCTGAGTGATGAATGCATTCAAGTCACACAGTTGAACCCTCCTTTTGATTGAGCAGTTTTGAAACTGTCTTTTTGTAGAATCTGTAAGTGGATGCGTGGACCTCTTTGAAGATTTCTTTGGAAACGGGAATATTTCCACAGAAAAACTAAACTGAAGCATTCTCAGAAACTGCTTTGTGATGTTTGTGTTCGAGCCGCAGAGTTTAACATTGCTTTTCATAGAGCAGTTTTGAAATATTCTTTTGGCAGAATCTGCAAGTGGACATTTGGAGCGCTTTCAGGCCTGTGGTGGAAATGGCCTGAAAGCCTTTTCCTTTATCTTCACAGAAAGACGAGAGAGAAGCATTGTCAGAAACTTCTTTGTGATGATTGCATTCAACTCACAGAGTTGAAGATTCCTTTTGAAACAGCAGTTTCGAAACACTCTTTCTGTGGGATCCGCAAGGGGATATTTGGACCTCTTTGAAGATTTCGTTGGAAACGGGATAATCTTCACTTAAAGCTAAACGGAAGCATTCTCAGAAACTTCTTTGGGATGTTTGCATTCACCTCACAGAGTTGAACTTTCCCTTTGATAGCGCAGCTTCGACACACTTTTTCTACAATGTGCAAGTGGATATTTAGCGGGCTTGGAGGACTGTGTTGGAAAAGGAAATATCTTCTCCTAAAAACGACATAGAAGCATTCTCAGAAACTGCTCTGTGATGATTGCATTCAACTCCCAGAGTTGAACATTCCTTTTGATAGAGCAGTTTGCAAACACTCTTTTTGTAGAATCTGCAAGTGGAGATTTGGACCGCTTTGAGGCCTGTGGTAGTAAAGGAAAGAACTTCATATAAAAAGTAGACGGTAGCACTCTCAGAAAATTCTTTGTGACGATGGAGTTTAACTCAGAGAGCTGAACATTCGTTATGATGGAGCAGTTTCCAAACACACGTTTTGTAGAATCTGCAAGGGGATATTTGGACCTCTCTGAGGATTTCGTTGGAAACGGGATCAACTTCCCATAACTGAACGGAAGCAAACTCAGAACATTCTTTGTGATGTTTGTATTCAACTCACAGAGTTGAACCTTCCTTTGATAGTTCAGGTTTGCATCACCCTTGTAGTAGAATCTGCAAGTGTATATTTTGACCACTTTGTAGCCTTCATTTGAAACGTCTATATCTTCACATCAAACCTAGACAGAAGCATTCTCAGAAAGTTTTCTGCGATGACTGCATTCAACTCACAGAGTTGAACAGTCCTTTTGATGGAGCAGTTTTGAAACCCTCTTTCTTTGGAATCTGCAAGGGGATATGTGGACCTCTTTGAAGATTTCACTGGAAACGGGATCATCTTTACATAAGAACTAAACAGAAGCATTCTCGGAAACTACTTTGTGATGTTTGTATTCAACTCCCAGAGTTGAACTTTCCTTTTGAAAGAGCAGCTATGAAACCCTCTTTTTCGAGAATCTGCAAGTGGACGTTTGGAGGGCTTTGAGGCCTGTGGTGGAAAAGGAAATATCTTCACATAGAAACTAGATAGAAGCATTCTCAGAAACGACTTTGTGAGGATGGCATTCAACTCATGGAGTTGAACAATCCTATTGATAGAGCAGATTGGAATCACTCTTTTTGTAGAATCTGCAAATGAAGATTTGGACTGCTTTGAGGCCTACGGTAGTATAGGAAGGAGCTTCATATAAAAGGCAAACGGAAGCATTCTCAGAATATTATTTGTGATGATGGAGTTTCACACACAGAGCTGAACATGCCTTTTGATGGAGCAGTTTCCAAATACACTTTTGGTAGAATCTGTAGGTGGATATTTGGACCTCTCTGAGGATTTCGTTGGAAACGGGAATAATTTCCCATAACTAAACACAAACACGCTGAGAAAGTTCTTCATGATGAATGCATTTAACTCGCAGAGATGGACCTGCCTTTGAGAGTTCATGTTCGAAACACTCTTTCTGTAGAATCTGCAAGTGGATATTTGGACCACTGGCTGACCTTCGTTCGAAACGGGTATATGTTCACGTAAAAACTAAAGAGAAGCATTCTCAGAAACTTCTGAGTGATGATTGCATTCAAGTCACACAGTTGAACCCTCCTTTTGATGGAGCAGTTTTGAAACTGTCTTTTTGTAGAATCTGTAAGTGGATACGTGGACCTCTTTGAAGATTTCTTTGGAAACGGGAATATTTCCACAGAAAAACTAAACTGAAGCATTCTCAGAAACTGCTTTGTGATGTTTGTGTTCGAGCCACAGAGTTTAACATTGCTTTTCATAGAGCAGTTTTGAAATATTCTTTTGGCAGAATCTGCAAGTGGACATTTGGAGCGCTTTCAGGCCTGTGGTGGAAAAGGCCTGAAAGCCTTTTCCTTTATCTTCACAGGAAGACGAGAGAGAAGCATTGTCAGAAACTTCTTTGTGATGATTGCATTCAACTCACAGAGTTGAAGATTCCTTTTGAAACAGCAGTTTCGAAACACTCTTTCTGTGGGATCCGCAAGGGGATATTTGGACCTCTTTGAAGGTTTCGTTGGAAACGGGATAATCTTCACCTAAAAGCTAAACGGAAGCACTCTCAGAAACTTCTTTGGGATGTTTGCATTCACCTCTCAGAGTTGAACTTTCCCTTTGATAGCGCAGCTTTGACACACTTTTTCTACAATGTGCAAGTGGCTATTTAGCGGGCTTGGAGGACTGTGTTGGAAAAGGAAATATCTTCTCCTAAAAACGACATAGAAGCATTCTCAGAAACTGCTCTGTGATGATTGCATTCAACTCCCAGAGTTGAACATTCCTTTTGATAGAGCAGTTTGCAAACACTCTTTTTGTAGAATCTGCAAGTGGAGATTTGGACCGCTTTGAGGACTGGGGTAGTAAAGGAAAGAGCTTCATATAAAAACCAGACGGTAGCACTCTCAGAAAATTCTTTGTGACGATGGAGTTTAACTCAGGGAGCTGAACATTCGTTATGATGGAGCAGTTTCCAAACACACGTTTTGTAGAATCTGCAAGGGGATATATGGACCTCTCTGAGGATTTCGCTGGAAACGGGATCAACTTCCCATAACTGAACGGAAGCAAACTCAGAACATTCTTTGTGATGTTTGTATTCAACTCACAGAGTTGAACCTTCCTTTGATAGTTCAGGTTTGCAACACCCTTGTAGTAGAATCTGCAAGTGTATATTTTGACCACTTTGTAGCCTTCGTTTGAAACGTCTATATCTTCACATCAAACCTAGACAGAAGCATTCTCAGAAAGTTTTCTGCGATGACTGCATTCAACTCACAGAGTTGAACAATCCTTCTGATGGAGCAGTTTTGAAACCCTCTTTCTTTGGAATCTGCAAGGGGATATGTGGACCTCTTTGAAGATTTCACTGGAAACGGGATCATCTTCACATAAAAACTAAACAGAAGCATTCTCGGAAACTATTTTGTGATGTTTGTATTCAACTCCCAGAGTTGAACTTTCCTTTTGAAAGAGCAGCTATGAAACACTCTTTTTCGAGAATCTGCAAGTGGACGTTTAGAGGGCTTTGAGGCCTGTGGTGGAAAAGGAAATATCTTCACACAAAAACCAGATAGAAGCATTCTCAGAAACTGCTTTGTGAGGATGGCATTCAACTCATGGAGTTGAACAATCCTATTGATAGAGCAGATTGGAATCACTCTTTTTGTAGAATCTGCAAATGGAGATTTGGACTGCTTTGAGGCCTACGGTAGTACAGGAAGGAACTTCATATAAAAGGCAAACGGAAGCATTCTCAGAATATTCTTTGTGATGATGGAGTTTCACTCACAGAGCTGAACATGCCTTTTGATGGAGCAGTTTCCAAATACACTTTTGGTAGAATCTGCAGGTGGATATTTGGAGCTCTCTGAGGATTTCGTTGGAAACGGGAATAATTTCCCATAACTAAACACAAACACTCTGAGAAAGTTCTTCATGATGAATGCATTTAACTCGCAGAGATGAACCTGCCTTTGAGAGTTCAGGTTCGAAACAATCTTTCTGTATAATCTGCAAGTGGATATTTGGACCACTGGGTGGCCTTCGTTCGAAACGGGTATATGTTCACGTAAAAACTAAAGAGAAGCATTCTCAGAAACTTCTGAGTGATGATTGCATTCAAGTCACACGGTTGAACCCTCCTTTTGATGGAGCAGTTTGGAAACTGTCTTTTTGTAGAATCTGTAAGTGGATACGTGGACCTCTTTGAAGATTTCTTTGGAAACGGGAATATTTCCACAGAAAAACTAAACTGAAGCATTCTCAGAAACCGCTTTGTGATGTTTGTGTTCGAGCCGCAGAGTTTAACATTGCTTTTCATAGAGCAGTTTTGAAATATTCTTTTCGCAGAATCTGCAAGTGGACATTTGGAGCGCTTTCAGGCCTGTGGTGGAAAAGGCCTGAAAGCCTTTTCCTTTATCTTCACAGAAAGACGAGAGAGAAGCATTGTCAGAAACTTCTTTGTGATGATTGCATTCAACTCACAGAGTTGAAGATTCCTTTTGAAACAGCAGTTTCGAAACACTCTTTCTGTGGGATCCGCAAGGGGATATTTGGACCTCTTTGAAGGTTTCGTTGGAAACGGGATAATCTTCACCTAAAAGCTAAACGGAAGCATTCTCAGAAACTTCTTTGGGATGTTTGCATTCACCTCACAGAGTTGAACTTTCCCTTTGATAGCGCAGCTTTGACACACTTTTTCTACAATGTGCAAGTGGCTATTTAGCGGGCTTGGAGGACTGTGTTGGAAAAGGAAATATCTTCTCCTAAAAACGACATAGAAGCATTCTCAGAAACTGCTCTGTGATGATTGCATTCAACTCCCAGAGTTGAACATTCCTTTTGATAGAGCAGTTTGCAAACACTCTTTTTGTAGAATCTGCAAGTGGAGATTTGGACCGCTTTGAGGCCTGTGGTAGTGAAGGAAAGAGCTTCATATAAAAACCAGACGGTAGCACTCTCAGAAAATTCTTTGTGACGATGGAGTTTAACTCAGGGAGCTGAACATTCGTTATGATGGAGCAGTTTCCAAACACACGTTTTGTAGAATCTGCAAGGGGATATTTGGACCTCTCTGAGGATTTGGTTGGAAACGGGATCAACTTCCCATAACTGAACGGAAGCAAACTCAGAACATTCTTTGTGATGTTTGTATTCAACTCACAGAGTTGAACCTTCCTTTGATAGTTCAGGTTTGCAACACCCTTGTAGTAGAATCTGCAAGTGTATATTTTGACCACTTTGTAGCCTTCGTTTGAAACGTCTATATCTTCACATCAAACCTAGAAAGAAGCATTCTCAGAAAGTTTTCTGCGATGACTGCATTCAACTCACAGAGTTGAACAATCCTTCTGATGGAGCAGTTTTGAAACCCTCTTTCTTTGGAATCTGCAAGGGGATATGTGGACCTCTTTGAAGATTTCACTGGAAACGGGATCATCTTCACATAAAAACTAAACAGAAGCATTCTCGGAAACTACTTTGTGATGTTTGTATTCAACTCCCAGAGTTGAACTTTCCTTTTGAAAGAGCAGCTATGAAACACTCTTTTTCGAGAATCTGCAAGTGGACGTTTGGAGGGCTTTGAGGCCTGTGGTGGAAAAGGAAATATCTTCACATAAAAACTAGATAGAAGCATTCTCAGAAACGACTTTGTGAGGATGGCATTCAACTCATGGAGTTGAACAATCCTATTGATAGAGCAGATTGGAATCACTCTTTTTGTAGAATCTGCAAATGGAGATTTGGACTGCTTTGAGGCCTACGGTAGTATAGGAAGGAACTTCATATAAAAGGCAAACGGAAGCATTCTCAGAATATTCTTTGTGATGATGGAGTTTCACTCACAGAGCTGAACATGCCTTTTGATGGAGCAGTTTCCAAATACACTTTTGGTAGAATCTGCAGGTGGATATTTGGAGCTCTCTGAGGATTTCGTTGGAAACGGGAATAATTTCCCATAACTAAACACAAACACTCTGAGAAAGTTCTTCATGATGAATGCATTTAACTAACAGAGATGAACCTGCCTTTGAGAGTTCAGGTTCGAAACACTCTTTCTGTAGAATCTGCAAGTGGATATTTGGACCACTGGGTGGCCTTCGTTCGAAACGGGTATATGTTCACGTAAAAACTAAAGAGAAGCATTCTCAGAAACTTCTGAGTGATGATTGCATTCAAGTCACACAGTTGAACCCTCCTTTTGATGGAGCAGTTTTGAAACTGTCTTTTTGTAGAATCTGTAAGTGCATACGTGGACCTCTTTGAAGATTTCTTTGGAAACGGGAATATTTCCACAGAAAAACTAAACTGAAGCATTCTCAGAAACTGCTTTGTGATGTTTGTGTTCGAGCCACAGAGTTTAACATTGCTTTTCATAGAGCAGTTTTGAAATATTCTTTTGGCAGAATCTGCAGGTGGACATTTGGAGCGCTTTCAGGCCTGTGGTGGAAAAGGCCTGAAAGCCTTTTCCTTTATCTTCACAGAAAGACGAGAGAGAAGCATTGTCAGAAACTTCTTTGTGATGATTGCATTCAACTCACAGAGTTGAAGATTCCTTTTGAAACAGCAGTTTCGAAACACTCTTTCTGTGGGATCCGCAAGGGGATATTTGGACCTCTTTGAAGGTTTCGTTGGAAACGGGATAATCTTCACCTAAAAGCTAAACGGAAGCATTCTCAGAAACTTCTTTGGGATGTTTGCATTCACCTCACAGAGTTGAACTTTCCCTTTGATAGCGCAGCTTTGACACACTTTTTCTACAATGTGCAAGTGGCTATTTAGCGGGCTTGGAGGACTGTGTTGGAAAAGGAAATATCTTCTCCTAAAAACGACATAGAAGCATTCTCAGAAACTGCTCTGTGATGATTGCATTCAACTCCCAGAGTTGAACATTCCTTTTGATAGAGCAGTTTGCAAACACTCTTTTTGTAGAATCTGCAAGTGGAGATTTGGACCGCTTTGAGGCCTGTGGTAGTGAAGGAAAGAACTTCATATAAAAACCAGACGGTAGCACTCTCAGAAAATTCTTTGTGACGATGGAGTTTAACTCAGGGAGCTGAACATTCGTTATGATGGAGCAGTTTCCAAACACACGTTTTGTAGAATCTGCAAGGGGATATTTGGACCTCTCTGAGGATTTCGTTGGAAACGGGATCAACTTCCCATAACTGAACGGAAGCAAACTCAGAACATTCTTTGTGATGTTTGTATTCAACTCACAGAGTTGAACCTTCCTTTGATAGTTCAGGTTTGCAACACCCTTGTAGTAGAATCTGCAAGTGTATATTTTGACCACTTTGTAGCCTTCGTTTGAAACGTCTATATCTTCACATCAAAACTAGACAGAAGCATTCTCAGAAAGTTTTCTGCGATGACTGCATTCAACTCACAGAGTTGAACAATCCTTCTGATGGAGCAGTTTTGAAACCCTCTTTCTTTGGAATCTGCAAGGGGATATGTGGACCTCTTTGAAGATTTCACTGGAAACGGGATCATCTTCACATAAAAACTAAACAGAAGCATTCTCGGAAACTACTTTGTGATGTTTGTATTCAACTCCCAGAGTTGAACTTTCCTTTTGAAAGAGCAGCTATGAAACACTCTTTTTCGAGAATCTGCAAGTGGACGTTTGGAGGGCTTTGAGGCCTGTGGTGGAAAAGGAAATATCTTCACATAAAAACTAGATAGAAGCATTCTCAGAAACGACTTTGTGAGGATGGCATTCAACTCATGGAGTTGAACAATCCTATTGATAGAGCAGATTGGAATCACTCTTTTTGTAGAATCTGCAAATGGAGATTTGGACTGCTTTGAGGCCTACGGTCGTATAGGAAGGAACTTCATATAAAAGGCAAACGGAAGCATTCTCAGAATATTCTTTGTGATGATGGAGTTTCACTCACAGAGCTGAACATGCCTTTTGATGGAGCAGTTTCCAAATACACTTTTGGTAGAATCTGCAGGTGGATATTTGGAGCTCTCTGAGGATTTCGTTGGAAACGGGGAATAATTTCCCATAACTAAACACAAACACTCTGAGAAAGTTCTTCATGATGAATGCATTTAACTCGCAGAGATGAACCTGCCTTTGAGAGTTCAGGTTCGAAACACTCTTTCTGTAGAATCTGCAAGTGGATATTTGGACCACTGGGTGGCCTTCGTTCGAAACGGGTATATGTTCACGTAAAAACTAAAGAGAAGCATTCTCAGAAACTTCTGAGTGATGATTGCATTCAAGTCACACAGTTGAACCCTCCTTTTGATGGAGCAGTTTTGAAACTGTCTTTTTGTAGAATCTGTAAGTGGATACGTGGACCTCTTTGAAGATTTCTTTGGAAACGGGAATATTTCCACAGAAAAACTAAACTGAAGCATTCTCAGAAACTGCTTTGTGATGTTTGTGTTCGAGCCACAGAGTTTAACATTGCTTTTCATAGAGCAGTTTTGAAATATTCTTTTCACAGAATCTGCAAGTGGACATTTGGAGCGCTTTCAGGCCTGTGGTGGAAAAGGCCTGAAAGCCTTTTCCTTTATCTTCACAGAAAGACGAGAGAGAAGCATTGTCAGAAACTTCTTTGTGATGATTGCATTCAACTCACAGAGTTGAAGATTCCTTTTGAAACAGCAGTTTCGAAACACTCTTTCTGTGGGATCCGCAAGGGGATATTTGGACCTCTTTGAAGGTTTCGTTGGAAACGGGATAATCTTCACCTAAAAGCTAAACGGAAGCATTCTCAGAAACTTCTTTGGGATGTTTGCATTCACCTCACAGAGTTGAACTTTCCCTTTGATAGCGCAGCTTTGACACACTTTTTCTACAATGTGCAAGTGGCTATTTAGCGGGCTAGGAGGACTGTGTTGGAAAAGGAAATATCTTCTCCTAAAAACGACATAGAAGCATTCTCAGAAACTGCTCTGTGATGATTGCATTCAACTCCCAGAGTTGAACATTCCTTTTGATAGAGCAGTTTGCAAACACTCTTTTTGTAGAATCTGCAAGTGGAGATTTGGACCGCTTTGAGGCCTGTGGTAGTGAAGGAAAGAACTTCATATAAAAACCAGACGGTAGCACTCTCAGAAAATTCTTTGTGACGATGGAGTTTAACTCAGGGAGCTGAACATTCGTTATGATGGAGCAGTTTCCAAACACACGTTTTGTAGAATCTGCGAGGGGATATTTGGACCTCTCTGAGGATTTCGTTGGAAACGGGATCAACTTCCCATAACTGAACGGAAGCAAACTCAGAACATTCTTTGTGATGTTTGTATTCAACTCACAGAGTTGAACCTTCCTTTGATAGTTCAGGTTTGCAACACCCTTGTAGTAGAATCTGCAAGTGTATATTTTGACCACTTTGTAGCCTTCGTTTGAAACGTCTATATCTTCACATCAAACCTAGAAAGAAGCATTCTCAGAAAGTTTTCTGCGATGACTGCATTCAACTCACAGAGTTGAACAATCCTTCTGATGGAGCAGTTTTGAAACCCTCTTTCTTTGGAATCTGCAAGGGGATATGTGGACCTCTTTGATGATTTCACTGGAAACGGGGTCATCTTCACATAAAAACTAAACAGAAGCAATCTCGGAAACTACTTTGTGATGTTTGTATTCAACTCCCAGAGTTGAACTTTCCTTTTGAAAGAGCAGCTATGAAACACTCTTTTTCGAGAATCTGCAAGTGGACGTTTGGAGGGCTTTGAGGCCTGTGGTGGAAAAGGAAATATCTTCACATAAAAACTACATAGAAGCATTCTCAGTAAACTACTTTGTGAGGATGGCATTCAACTCATGGAGTTGAACAATCCTATTGATAGAGCAGATTGGAATCACTCTTTTTGTAGAATCTGCAAATGGAGATTTGGACTGCTTTGAGGCCTACGGTAGTATAGGAAGGAACTTCATATAAAAGGCAAACGGAAGCATTCTCAGAATATTCTTTGTCATGATGGAGTTTCACTCACAGAGCTGAACATGCCTTTTGATGGAGCAGTTTCCAAATACACTTTTGGTAGAATCTGCAGGTGGATATTTGGACCTGTCGGAGGATTTCGTTGGAAACGGGAATAATTTCCCATAACTAAACACAAACACTCTGAGAAAGTTCTTCATGATGAATGCATTTAACTCGCAGAGATGAACCTGCCTTTGAGAGTTCAGGTTCGAAACACTCTTTCTGTAGAATCTGCAAGTGGATATTTGGACCACTGGCTGGCCTTCGTTCGAAACGGGTATATGTTCACGTAAAAACTAAAGAGAAGCATTCTCAGAAACTTCTGAGTGATGATTGCATTCAAGTCACACAGTTGAACCCGCCTTTTGATTGAGCAGTTTTGAAACTGTCTTTTTGTAGAATCTGTAAGTGGATTCGTGGACCTCTTGGAAGATTTCTTTGGAAACGGGAATATTTCCACAGAAAAACTAAACTGAAGCATTCTCAGAAACTGCTTTGTGATGTTGGTGTTCGAGCCGCAGAGTTTAACATTGCTTTTCATAGAGCAGTTTTGAAATATTCTTTTGGCAGAATCTGCAAGTGGACATTTGGAGCGCTTTCAGGCCTGTGGTGGAAAAGGCCTGAAAGCCTTTTCCTTTATCTTCACAGAAAGACGAGAGAGAAGCATTGTCAGAAACTTCTTTGTGATGATTGCATTCAACTCACAGAGTTGAAGATTCCTTTTGTAACAGCAGTTTCGAAACACTCTTTCTGTGGGATCCGCAAGGGGATATTTGGACCTCTTTGAAGATTTCGTTGGAAACGGGATAATCTTCACCTAAAAGCTAAACGGAAGCATTCTCAGAAACTTCTTTGGGATGTTTGCATTCACCTCACAGAGTTGAACTTTCCCTTTGATAGCGCAGCTTCGACACACTTTTTCTACAATGTGCAAGTGGATATTTAGCGGGCTTGGAGGACTGTGTTGGAAAAGGAAATATCTTCTCCTAAAAACGTCATAGAAGCATTCTCAGAAACTGCTCTGTGATGATTGCATTCAACTCCCAGAGTTGAACATTCCTTTTGATAGAGCAGTTTGCAAACACTCTTTTTGTAGAATCTGCAAGTGGAGATTTGGACCACTTTGAGGCCTGTGGTAGTAAAGGAACGAACTTCATATTAAAACTAGACGGTAGCACTCTCAGAAAATTCTTTGTGACGATGGAGTTTAACTCAGAGAGCTGAACATTCGTTATGATGGAGCAGTTTCCAATCACACGTTTTGTAGATTCTGCAAGGGGATATTTGGACCTCTCTAAGGATTTCTTTGGGAAAGGGATCAACTTCCCATAACTGAACGGAAGCAAACTCAGAACATTCTTTGTGATGTTTGTATTCAACTCACAGAGTTGAACCTTCCTTTGATAGTCCAGGTTTGCAACACCCTTGTAGTAGAATCTGCAAGTGTATATTTTGACCACTTTGTAGCCTTCGTTTGAAACGTCTATATCTTCACATCAAACCTAGACAGAAGCATTCTCAGAAAGTTTTCTGCGATGACTGCATTCAACTCACAGAGTTGAACAATCCTTTTGATGGAGCAGTTTTGAAACCCTCTTTCTTTGGAATCTGCAAGGGGATATGTGGACCTCTTTGAAGATTTCACTGGAAACGGGATCATCTTCACATAAGAACTAAACAGAAGCATTCTCGGAAACTACTTTGTGATGTTTGTATTCAACTCCCAGAGTTGAACTTTCCTTTTGAAAGAGCAGCTATGAAACACTCTTTTTTGAGAATCTGCAAGCGGACGTTTGGAGGGCTTTGAGGCCTGTGGTGGAAAAGGAAATATCTTCACATTAAAACTAGATAGAAGCATTCTCAGAAACGACTTTGTGAGGATGGCATTCAACTCATGGAGTTGAACAATCCTATTGATAGAGCAGATTGGAATCAGTCTTTTTGTAGAATCTGCAAATGGAGATTTGGACTGCTTTGTGGCCTATGGTAGTATAGGAAGGAACTTCATATAAAAGGCAAACGGAAGCATTCTCAGAATATTCTTTGTGATGATGGAGTTTCACTCACAGAGCTGAACATGCCTTTTGATGGAGCAGTTTCCAAATACACTTTTGGTAGAATCTGCAGGTGGATATTTGGACCTCTCTGAGGAGATCGTTGGAAACGGGAATAATTTCCCATAACTAAACACAAACACTCTGAGAAAGTTCTTCATGATGAATGCATTTAACTCGCAGAGATGAACCTGCCTTTCAGAGTTCAGGTTCGAAACACTCTTTCTGTAGAATCTGCAAGTGGATATTTGGACCACTGGCTGGCCTTCGTTCGAAACGGGTATATGTTCACGTAAAAACTAAAGAGAAGCATTCTCAGAAACTTCTGAGTGATGATTGCATTCAAGTCACACAGTTGAACCCTCCTTTTGATTGAGCAGTTTTGAAACTGTCTTTTTGTAAAATCTGTAAGTGGATACGTGGACCTCTTTGAAGATTTCTTTGGAAACGGGAATATTTCCACAGAAAAACTAAACTGAAGCATTCTCAGAAACTGCTTTGTGATGTTTGTGTTCGAGCCGCAGAGTTTAACATTGCTTTTCATAGAGCAGTTTTGAAATATTCTTTTGGCAGAATCTGCAAGTGGACATTTGGAGCGCTTTCAGGCCTGTGGTGGAAAAGGCCTGAAAGCCTTTTCCTTTATCTTCACAGAAAGACGAGGGAGAAGCATTGTCAGAAACTTCTTTGTGATGATTGCATTCAACTCACAGAGTTGAAGATTCCTTTTGAAACAGCAGTTTCGAAACACTCTTTCTGTGGGATCCGCAAGGGGATATTTGGACCTCTTTGAAGATTTCGTTGGAAACGGGATAATCTTCACCTAAAAGCTAAACGGAAGCATTCTCAGAAACTTCTTTGGGATGTTTGCATTCACCTCACAGAGTTGAACTTTCCCTTTGATAGCGCAGCTTCGACACACTTTTTCTACAATGTGCAAGTGGCTATTTAGCGGGCTTGGAGGACTGTGTTGGAAAAGGAAATATCTTCTCCTAAAAACGACATAGAAGCATTCTCAGAAACTGCTCTGTGATGATTGCATTCAACTCCCAGAGTTGAACATTCCTTTTGATAGAGCAGTTTGCAAACACTCTTTTTGTAGAATCTGCAAGTGGAGATTTGGACCGCTTTGAGGCCTGTGGTAGTAAAGGAAAGAACTTCATATAAAAACTAGACGGTAGCACTCTCAGAAAATTCTTTGTGACGATGGAGTTTAACTCAGAGAGCTGAACATTCGTTATGATGGAGCAGTTTCCAAACACACGTTTTGTAGAATCTGCAAGGGGATATTCGGACCTCTCTGAGGATTTCGTTGGAAACGGGATCAACGTCCCATAACTGAACGGAAGCAAACTCAGAACATTCTTTGTGATGTTTGTATTCAACTCACAGAGTTGAACCTTCCTTTGATAGTTCAGGTTTGCAACACCCTTGTAGTAGAATCTGCAAGTGTATATTTTGACCACTTTGTAGCCTTCGTTTGAAACGTCTATATCTTCACATCAAACCTAGACAGAAGCATTCTCAGAAAGTTTTCTGCGATGACTGCATTCAACTCACAGAGTTGAACAATCCTTTTGCTGGAGCAGTTTTGAAACCCTCTTTCTTTGGAATCTGCAAGGGCATATGTGGACCTCTTTGAAGATTTCACTGGAAACGGGATCATCTTCACATAAAAACTAAACAGAAGCATTCTCGGAAACTACTTTGTGATGTTTGTATTCAACTCCCAGAGTTGAACTTTCCTTTTGAAAGAGCAGCTATGAAACACTCTTTTTCGAGAATCTGCAAGTGGACGTTTGGAGGGCTTTGAGGCCTGTGGTGGAAAAGGAAATATCTTCACATAAAAACTAGATAGAAGCATTCTCAGAAACTACTTTGTGACGATGGCATTCAACTCATGGAGTTGAACAATCCTATTGATAGAGCAGATTGGAATCACTCTTTTTGTAGAATCTGCAAATGGAGATTTGGACTGCTTTGAGGCCTACGGTAGTATGGGAAGGAACTTCATATAAAAGGCAAACGGAAGCATTCTCAGAATATTCTTTGTGATGATGGAGTTTCACTCACAGAGCTGAACATGCCTTTTGATGGAGCAGTTTCCAAATACACTTTTGGTAGAATCTGCAGGTGGATATTTGGAGCTCTCTGAGGATTTCGTTGGAAACGGGAATAATTTCCCATAACTAAACACAAACACTCTGAGAAAGTTCTTCATGATGAATGCATTTAACTCGCAGAGATGAACCTGTCTTTGACAGTTCAGGTTCGAAACACTCTTTCTGTAGAATCTGCAAGTGGATATTTGGACCACTGGGTGGCCTTCGTTCGAAACGGGTATATGTTCACGTAAAAACTAAAGAGAAGCATTCTCAGAAACTTCTGAGTGATGATTGCATTCAAGTCACACAGTTGAACCCTCCTTTTGATGGAGCAGTTTTGAAACTGTCTTTTTGTAGAATCTGTAAGTGGATACGTGGACCTCTTTGAAGATTTCTTTGGAAACGGGAATATTTCCACAGAAAAACTAAACTGAAGCATTCTCAGAAACTGCTTTGTGATGTTTGTGTTCGAGCCACAGAGTTTAACATTGCTTTTCATAGAGCAGTTTTGAAATATTCTTTTGGCAGAATCTACAAGTGGACATTTGGAGCGCTTTCAGGCCTGTGGTGGCAAAGGCCTGAAAGCCTTTTCCTTTATCTTCACAGAAAGACGAGAGAGAAGCATTGTCAGAAACTTCTTTGTGATGATTGCATTCAACTCACAGAGTTGAAGATTCCTTTTGAAACAGCAGTTTCGAAACACTCTTTCTGTGGGATCCGCAAGGGGATATTTGGACCTCTTTGAAGGTTTCGTTGGAAACGGGATAATCTTCACCTAAAAGCTAAACGGAAGCATTCTCAGAAACTTCTTTGGGATGTTTGCATTCACCTCACAGAGTTGAACTTTCCCTTTGATAGCGCAGCTTTGACACACTTTTTCTACAATGTGCAAGTGGCTATTTAGCGGGCTTGGAGGACTGTGTTGGAAAAGGAAATATCTTCTCCTAAAAACGACATAGAAGCATTCTCAGAAACTGCTCTGTGATGATTGCATTCAACTCCCAGAGTTGAACATTCCTTTTGATAGAGCAGTTTGCACACACTCTTTTTGTAGAATCTGCAAGTGGAGATTTGGACCGCTTTGAGGCCTGTGGTAGTGAAGGAAAGAACTTCATATAAAAACCAGACGGTAGCACTCTCAGAAAATTCTTTGTGACGATGGAGTTTAACTCAGGGAGCTGAACATTCGTTATGATGGAGCAGTTTCCAAACACACGTTTTGTAGAATCTGCAAGGGGATATTTGGACCTCTCTGAGGATTTCGTTGGAAACGGGATCAACTTCCCATAACTGAACGGAAGCAAACTCAGAACATTCTTTGTGATGTTTGTATTCAACTCACAGAGTTGAACCTTCCTTTGATAGTTCAGGTTTGCAACACCCTTGTAGTAGAATCTGCAAGTGTATATTTTGACCACTTTGTAGCCTTCGTTTGAAACGTCTATATCTTCACATCAAACCTAGAAAGAAGCATTCTCAGAAAGTTTTCTGCGATGACTGCATTCAACTCACAGAGTTGAACAATCCTTCTGATGGAGCAGTTTTGAAACCCTCTTTCTTTGGAATCTGCAAGGGGATATGTGGACCTCTTTGAAGATTTCACTGGAAACGGGATCATCTTCACATAAAAACTAAACAGAAGCATTCTCGGAAACTATTTTGTGATGTTTGTATTCAACTCCCAGAGTTGAACTTTCCTTTTGAAAGAGCAGCTATGAAACACTCTTTTTCGAGAATCTGCAAGTGGACGTTTGGAGGGCTTTGAGGCCTGTGGTGGAAAAGGAAATATCTTCACACAAAAACCAGATAGAAGCATTCTCAGAAACTACTTTGTGAGGATGGCATTCAACTCATGGAGTTGAACAATCCTATTGATAGAGCAGATTGGAATCACTCTTTTTATAGAATCTGCAAATGGAGATTTGGACTGCTTTGAGGCCTACGGTAGTACAGGAAGGAACTTCATATAAAAGGCAAACGGAAGCATTCTCAGAATATTCTTTGTGATGATGGAGTTTCACTCACAGAGCTGAACATGCCTTTTGATGGAGCAGTTTCCAAATACACTTTTGGTAGAATCTGCAGGTGGATATTTGGAGCTCTCTGAGGATTTCGTTGGAAACGGGAATAATTTCCCATAACTAAACACAAACACTCTGAGAAAGTTCTTCATGATGAATGCATTTAACTCGCAGAGATGAACCTGCCTTTGAGAGTTCAGGTTCGAAACACTCTTTCTGTAGAATCTGCAAGTGGATATTTGGACCACTGGGTGGCCTTCGTTCGAAACGGGTATATGTTCACGTAAAAACTAAAGAGAAGCATTCTCAGAAACTTGTGAGTGATGATTGCATTCAAGTCACACAGTTGAACCCTCCTTTTGATGGAGCAGTTTTGAAACTGTCTTTTTGTAGAATCTGTAAGTGGATACGTGGACCTCTTTGAAGATTTCTTTGGAAACGGGAATATTTCCACAGAAAAACTAAACTGAAGCATTCTCAGAAACCGCTTTGTGATGTTTGTGTTCGAGCCACAGAGTTTAACATTGCTTTTCATAGAGCAGTTTTGAAATATTCTTTTGGCAGAATCTGCAAGTGGACATTTGGAGCGCTTTCAGGCCTGTGGTGGAAAAGGCCTGAAAGCCTTTTCCTTTATCTTCACAGAAAGACGAGAGAGAAGCATTGTCAGAAACTTCTTTGTGATGATTGCATTCAACTCACAGAGTTGAAGATTCCTTTTGAAACAGCAGTTTCGAAACACTCTTTCTGTGGGATCCGCAAGGGGATATTTGGACCTCTTTGAAGGTTTCGTTGGAAACGGGATAATCTTCACCTAAAAGCTAAACGGAAGCATTCTCAGAAACTTCTTTGGGATGTTTGCATTCACCTCACAGAGTTGAACTTTCCCTTTGATAGCGCAGCTTTGACACACTTTTTCTACAATGTGCAAGTGGCTATTTAGCGGGCTTGGAGGACTGTGTTGGAAAAGGAAATATCTTCTCCTAAAAACGACATAGAAGCATTCTCAGAAACTGCTCTGTGATGATTGCATTCAACTCCCAGAGTTGAACATTCCTTTTGATAGAGCAGTTTGCAAACACTCTTTTTGTAGAATCTGCAAGTGGAGATTTGGACCGCTTTGAGGCCAGTGGTAGTGAAGGAAAGAACTTCATATAAAAACCAGACGGTAGCACTCTCAGAAAATTCTTTGTGACGATGGAGTTTAACTCAGGGAGCTGAACATTCGTTATGATGGAGCAGTTTCCAAACACACGTTTTGTAGAATCTGCAAGGGGATATTTGGACCTCTCTGAGGATTTCGTTGGAAACGGGATCAACTTCCCATAACTGAACGGAAGCAAACTCAGAACATTCTTTGTGATGTTTGTATTCAACTCACAGAGTTGAACCTTCCTTTGATAGTTCAGGTTTGCAACACCCTTGTAGTAGAATCTGCAAGTGTATATTTTGACCACTTTGTAGCCTTCGTTTGAAACGTCTATATCTTCACATCAAACCTAGACAGAAGCATTCTCAGAAAGTTTTCTGCGATGACTGCATTCAACTCACAGAGTTGAACAATCCTTCTGATGGAGCAGTTTTGAAACCCTCTTTCTTTGGAATCTGCAAGGGGATATGTGGACCTCTTTGAAGATTTCACTGGAAACGGGATCATCTTCACATAAAAACTAAACAGAAGCATTCTCGGAAACTACTTTGTGATGTTTGTATTCAACTCCCAGAGTTGAACTTTCCTTTTGAAAGAGCAGCTATGAAACACTCTTTTTCGAGAATCTGCAAGTGGACGTTTGGAGGGCTTTGAGGCCTGTGGTGGAAAAGGAAATATCTTCACATAAAAACTAGATAGAAGCATTCTCAGAAACTACTTTGGAAGATGGCATTCAACTCATGGAGTTGAACAATCCTATTGATAGAGCAGATTGGAATCACTCTTTTTGTAGAATCTGCAAATGGAGATTTGGACTGCTTTGAGGCCTACGGTCGTATAGGAAGGAACTTCATATAACAGGCAAACGGAAGCATTCTCAGAATATTCTTTGTGATGATGGAGTTTCACTCACAGAGCTGAACATGCCTTTTGATGGAGCAGTTTCCAAATACACTTTTGGTAGAATCTGCAGGTGGATATTTGGAGCTCTTTGAGGATTTCGTTGGAAACGGGAATAATTTCCCATACCTAAACACAAACACGCTGAGAAAGTTCTTCATGATGAATGCATTTAACTCGCAGAGATGAACCTGCCTTTGAGAGTTCAGGTTCGAAACACTCTTTCTGTAGAATCTGCAAGTGGATATTTGGACCACTGGGTGGCCTTCGTTCGAAACGGGTATATGTTCACGTAAAAACTAAAGAGAAGCATTCTCAGAAACTTCTGAGTGATGATTGCATTCAAGTCACACGGTTGAACCCTCCTTTTGATGGAGCAGTTTTGAAACTGTCTTTTTGTAGAATCTGTAAGTGGATACGTGGACCTCTTTGAAGATTTCTTTGGAAACGGGAATATTTCCACAGAAAAACTAAACTGAAGCATTCTCAGAAACCGCTTTGTGATGTTTGTGTTCGAGCCGCAGAGTTTAACATTGCTTTTCATAGAGCAGTTTTGAAATATTCTTTTGGCAGAATCTGCAAGTGGACATTTGGAGCGCTTTCAGGCCTGTGGTGGAAAAGGCCTGAAAGCCTTTTCCTTTATCTTCACAGAAAGACGAGAGAGAAGCATTGTCAGAAACTTCTTTGTGATGATTGCATTCAACTCACAGAGTTGAAGATTCCTTTTGAAACAGCAGTTTCGAAACACTCTTTCTGTGGGATCCGCAAGGGGATATTTGGACCTCTTTGAAGGTTTCGTTGGAAACGGGATAATCTTCACCTAAAAGCTAAATGGAAGCATTCTCAGAAACTTCTTTGGGATGTTTGCATTCACCTCACAGAGTTGAACTTTCCCTTTGATAGCGCAGCTTTGACACACTTTTTCTACAATGTGCAAGTGGCTATTTAGCGGGCTTGGAGGACTGTGTTGGAAAAGGAAATATCTTCTAAAAACGACATAGAAGCATTCTCAGAAACTGCTCTGTGATGATTGCATTCAACTCCCAGAGTTGAACATTCCTTTTGATAGAGCAGTTTGCAAACACTCTTTTTGTAGAATCTGCAAGTGGAGATTTGGACCGCTTTGAGGCCTGTGGTAGTGAAGGAAAGAACTTCATATAAAAACCAGACGGTAGCACTCTCAGAAAATTCTTTGTGACGATGGAGTTTAACTCAGGGAGCTGAACATTCGTTATGATGGAGCAGTTTCCAAACACACGTTTTGTAGAATCTGCAAGGGGATATTTGGACCTCTCTGAGGATTTCGTTGGAAACGGGATCAACTTCCCATAACTGAACGGAAGCAAACTCAGAACATTCTTTGTGATGTTTGTATTCAACTCACAGAGTTGAACCTTCCTTTGATAGTTCAGGTTTGCAACACCCTTGTAGTAGAATCTGCAAGTGTATATTTTGACCACTTTGTAGCCTTCGTTTGAAACATCTATATCTTCACATCAAACCTAGACAGAAGCATTCTCAGAAAGTTTTCTGCGATGACTGCATTCAACTCACAGAGTTGAACAATCCTTCTGATGGAGCAGTTTTGAAACCCTCTTTCTTTGGAATCTGCAAGGGGATATGTGGA
Organism: Homo sapiens; assembly: GCF_000001405.40. Taxonomy (NCBI): domain Eukaryota; kingdom Metazoa; phylum Chordata; class Mammalia; order Primates; family Hominidae; genus Homo; species Homo sapiens. Next base: position 59,196,026 of record NC_000023.11, read on the forward strand.
CCTCTTTGAAGATTTCACTGGAAACGGGATCATCTTCACATAAAAACTAAACAGAAGCATTCTCGGAAACTACTTTGTGATGTTTGTATTCAACTCCCAGAGTTGAACTTTCCTTTTGAAAGAGCAGCTATAAAACACTCTTTTTCGAGAATCTGCAAGTGGACGTTTGGAGGGCTTTGAGGCCTGTGGTGGAAAAGGAAATATCTTCACATAAAAACTAGATAGAAGCATTCTCAGAAACGACTTTGTGAGGATGGCATTCAACTCATGGAGTTGAACAATCCTATTGATAGAGCAGATTGGAATCACTCTTTTTGTAGAATCTGCAAATGGAGATTTGGACTGCTTTGAGGCCTACGGTCGTATAGGAAGGAACTTCATATAAAAGGCAAACGGAAGCATTCTCAGAATATTCTTTGTGATGATGGAGTTTCACTCACAGAGCTGAACATGCCTTTTGATGGAGCAGTTTCCAAATACACTTTTGGTAGAATCTGCAGGTGGATATTTGGAGCTCTCTGAGGATTTCGTTGGAAACGGGAATAATTTCCCATAACTAAACACAAACACTCTGAGAAAGTTCTTCATGATGAATGCATTTAACTCGCAGAGATGAACCTGCCTTTGAGAGTTCAGGTTCGAAACACTCTTTCTGTAGAATCTGCAAGTGGATATTTGGACCACTGGGTGGCCTTCGTTCGAAACGGGTATATGTTCACGTAAAAACTAAAGAGAAGCATTCTCAGAAACTTCTGAGTGATGATTGCATTCAAGTCACACAGTTGAACCCTCCTTTTGATGGAGCAGTTTTGAAACTGTCTTTTTGTAGAATCTGTAAGTGGATACGTGGACCTCTTTGAAGATTTCTTTGGAAACGGGAATATTTCCACGGAAAAACTAAACTGAAGCATTCTCAGAAACTGCTTTGTGATGTTTGTGTTCGAGCCACAGAGTTTAACATTGCTTTTCATAGAGCAGTTTTGCAATATTCTTTTCACAGAATCTGCAAGTGGACATTTGGAGCGCTTTCAGGCCTGTGGTGGAAAAGGCCTGAAAGCCTTTTCCTTTATCTTCACAGAAAGACGAGAGAGAAGCATTGTCAGAAACTTCTTTGTGATGATTGCATTCAACTCACAGAGTTGAAGATTCCTTTTGAAACAGCAGTTTCGAAACACTCTTTCTGTGGGATCCGCAAGGGGATATTTGGACCTCTTTGAAGGTTTCGTTGGAAACGGGATAATCTTCACCTAAAAGCTAAACGGAAGCATTCTCAGAAACTTCTTTGGGATGTTTGCATTCACCTCACAGAGTTGAACTTTCCCTTTGATAGCGCAGCTTTGACACACTTTTTCTACAATGTGCAAGTGGCTATTTAGCGGGCTAGGAGGACTGTGTTGGAAAAGGAAATATCTTCTCCTAAAAACGACATAGAAGCATTCTCAGAAACTGCTCTGTAATGATTGCATTCAACTCCCAGAGTTGAACATTCCTTTTGATAGAGCAGTTTGCAAACACTCTTTTTGTAGAATCTGCAAGTGGAGATTTGGACCGCTTTGAGGCCTGTGGTAGTGAAGGAAAGAACTTCATATAAAAACCAGACGGTAGCACTCTCACAAAATTCTTTGTGACGATGGAGTTTAACTCAGGGAGCTGAACATTCGTTATGATGGAGCAGTTTCCAAACACACGTTTTGTAGAATCTGCGAGGGGATATTTGGACCTCTCTGAGGATTTCGTTGGAAACGGGATCAACTTCCCATAACTGAACGGAAGCAAACTCAGAACATTCTTTGTGATGTTTGTATTCAACTCACAGAGTTGAACCTTCCTTTGATAGTTCAGGTTTGCAACACCCTTGTAGTAGAATCTGCAAGTGTATATTTTGACCACTTTGTAGCCTTCGTTTGAAACGTCTATATCTTCACATCAAACCTAGAAAGAAGCATTCTCAGAAAGTTTTCTGCGATGACTGCATTCAACTCACAGAGTTGAACAATCCTTCTGATGGAGCAGTTTTGAAACCCTCTTTCTTTGGAATCTGCAAGGGGATATGTGGACCTCTTTGAAGATTTCACTGGAAACGGGATCATCTTCACATAAAAACTAAACAGAAGCATTCTCGGAAACTATTTTGTGATGTTTGTATTCAACTCCCAGAGTTGAACTTTCCTTTTGAAAGAGCAGCTATGAAACACTCTTTTTCGAGAATCTGCAAGTGGACGTTTGGAGGGCTTTGAGGCCTGTGGTGGAAAAGGAAATATCTTCACACAAAAACCAGATAGAAGCATTCTCAGAAACTACTTTGTGAGGATGGCATTCAAATCATGGAGTTGAACAATCCTATTGATAGAGCAGATTGGAATCACTCTTTTTATAGAATCTGCAAATGGAGATTTGGACTGCTTTGAGGCCTACGGTAGTACAGGAAGGAACTTCATATAAAAGGCAAACGGAAGCATTCTCAGAATATTCTTTGTGATGATGGAGTTTCACTCACAGAGCTGAACATGCCTTTTGATGGAGCAGTTTCCAAATACACTTTTGGTAGAATCTGCAGGTGGATATTTGGAGCTCTCTGAGGATTTCGTTGGAAACGGGAACAATTCCCCATAACTAAACACAAACACTCTGAGAAAGTTCTTCATGATGAATGCATTTAACTCGCAGAGATGAACCTGCCTTTGAGAGTTCAGGTTCGAAACACTCTTTCTGTATAATCTGCAAGTGGATATTTGGACCACTGGGTGGCCTTCGTTCGAAACGGGTATATGTTCACGTAAAAACTAAAGAGAAGCATTCTCAGAAACTTCTGAGTGATGATTGCATTCAAGTCACACAGTTGAACCCTCCTTTTGATGGAGCAGTTTTGAAACTGTCTTTTTGTAGAATCTGTAAGTGGATGCGTGGACCTCTTTGAAGATTTCTTTGGAAACGGGAATATTTCCACAGAAAAACTAAACTGAAGCATTCTCAGAAACTGCTTTGTGATGTTTGTGTTCGAGCCACAGAGTTTAACATTGCTTTTCATAGAGCAGTTTTGAAATATTCTTTTGGCAGAATCTGCAAGTGGACATTTGGAGCGCTTTCAGGCCTGTGGTGGCAAAGGCCTGAAAGCCTTTTCCTTTATCTTCACAGAAAGACGAGAGAGAAGCATTGTCAGAAACTTCTTTGTGATGATTGCATTCAACTCACAGAGTTGAAGATTCCTTTTGAAACAGCAGTTTCGAAACACTCTTTCTGTGGGATCCGCAAGGGGATATTTGGACCTCTTTGAAGGTTTCGTTGGAAACGGGATAATCTTCACCTAAAAGCTAAACGGAAGCATTCTCAGAAACTTCTTTGGGATGTTTGCATTCACCTCACAGAGTTGAACTTTCCCTTTGATAGCGCAGCTTTGACACACTTTTTCTACAATGTGCAAGTGGCTATTTAGCGGGCTTGGAGGACTGTGTTGGAAAAGGAAATATCTTCTCCTAAAAACGACATAGAAGCATTCTCAGAAACTGCTCTGTGATGATTGCATTCAACTCCCAGAGTTGAACATTCCTTTTGATAGAGCAGTTTGCAAACACTCTTTTTGTAGAATCTGCAAGTGGAGATTTGGACCGCTTTGAGGCCTGTGGTAGTGAAGGAAAGAACTTCATATAAAAACCAGACGGTAGCACTCTCAGAAAATTCTTTGTGACGATGGAGTTTAACTCAGGGAGCTGAACATTCGTTATGATGGAGCAGTTTCCAAACACACGTTTTGTAGAATCTGCGAGGGGATATTTGGACCTCTCTGAGGATTTCGTTGGAAACGGGATCAACTTCCCATAACTGAACGGAAGCAAACTCAGAACATTCTTTGTGATGTTTGTATTCAACTCACAGAGTTGAACCTTCCTTTGATAGTTCAGGTTTGCAACACCCTTGTAGTAGAATCTGCAAGTGTATATTTTGACCACTTTGTAGCCTTCGTTTGAAACGTCTATATCTTCACATCAAACCTAGACAGAAGCATTCTCAGAAAGTTTTCTGCGATGACTGCATTCAACTCACAGAGTTGAACAATCCTTCTGATGGAGCAGTTTTGAAACCCTCTTTCTTTGGAATCTGCAAGGGGATATGTGGACCTCTTTGAAGATTTCACTGGAAACGGGATCATCTTCACATAAAAACTAAACAGAAGCATTCTCGGAAACTACTTTGTGATGTTTGTATTCAACTCCCAGAGTTGAACTTTCCTTTTGAAAGAGCAGCTATGAAACACTCTTTTTCGAGAATCTGCAAGTGGACGTTTGGAGGGCTTTGAGGCCTGTGGTGGAAAAGGAAATATCTTCACATAAAAACTAGATAGAAGCATTCTCAGAAACGACTTTGTGAGGATGGCATTCAACTCATGGAGTTGAACAATCCTATTGATAGAGCAGATTGGAATCACTCTTTTTGTAGAATCTGCAAATGGAGATTTGGACTGCTTTGAGGCCTACGGTCGTATAGGAAGGAACTTCATATAAAAGGCAAACGGAAGCATTCTCAGAATATTCTTTGTGATGATGGAGTTTCACTCACAGAGCTGAACATGCCTTTTGATGGAGCAGTTTCCAAATACACTTTTGGTAGAATCTGCAGGTGGATATTTGGAGCTCTCTGAGGATTTCGTTGGAAACGGGAATAATTTCCCATAACTAAACACAAACACTCTGAGAAAGTTCTTCATGATGAATGCATTTAACTCGCAGAGATGAACCTGCCTTTGAGAGTTCAGGTTCGAAACACTCTTTCTGTATAATCTGCAAGTGGATATTTGGACCACTGGGTGGCCTTCGTTCGAAACGGGTATATGTTCACGTAAAAACTAAAGAGAAGCATTCTCAGAAACTTCTGAGTGATGATTGCATTCAAGTCACACAGTTGAACCCTCCTTTTGATGGAGCAGTTTTGAAACTGTCTTTTTGTAGAATCTGTAAGTGGATACGTGGACCTCTTTGAAGATTTCTTTGGAAACGGGAATATTTCCACAGAAAAACTAAACTGAAACATTCTCAGAAACCGCTTTGTGATGTTTGTGTTCCAGCCACAGAGTTTAACATTGCTTTTCATAGAGCAGTTTTGAAATATTCTTTTGGCAGAATCTGCAAGTGGACATTTGGAGCGCTTTCAGGCCTGTGGTGGAAAAGGCCTGAAAGCCTTTTCCTTTATCTTCACAGAAAGACGAGAGAGAAGCATTGTCAGAAACTTCTTTGTGATGATTGCATTCAACTCACAGAGTTGAAGATTCCTTTTGAAACAGCAGTTTCGAAACACTCTTTCTGTGGGATCCGCAAGGGGATATTTGGACCTCTTTGAAGGTTTCGTTGGAAACGGGATAATCTTCACCTAAAAGCTAAACGGAAGCATTCTCAGAAACTTCTTTGGGATGTTTGCATTCACCTCACAGAGTTGAACTTTCCCTTTGATAGCGCAGCTTTGACACACTTTTTCTACAATGTGCAAGTGGCTATTTAGCGGGCTTGGAGGACTGTGTTGGAAAAGGAAATATCTTCTCCTAAAAACGACATAGAAGCATTCTCAGAAACTGCTCTGTGATGATTGCATTCAACTCCCAGAGTTGAACATTCCTTTTGATAGAGCAGTTTGCAAACACTCTTTTTGTAGAATCTGCAAGTGGGGATTTGGACCGCTTTGAGGCCTGTGGTAGTGAAGGAAAGAACTTCATATAAAAACCAGACGGTAGCACTCTCAGAAAATTCTTTGTGACGATGGAGTTTAACTCAGGGAGCTGAACATTCGTTATGATGGAGCAGTTTCCAAACAAACGTTTTGTAGAATCTGCGAGGGGATATTTGGACCTCTCTGAGGATTTCGTTGGAAACGGGATCAACTTCCCATAACTGAACGGAAGCAAACTCAGAACATTCTTTGTGATGTTTGTATTCAACTCACAGAGTTGAACCATCCTTTGATACTTCAGGTTTCCAACACCCTTGTAGTAGAATCTGCAAGTGTATATTTTGACCACGTTGTAGCCTTCGTTTGAAACGTCTATATCTTCACATCAAACCTAGACAGAAGCATTCTCAGAAAGTTTTCTGCGATGACTGCATTCAACTCACAGAGTTGAACAATCCTTCTGATGGAGCAGTTTTGAAACCCTCTTTCTTTGGAATCTGCAAGGCGATATGTGGACCTCTTTGAAGATTTCACTGGAAACGGGATCATCTTCACATAAAAACTAAACAGAAGCATTCTCGGAAACTACTTTGTGATGTTTGTATTCAACTCCCAGAGTTGAACTTTCCTTTTGAAAGAGCAGCTATGAAACACTCTTTTTCGAGAATCTGAAAGTGGACGTTTGGAGGGCTTTGAGGCCTGTGGTGGAAAAGGAAATATCTTCACATAAAAACTAGATAGAAGCATTCTCAGAAACGACATTGTGAGGATGGCATTCAACTCATGGAGTTGAACAATCCTATTGATAGAGCAGATTGGAATCACTCTTTTTGTAGAATCTGCAAATGGAGATTTGGACTGCTTTGAGGCCTACGGTAGTACAGGAAGGAAGTTCATATAAAAGGCAAACGGAAGCATTCTCAGAATATTCTTTGTGATGATGGAGTTTCACTCACAGAGCTGAACATGCCTTTTGATGGAGCAGTTTCCAAATACACTTTTGGTAGAATCTGCAGGTGGATATTTGGAGCTCTCTGAGGCTTTCGTTGGAAACGGGAATAATTTCCCATAACTAAACACAAACACTCTGAGAAAGTTCTTCATGATGAATGCATTTAACTCGCAGAGATGAACCTGCCTTTGAGAGTTCATGTTCGAAACACTCTTTCTGTAGAATCTGCAAGTGGATATTTGGACCACTGGCTGGCCTTCGTTCGAAACGGGTATATGTTCACGTAAAAACTAAAGAGAAGCATTCTCAGAAACTTCTGAGTGATGATTGCATTCAAGTCACACAGTTGAACCCTCCTTTTGATGGAGCAGTTTTGAAACTGTCTTTTTGTAGAATCTGTAAGTGGATACGTGGACCTCTTTGAAGATTTCTTTGGAAACGGGAATATTTCCACAGAAAAACTAAACTGAAGCATTCTCAGAAACTGCTTTGTGATGTTTGTGTTCGAGCCACAGAGTTTAACATTGCTTTTCATAGAGCAGTTTTGAAATATTCTTTTGGCAGAATCTGCAAGTGGACATTTGGAGCGCTTTCAGGCCTGTGGTGGAAAAGGCCTGAAAGCCTTTTCCTTTATCTTCACAGAAAGACGAGAGGGAAGCATTGTCAGAAACTTCTTTGTGATGATTGCATTCAACTCACAGAGTTGAAGATTCCTTTTGAAACAGCAGTTTCGAAACACTCTTTCTGTGGGATCCGCAAGGGGATATTTGGACCTCTTTGAAGGTTTCGTTGGAAACGGGATAATCTTCACCTAAAAGCTAAACGGAAGCATTCTCAGAAACTTCTTTGGGATGTTTGCATTCACCTCACAGAGTTGAACTTTCCCTTTGATAGCGCAGCTTCGACACACTTTTTCTACAATGTGCAAGTGGCTATTTAGCGGGCTTGGAGGACTGTGTTGGAAAAGGAAATATCTTCTCCTAAAAACGACATAGAAGCATTCTCAGAAACTGCTCTGTGATGATTGCATTCAACTCCCAGAGTTGAACATTCCTTTTGATAGAGCAGTTTGCAAACACTCTTTTTGTAGAATCTGCAAGTGGAGATTTGGACCGCTTTGAGGCCTGTGGTAGTGAAGGAAAGAACTTCATATAAAAACCAGACGGTAGCACTCTCAGAAAATTCTTTGTGACGATGGAGTTTAACTCAGGGAGCTGAACATTCGTTATGATGGAGCAGTTTCCAAACACACGTTTTGTAGAATCTGCGAGGGGATATTTGGACCTCTCTGAGGATTTCGTTGGAAACGGGATCAACTTCCCATAACTGAACGGAAGCAAACTCAGAACATTCTTTGTGATGTTTGTATTCAACTCACAGAGTTGAACCTTCCTTTGATAGTTCAGGTTTGCAACACCCTTGTAGTAGAATCTGCAAGTGTATATTTTGACCACTTTGTAGCCTTCGTTTGAAACGTCTATATCTTCACATCAAACCTAGACAGAAGCATTCTCAGAAAGTTTTCTGCGATGACTGCATTCAACTCACAGAGTTGAACAATCCTTCTGATGGAGCAGTTTTGAAACCCTCTTTCTTTGGAATCTGCAAGGGGATATGTGGACCTCTTTGAAGATTTCACTGGAAACGGGATCATCTTCACATAAAAACTAAACAGAAGCATTCTCGGAAACTATTTTGTGATGTTTGTATTCAACTCCCAGAGTTGAACTTTCCTTTTGAAAGAGCAGCTATGAAACACTCTTTTTCGAGAATCTGCAAGTGGACGTTTAGAGGGCTTTGAGGCCTGTGGTGGAAAAGGAAATATCTTCACACAAAAACCAGATAGAAGCATTCTCAGAAACTGCTTTGTGAGGATGGCATTCAACTCATGGAGTTGAACAATCCTATTGATAGAGCAGATTGGAATCACTCTTTTTGTAGAATCTGCAAATGGAGATTTGGACTGCTTTGAGGCCTACGGTAGTACAGGAAGGAACTTCATATAAAAGGCAAACGGAAGCATTCTCAGAATATTCTTTGTGATGATGGAGTTTCACTCACAGAGCTGAACATGCCTTTTGATGGAGCAGTTTCCAAATACACTTTTGGTAGAATCTGCAGGTGGATATTTGGAGCTCTCTGAGGATTTCGTTGGAAACGGGAATAATTTCCCATAACTAAACACAAACACTCTGAGAAAGTTCTTCATGATGAATGCATTTAACTCGCAGAGATGAACCTGCCTTTGAGAGTTCAGGTTCGAAACACTCTTTCTGTATAATCTGCAAGTGGATATTTGGACCACTGGGTGGCCTTCGTTCGAAACGGGTATATGTTCACGTAAAAACTAAAGAGAAGCATTCTCAGAAACTTCTGAGTGATGATTGCATTCAAGTCACACAGTTGAACCCTCCTTTTGATGGAGCAGTTTTGAAACTGTCTTTTTGTAGAATCTGTAAGTGGATACGTGGACCTCTTTGAAGATTTCTTTGGAAACGGGAATATTTCCACAGAAAAACTAAACTGAAGCATTCTCAGAAACCGCTTTGTGATGTTTGTGTTCGAGCCACAGAGTTTAACATTGCTTTTCATAGAGCAGATTTGAAATATTCTTTTCGCAGAATCTGCAAGTGGACATTTGGAGCGCTTTCAGGCCTGTGGTGGAAAAGGCCTGAAAGCCTTTTCCTTTATCTTCACAGAAAGACGAGAGAGAAGCATTGTCAGAAACTTCTTTGCGATGATTGCATTCAACTCACAGAGTTGAAGATTCCTTTTGAAACAGCAGTTTCGAAACACTCTTTCTGTGGGATCCGCAAGGGGATATTTGGACCTCTTTGAAGGTTTCGTTGGAAACGGGATAATCTTCACCTAAAAGCTAAACGGAAGCATTCTCAGAAACTTCTTTGGGATGTTTGCATTCACCTCACAGAGTTGAACTTTCCCTTTGATAGCGCAGCTTTGACACACTTTTTCTACAATGTGCAAGTGGCTATTTAGCTGGCTTGGAGGACTGTGTTGGAAAAGGAAATATCTTCTCCTAAAAACGACATAGAAGCATTCTCAGAAACTGCTCTGTGATGATTGCATTCAACTCCCAGAGTTGAACATTCCTTTTGATAGAGCAGTTTGCAAACACTCTTTTTGTAGAATCTGCAAGTGGAGATTTGGACCGCTTTGAGGCCTGTGGTAGTGAAGGAAAGAGCTTCATATAAAAACCAGACGGTAGCACTCTCAGAAAATTCTTTGTGACGATGGAGTTTAACTCAGGGAGCTGAACATTCGTTATGATGGAGCAGTTTCCAAACACACGTTTTGTAGAATCTGCAAGGGGATATTTGGACCTCTCTGAGGATTTCGTTGGAAACGGGATCAACTTCCCATAACTGAACGGAAGCAAACTCAGAACATTCTTTGTGATGTTTGTATTCAACTCACAGAGTTGAACCTTCCTTTGATAGTTCAGGTTTGCAACACCCTTGTAGTAGAATCTGCAAGTGTATATTTTGACCACTTTGTAGCCTTCGTTTGAAACGTCTATATCTTCACATCAAACCTAGACAGAAGCATTCTCAGAAAGTTTTCTGCGATGACTGCATTCAACTCACAGAGTTGAACAATCCTTCTGATGGAGCAGTTTTGAAACCCTCTTTCTTTGGAATCTGCAAGGGGATATGTGGACCTCTTTGAAGATTTCACTGGAAACGGGATCATCTTCACATAAAAACTAAACAGAAGCATTCTCGGAAACTACTTTGTGATGTTTGTATTCAACTCCCAGAGTTGAACTTTCCTTTTGAAAGAGCAGCTATGAAACACTCTTTTTCGAGAATCTGCAAGTGGACGTTTGGAGGGCTTTGAGGCCTGTGGTGGAAAAGGAAATATCTTCACATAAAAACTAGATAGAAGCATTCTCAGAAACGACTTTGTGAGGATGGCATTCAACTCATGGAGTTGAACAATCCTATTGATAGAGCAGATTGGAATCACTCTTTTTGTAGAATCTGCAAATGGAGATTTGGACTGCTTTGAGGCCTACGGTAGTATAGGAAGGAACTTCATATAAAAGGCAAACGGAAGCATTCTCAGAATATTCTTTGTGATGATGGAGTTTCACTCACAGAGCTGAACATGCCTTTTGATGGAGCAGTTTCCAAATACACTTTTGGTAGAATCTGCAGGTGGATATTTGGAGCTCTCTGAGGATTTCGTTGGAAAAGGGAATAATTTCCCATAACTAAACACAAACACGCTGAGAACGTTCTTCATGATGAATGCATTGAACTCGCAGAGATGAACCTGCCTTTGAGAGTTCAGGTTCGAAACACTCTTTCTGTAGAATCTGCAAGTGGATATTTGGACCACTGGCTGGCCTTCGTTCGAAACGGGTATATGTTCACGTAAAAACTAAAGAGAAGCATTCTCAGAAACTTCTGAGTGATGATTGCATTCAAGTCACACAGTTGAACCCTCCTTTTGATGGAGCAGTTTTGAAACTGTCTTTTTGTAGAATCTGTAAGTGGATACGTGGACCTCTTTGAAGATTTCTTTGGAAACGGGAATATTTCCACAGAAAAACTAAACTGAAGCATTCTCAGAAACTGCTTTGTGATGTTTGTGTTCGAGCCACAGAGTTTAACATTGCTTTTCATAGAGCAGTTTTGAAATATTCTTTTGGCAGAATCTGCAAGTGGACATTTGGAGCGCTTTCAGGCCTGTGGTGGAAAAGGCCTGAAAGCCTTTTCCTTTATCTTCACAGAAAGACGAGAGAGAAGCATTGTCAGAAACTTCTTTGTGATGATTGCATTCAACTCACAGAGTTGAAGATTCCTTTTGAAACAGCAGTTTCGAAACACTCTTTCTGTGGGATCCACAAGGGGATATTTGGACCTCTTTGAAGGTTTCGTTGGAAACGGGATAATCTTCACCTAAAAGCTAAACGGAAGCATTCTCAGAAACTTCTTTGGGATGTTTGCATTCACCTCACAGAGTTGAACTTTCCCTTTGATAGCGCAGCTTTGACACACTTTTTCTACAATGTGCAAGTGGCTATTTAGCGGGCTTGGAGGACTGTGTTGGAAAAGGAAATATCTTCTCCTAAAAACGACATAGAAGCATTCTCAGAAACTGCTCTGTGATGATTGCATTCAACTCCCAGAGTTGAACATTCCTTTTGATAGAGCAGTTTGCAAACACTCTTTTTGTAGAATCTGCAAGTGGAGATTTGGACCGCTTTGAGGCCTGTGGTAGTGAAGGAAAGAACTTCATATAAAAACCAGACGGTAGCACTCTCAGAAAATTCTTTGTGACGATGGAGTTTAACTCAGGGAGCTGAACATTCGTTATGATGGAGCAGTTTCCAAACACACGTTTTGTAGAATCTGCAAGGGGATATTTGGACCTCTCTGAGGATTTCGTTGGAAACGGGATCAACTTCCCATAACTGAACGGAAGCAAACTCAGAACATTCTTTGTGATGTTTGTATTCAACTCACAGAGTTGAACCTTCCTTTGATAGTTCAGGTTTGCAACACCCTTGTAGTAGAATCTGCAAGTGTATATTTTGACCACTTTGTAGCCTTCGTTTGAAACGTCTATATCTTCACATCAAACCTAGACAGAAGCATTCTTAGAAAGTTTTCTGCGATGACTGCATTCAACTCACAGAGTTGAACAATCCTTCTGATGGAGCAGTTTTGAAACCCTCTTTCTTTGGAATCTGCAAGGGGATATGTGGACCTCTTTGAAGATTTCACTGGAAACGGGATCATCTTCACATAAAAACTAAATATAAGCATTCTCGGAAACTACTTTGGGATGTTTGTATTCAACTCCCAGAGTTGAACTTTCCTTTTGAAAGAGCAGCTATGAAACACTCTTTTTCGAGAATCTGCAAGTGGACGTTTGGAGGGCTTTGAGGCCTGTGGTGGAAAAGGAAATATCTTCACATAAAAACTAGATAGAAGCATTCTCACAAACGACATTGTGAGGATGGAATTCAACTCATGGAGTTGAACAATCCTATTGATAGAGCAGATTGGAATCACTCTTTTTGTAGAATCTGCAAATGGAGATTTGGACTGCTTTGAGGCCTACGGTAGTATAGGAAGGAACTTCATATAAAAGGCAAACGGAAGCATTCTCAGAATATTCTTTGTGATGATGGAGTTTCACTCACAGAGCTGAACATGCCTTTTGATGGAGCAGTTTCCAAATACACTTTTGGTAGAATCTGCAGGTGGATATTTGGAGCTCTCTGAGGATTTCGTTGGAAACGGGAATAATTTCCCATAACTAAACACAAACACTCTGAGAAAGTTCTTCATGATGAATGCATTTAACTCGCAGAGATGAACCTGCCTTTGAGAGTTCAGGTTCGAAACACTCTTTCTGTAGAATCTGCAAGTGGATATTTGGACCACTGGGTGGCCTTCGTTCGAAACGGGTATATGTTCACATAAAAACTAAAAAGAAGCATTCTCAGAAACTTCTGAGTGATGATTGCATTCAAGTCACATAGTTGAACCCTCCTTTTGATGGAGTAGTTCTGAAACTGTCTTTTTGTAGAATCTGTAAGTGGATACGTGGACCTCTTTGAAGATTTCTTTGGAAACGGGAATATTTCCACAGAAAAACTAAACTGAAGCATTCTCAGAAACTGCTTTGTGATGTTTGTGTTCGAGCCACAGAGTTTAACATTGCTTTTCATAGAGCAGTTTTGAAATATTCTTTTCGCAGAATCTGCAAGTGGACATTTGGAGCGCTTTCAGGCCTGTGGTGGAAAAGGCCTGAAAGCCTTTTCCTTTATCTTCACAGAAAGACGAGAGAGAAGCATTGTCAGAAACTTCTTTGTGATGATTGCATTCAACTCACAGAGTTGAAGATTCCTTTTGAAACAGCAGTTTCGAAACACTCTTTCTGTGGGATCCGCAAGGGGATATTTGGACCTCTTTGAAGGTTTCGTTGGAAACGGGATAATCTTCACCTAAAAGCTAAACGGAAGCATTCTCAGAAACTTCTTTGGGATGTTTGCATTCACCTCACAGAGTTGAACTTTCCCTTTGATAGCGCAGCTTTGACACACTTTTTCTACAATGTGCAAGTGGCTATTTAGCGGGCTTGGAGGACTGTGTTGGAAAAGGAAATATCTTCTCCTAAAAACGACATAGAAGCATTCTCAGAAACTGCTCTGTGATGATTGCATTCAACTCCCAGAGTTGAACATTCCTTTTGATAGAGCAGTTTGCAAACACTCTTTTTGTAGAATCTGCAAGTGGAGATTTGGACCGCTTTGAGGCCTGTGGTAGTGAAGGAAAGAACTTCATATAAAAACCAGACGGTAGCAATCTCAGAAAATTCTTTGTGACGATGGAGTTTAACTCAGGGAGCTGAACATTCGTTATGATGGAGCAGTTTCCAAACACACGTTTTGTAGAATCTGCAAGGGGATATTTGGACCTCTCTGAGGATTTCGTTGGAAACGGGATCAACTTCCCATAACTGAACGGAAGCAAACTCAGAACATTCTTTGTGATGTTTGTATTCAACTCACAGAGTTGAACCTTCCTTTGATAGTTCAGGTTTGCAACACCCTTGTAGTAGAATCTGCAAGTGTATATTTTGACCACTTTGTAGCCTTCGTTTGAAACGTCTATATCTTCACATCAAACCTAGACAGAAGCATTCTCAGAAAGTTTTCTGCGATGACTGCATTCAACTCACAGAGTTGAACAATCCTTCTGATGGAGCAGTTTTGAAACCCTCTTTCTTTGGAATCTGCAAGGGGATATGTGGACCTCTTTGAAGATTTCACTGGAAACGGGATCATCTTCACATAAAAACTAAACAGAAGCATTCTCGGAAACTATTTTGTGATGTTTGTATTCAACTCCCAGAGTTGAACTTTCCTTTTGAAAGAGCAGCTATGAAACACTCTTTTTCGAGAATCTGCAAGTGGACGTTTGGAGGGCTTTGAGGCCTGTGGTGGAAAAGGAAATATCTTCACACAAAAACCAGATAGAAGCATTCTCAGAAACTACTTTGTGAGGATGGCATTCAACTCATGGAGTTGAACAATCCTATTGATAGAGCAGATTGGAATCACTCTTTTTATAGAATCTGCAAATGGAGATTTGGACTGCTTTGAGGCCTACGGTAGTACAGGAAGGAACTTCATATAAAAGGCAAACGGAAGCATTCTCAGAATATTCTTTGTGATGATGGAGTTTCACTCACAGAGCTGAACATGCCTTTTGATGGAGCAGTTTCCAAATACACTTTTGGTAGAATCTGCAGGTGGATATTTGGAGCTCTCTGAGGATTTCGTTGGAAACGGGAATAATTTCCCATAACTAAACACAAACACTCTGAGAAAGTTCTTCATGATGAATGCATTTAACTCGCAGAGATGAACCTGCCTTTGAGAGTTCAGGTTCGAAACACTCTTTCTGTATAATCTGCAAGTGGATATTTGGACCACTGGGTGGCCTTCGTTCGAAACGGGTATATGTTCACGTAAAAACTAAAGAGAAGCATTCTCAGAAACTTCTGAGTGATGATTGCATTCAAGTCACACAGTTGAACCCTCCTTTTGATGGAGCAGTTTTGAAACTGTCTTTTTGTAGAATCTGTAAGTGGATACGTGGACCTCTTTGAAGATTTCTTTGGAAACGGGAATATTTCCACAGAAAAACTAAACTGAAGCATTCTCAGAAACTGCTTTGTGATGTTTGTGTTCGAGCCACAGAGTTTAACATTGCTTTTCATAGATCAGTTTTGAAATATTCTTTTCGCAGAATCTGCAAGTGGACATTTGGAGCGCTTTCAGGCCTGTGGTGGAAAAGGCCTGAAAGCCTTTTCCTTTATCTTCACAGAAAGACGAGAGAGAAGCATTGTCAGAAACTTCTTTGTGATGATTGCATTCAACTCACAGAGTTGAAGATTCCTTTTGAAACAGCAGTTTCGAAACACTCTTTCTGTGGGATCCGCAAGGGGATATTTGGACCTCTTTGAAGGTTTCGTTGGAAACGGGATAATCTTCACCTAAAAGCTAAACGGAAGCATTCTCAGAAACTTCTTTGGGATGTTTGCATTCACCTCACAGAGTTGAACTTTCCCTTTGATAGCGCAGCTTTGACACACTTTTTCTACAATGTGCAAGTGGCTATTTAGCGGGCTTGGAGGACTGTGTTGGAAAAGGAAATATCTTCTCCTAAAAACGACATAGAAGCATTCTCAGAAACTGCTCTGTGATGATTGCATTCAACTCCCAGAGTTGAACATTCCTTTTGATAGAGCAGTTTGCAAACACTCTTTTTGTAGAATCTGCAAGTGGAGATTTGGACCGCTTTGAGGCCTGTGGTAGTGAAGGAAAGAACTTCATATAAAAACCAGACGGTAGCACTCTCAGAAAATTCTTTGTGACGATGGAGTTTAACTCAGGGAGCTGAACATTCGTTATGATGGAGCAGTTTCCAAACACACGTTTTGTAGAATCTGCAAGGGGATATTTGGACCTCTCTGAGGATTTCGTTGGAAACGGGATCAACATCCCATAACTGAACAGAAGCAAACTCAGAACATTCTTTGTGATGTTTGTATTCAACTCACAGAGTTGAACCTTCCTTTGATAGTTCAGGTTTGCAACACCCTTGTAGTAGAATCTGCAAGTGTATATTTTGACCACTTTGTAGCCTTCGTTTGAAACGTCTATATCTTCACATCAAACCTAGACAGAAGCATTCTCAGAAAGTTTTCTGCGATGACTGCATTCAACTCACAGAGTTGAACAATCCTTCTGATGGAGCAGTTTTGAAACCCTCTTTCTTTGCAATATGCAAGGGGATATGTGGACCTCTTTGAAGATTTCACTGGAAACGGGATCATCTTCACATAAAAACTAAACAGAAGCATTCTCGGAAACTACTTTGTGATGTTTGTATTCAACTCCCAGAGTTGAACTTTCCTTTTGAAAGAGCAGCTATGAAACACTCTTTTTCGAGAATCTGCAAGTGGACGTTTGGAGGGCTTTGAGGCCTGTGGTGGAAAAGGAAATATCTTCACATAAAAACTAGATAGAAGCATTCTCAGAAACTACTTTGTGAGGATGGCATTCAACTCATGGAGTTGAACAATCCTATTGATAGAGCAGATTGGAATCACTCTTTTTGTAGAATCTGCAAATGGAGATTTGGACTGCTTTGAGGCCTACGGTCGTATAGGAAGGAACTTCATATAAAAGGCAAACGGAAGCATTCTCAGAATATTCTTTGTGATGATGGAGTTTCACTCACAGAGCTGAACATGCCTTTTGATGGAGCAGTTTCCAAATACACTTTTGGTAGAATCTGCAGGTGGATATTTGGACCTCTCTGAGGATTTCGTTGGAAACGGGAATAATTTCCCATAACTAAACACAAACACTCTGAGAAAGTTCTTCATGATGAATGCATTTAACTCGCAGAGATGAACCTGCCTTTGAGAGTTCAGGTTCGAAACACTCTTTCTGTATAATCTGCAAGTGGATATTTGGACCACTGGGTGGCCTTCGTTCGAAACGGGTATATGTTCACGTAAAAACTAAAGAGAAGCATTCTCAGAAACTTCTGAGTGATGATTGCATTCAAGTCACACAGTTGAACCCTCCTTTTGATGGAGCAGTTTTGAAACTGTCTTTTTGTAGAATCTGTAAGTGGATACGTGGACCTCTTTGAAGATTTCTTTGGAAACGGGAATATTTCCACAGAAAAACTAAACTGAAGCATTCTCAGAAACCTCTTTGTGATGTTTGTGTTCGAGCCACAGAGTTTAACATTGCTTTTCATAGAGCAGTTTTGAAATATTCTTTTCGCAGAATCTGCAAGTGGACATTTGGAGCGCTTTCAGGCCTGTGGTGGCAAAGGCCTGAAAGCCTTTTCCTTTATCTTCACAGAAAGACGAGAGAGAAGCATTGTCAGAAACTTCTTTGTGATGATTGCATTCAACTCACAGAGTTGAAGATTCCTTTTGAAACAGCAGTTTCGAAACACTCTTTCTGTGGGATCCGCAAGGGGATATTTGGACCTCTTTGAAGGTTTCGTTGGAAACGGGATAATCTTCACCTAAAAGCTAAACGGAAGCATTCTCAGAAACTTCTTTGGGATGTTTGCATTCACCTCACAGAGTTGAACTTTCCCTTTGATAGCGCAGCTTCGACACACTTTTTCTACAATGTGCAAGTGGCTATTTAGCGGGCTTGGAGGACTGTGTTGGAAAAGGAAATATCTTCTCCTAAAAACGACATAGAAGCATTCTCAGAAACTGCTCTGTGATGATTGCATTCAACTCCCAGAGTTGAACATTCCTTTTGATAGAGCAGTTTGCAAACACTCTTTTTGTAGAATCTGCAAGTGGAGATTTGGACCGCTTTGAGGCCTGTGGTAGTAAAGGAAAGAACTTCATATAAAAACCAGACGGTAGCACTCTCAGAAAATTCTTTGTGACGATGGAGTTTAACTCAGAGAGCTGAACATTCGTTATGATGGAGCAGTTTCCAAACACACGTTTTGTAGAATCTGCAAGGGGATATTTGGACCTCTCTGAGGATTTCGTTGGAAACGGGATCAACTTCCCATAACTGAACGGAAGCAAACTCAGAACATTCTTTGTGATGTTTGTATTCAACTCACAGAGTTGAACCTTCCTTTGATAGTTCAGGTTTGCAACACCCTTGTAGTAGAATCTGCAAGTGTATATTTTGACCACTTTGTAGCCTTCGTTTGAAACGTCTATATCTTCACCTCAAACCTAGACAGAAGCATTCTCAGAAAGTTTTCTGCGATGACTGCATTCAACTCACAGAGTTGAACAATCCTTTTGATGGAGCAGTTTTGAAACCCTCTTTCTTTGGAATCTGCAAGGGGATATGTGGACCTCTTTGAAGATTTCACTGGAAACGGGATCATCTTCACATAAGAACTAAACAGAAGCATTCTCGGAAACTACTTTGTGATGTTTGTATTCAACACCCAGAGTTGAACTTTCCTTTTGAAAGAGCAGCTATGAAACACTCTTTTTCGAGAATCTGCAAGTGGACGTTTGGAGGGCTTTGAGGCTGTGGTGGAAAAGGAAATATCTTCACATAAAAACTAGATAGAAGCATTCTCAGAGACTACTTTGTGAGGATGGCATTCAACTCATGGAGTTGAACAATCCTATTGATAGAGCAGATTGGAATCACTCTTTTTGTAGGATCTGCAAATGGAGATTTGGACTGCTTTGAGGCCTACGGTAGTATAGGAAGGAACTTCATATAAAAGGCAAATGGAAGCATTCTCAGAATATTCTTTGTGATGATGGAGTTTCACTCACAGAGCTGAACATGCCTTTTGATGGAGCAGTTTCCAAATACACTTTTGGTAGAATCTGCAGGTGGATATTTGGACCTCTCTGAGGATTTCGTTGGAAACGGCAATAATTTCCCATACCTAAACACAAACACGCTGAGAAAGTTCTTCATGTTGAATGCATTGAACTCGCAGAGATGAACCTGCCTTTGAGAGTTCAGGTTCGAAACACTCTTTCTGTAGAATCTGCAAGTGGATATTTGGACCACTGGGTGGCCTTCGTTCGAAACGGGTATATGTTCACGTAAAAACTAAAGAGAAGCATTCTCAGAAACTTCTGACTGATGATTGCATTCAAGTCACACGGTTGAACCCTCCTTTTGATTGAGCAGTTTTGAAACTGTCTTTTTGTAGAATCTGTAAATGGATACGTGGACCTCTTTGAAGATTTCTTTGGAAACGGGAATATTTCCACAGAAAAACTAAACTGAAGCATTCTCAGAAACCGCTTTGTGATGTTTGTGTTCGAGCCGCAGAGTTTAACATTGCTTTTCATAGAGCAGTTTTGAAATATTGTTTTGGCAGAATCTGCAAGTGGACATTTGGAGTGCTTTCAGGCCTGTGGTGGAAAAGGCCTGAAAGCCTTTTCCTTTATCTTCACAGAAAGACGAGAGAGAAGCATTGTCAGAAACTTCTTTGTGATGATTGCATTCAACTCACAGAGTTGAAGAGTCCTTTTGAAACAGCAGTTTCGAAACACTCTTTCTGTGGGATCCGCAAGGGGATATTTGGACCTCTTTGAAGGTTTCTTTGGAAACGGGATAATCTTCACCTAAAAGCTAAACGGAAGCATTCTCAGAAACTTCTTTGGGATGTTTGCATTCACCTCACAGAGTTGAACTTTCCCTTTGATAGCGCAGCTTCGACACACTTTTTCTACAATGTGCAAGTGGATATTTAGCGGGCTTGGAGGACTGTGTTGGAAAAGGAAATATCTTCTCCTAAAAACGACATAGAAGCATTCTCAGAAACTGCTCTGTGATGATTGCATTCAACTCCCAGAGTTGAACATTCCTTTTGATAGAGCAGTTTGCAAACACTGTTTTTGTAGAATCTGCAACTGGAGATTTGGACCGCTTTGAGGCCTGTGGTAGTAAAGGAAAGAACTTCATATAAAAACCAGACGGTAGCACTCTCAGAAAATTCTTTGTGACGATGGAGTTTAACTCAGAGAGCTGAACATTCGTTATGATGGAGCAGTTTCCAAACACACGTTTTGTAGAATCTGCAAGGGGATATTTGGACCTCTCTGAGGATTTCGTTGGAAACGGGATCAACTTCCCATAACTGAACAGAAGCAAACTGAGAACATTCTTTGTGATGTTTGTATTCAACTCACAGAGTTGAACCTTCCTTTGATAGTTGAGGTTTGCAACACCCTTGTAGTAGAATCTGCAAGTGTATATTTTGACCACTTTGTAGCCTTCGTTTGAAACGTCTATATCTTCACCTCAAACCTAGACAGAAGCATTCTCAGAAAGTTTTCTGCGATGACTGCATTCAACTCACAGAGTTGAACAATCCTTTTGATGGAGCAGTTTTGAAACCCTCTTTCTTTGGAATCTGCAAGGGGATATGTGGACCTCTTTGAAGATTTCACTGGAAACGGGATCATCTTCACATAAGAACTAAACAGAAAGCATTCTCGGAAACTACTTTGTGATGTTTGTATTCAACTCCCAGAGTTGAACTTTCCTTTTGAAAGAGCAGCTATGAAACACTCTTTTTCGAGAATCTGAAAGTGGACGTTTGGAGGGCTTTGAGGCCTGTGGTGGAAAAGGAAATATCTTCACATAAAAACTAGATAGAAGCATTCTCAGAAACGACTTTGTGAGGATGGCATTCAACTCATGGAGTTGAACAATCCTATTGATAGAGCAGATTGGAATCACTCTTTTTGTAGAATCTGCAAATGGAGATTTGCACTGCTTTGAGGCCTACGGTCGTATAGGAAGGAACTTCATATAAAAGGCAAACGGAAGCATTCTCAGAATATTCTTTGTGATGATGGAGTTTCACTCACAGAGCTGAACATGCCTGTTGATGGAGCAGTTTCCAAATACACTTTTGGTAGAATCTGCAGGTGGACATTTGGACCTCTCTGAGGATTTCGTTGGGAACGGGAATAATTTCCCATAACTAAACACAAACACTCTGAGAAAGTTCTTCATGATGAATGCATTTAACTCGCAGAGATGAACCTGCCTTTGAGAGTTCAGGTTCGAAACACTCTTTCTGTAGAATCTGCAAGTGGATATTTGGACCACTGGGTGGCCTTCGTTCGAAACGGGTATATGTTCACGTAAAAACTAAAGAGAAGCATTCTCAGAAACTTCTGAGTGATGATTGCATTCAAGTCACACAGTTGAACCCTCCTTTTGATGGAGCAGTTTTGAAACTGTCTTTTTGTAGAATCTGTAAGTGGATACGTGGACCTCTTTGAAGATTTCTTTGGAAACGGGAATATTTCCACAGAAAAACTAAACTGAAGCATTCTCAGAAACTGCTTTGTGATGTTTGTGTTCGAGCCACAGAGTTTAACATTGCTTTTCATAGAGCAGTTTTGCAATATTCTTTTCACAGAATCTGCAAGTGGACATTTGGAGCGCTTTCAGGCCTGTGGTGGAAAAGGCCTGAAAGCCTTTTCCTTTATCTTCACAGAAAGACGAGAGAGAAGCATTGTCAGAAACTTCTTTGTGATGATTGCATTCAACTCACAGAGTTGAAGATTCCTTTTGAAACAGCAGTTTCGAAACACTCTTTCTGTGGGATCCGCAAGGGGATATTTGGACCTCTTTGAAGGTTTCGTTGGAAACGGGATAATCTTCACCTAAAAGCTAAACGGAAGCATTCTCAGAAACTTCTTTGGGATGTTTGCATTCACCTCACAGAGTTGAACTTTCCCTTTGATAGCACAGCTTTGACACACTTTTTCTACAATGTGCAAGTGGCTATTTAGCGGGCTTGGAGGACTGTGTTGGAAAAGGAAATATCTTCTCCTAAAAACGACATAGAAGCATTCTCAGAAACTGCTCTGTGATGATTGCATTCAACTCCCAGAGTTGAACATTCCTTTTGATAGAGCAGTTTGCAAACACTCTTTTTGTAGAATCTGCAAGTGGAGATTTGGACCGCTTTGAGGCCTGTGGTAGTGAAGGAAAGAACTTCATATAAAAACCAGACGGTAGCACTCTCAGAAAATTCTTTGTGACGATGGAGTTTAACTCAGGGAGCTGAACATTCGTTATGATGGAGCAGTTTCCAAACACACGTTTTGTAGAATCTGCGAGGGGATATTTGGACCTCTCTGAGGATTTCGTTGGAAACGGGATCAACTTCCCATAACTGAACGGAAGCAAACTCAGAACATTCTTTGTGATGTTTGTATTCAACTCACAGAGTTGAACCTTCCTTTGATAGTTCAGGTTTGCAACACCCTTGTAGTAGAATCTGCAAGTGTATATTTTGACCACTTTGTAGCCTTCGTTTGAAACGTCTATATCTTCACATCAAACCTAGCCAGAAGCATTCTCAGAAAGTTTTCTGCGATGACTGCATTCAACTCACAGAGTTGAACAATCCTTCTGATGGAGCAGTTTTGAAACCCTCTTTCTTTGGAATCTGCAAGGGGATATGTGGACCTCTTTGAAGATTTCACTGGAAACGGGATCATCTTCACATAAAAACTAAACAGAAGCATTCTCGGAAACTACTTTGTGATGTTTGTATTCAACTCCCAGAGTTGAACTTTCCTTTTGAAAGAGCAGCTATGAAACACTCTTTTTCGAGAATCTGCAAGTGGACGTTTGGAGGGCTTTGAGGCCTGTGGTGGAAAAGGAAATATCTTCACACAAAAACCAGATAGAAGCATTCTCAGAAACTACTTTGTGAGGATGGCATTCAACTCATGGAGTTGAACAATCCTATTGATAGAGCAGATTGGAATCACTCTTTTTATAGAATCTGCAAATGGAGATTTGGACTGCTTTGAGGCCTACGGTAGTACAGGAAGGAACTTCATATAAAAGGCAAACGGAAGCATTCTCAGAATATTCTTTGTGATGATGGAGTTTCACTCACAGAGCTGAACATGCCTTTTGATGGAGCAGTTTCCAAATACACTTTTGGTAGAATCTGCAGGTGGATATTTGGAGCTCTCTGAGGATTTCGTTGGAAACGGGAATAATTTCCCATAACTAAACACAAACACTCTGAGAAAGTTCTTCATGATGAATGCATTTAACTCGCAGAGATGAACCTGCCTTTGAGAGTTCAGGTTCGAAACACTCTTTCTGTATAATCTGCAAGTGGATATTTGGACCACTGGGTGGCCTTCGTTCGAAACGTGTATATGTTCACCTAAAAACTAAAGAGAAGCATTCTCAGAAACTTCTGAGTGATGATTGCATTCAAGTCACACAGTTGAACCCTCCTTTTGATGGAGCAGTTTTGAAACTGTCTTTTTGTAGAATCTGTAAGTGGATACGTGGACCTCTTTGAAGATTTCTTTGGAAACGGGAATATTTCCACAGAAAAACTAAACTGAAACATTCTCAAAAACCGCTTTGTGATGTTTGTGTTCGAGCCACAGAGTTTAACATTGCTTTTCATAGAGCAGTTTTGAAATATTCTTTTGGCAGAATCTGCAAGTGGACATTTGGAGCGCTTTCAGGCCTGTGGTGGCAAAGGCCTGAAAGCCTTTTCCTTTATCTTCACAGAAAGACGAGAGAGAAGCATTGTCAGAAACTTCTTTGTGATGATTGCATTCAACTCACAGAGTTGAAGATTCCTTTTGAAACAGCAGTTTCGAAACACTCTTTCTGTGGGATCCGCAAGGGGATATTTGGACCTCTTTGAAGGTTTCGTTGGAAACGGGATAATCTTCACCTAAAAGCTAAACGGAAGCATTCTCAGAAACTTCTTTGGGATGTTTGCATTCACCTCACAGAGTTGAACTTTCCCTTTGATAGCGCAGCTTCGACACACTTTTTCTAAAGTGTGCAAGTGGACCTTTAGCGGGCTTGGAGGACTGTGTTGGAAAAGGAAATATCTTCTCCTAAAAACGACATAGAAGCATTCTCAGAAACTGCTCTGTGATGATTGCATTCAACTCCCAGAGTTGAACATTCCTTTTGATAGAGCAGTTTGCAAACACTGTTTTTGTAGAATCTGCAAGTGGAGATTTGGACCGCTTTGAGGCCTGTGGTAGTAAAGGAAAGAACTTCATATAAAAACCAGACGGTAGCACTCTCAGAAAATTCTTTGTGACGATGGAGTTTAACTCAGAGAGCTGAACATTCGTTATGATGGAGCAGTTTCCAAACACACGTTTTGTAGAATCTGCAAGGGGATATTTGGACCTCTCTGAGGATTTCGTTGGAAACGGGATCAACTTCCCATAACTGAACGGAAGCAAACTCAGAACATTCTTTGTGATGTTTGTATTCAACTCACAGAGTTGAACCTTCCTTTGATAGTTCAGGTTTGCAACACCCTTGTAGTAGAATCTGCAAGTGTATATTTTGACCACTTTGTAGCCTTCGTTTGAAACGTCTATATCTTCACCTCAAACCTAGACAGAAGCATTCTCAGAAAGTTTTCTGCGATGACTGCATTCAACTCACAGAGTTGAACAATCCTTTTGATGGAGCAGTTTTGAAACCCTCTTTCTTTGGAATCTGCAAGGGGATATGTGGACCTCTTTGAAGATTTCACTGGAAACGGGATCATCTTCACATAAGAACTAAACAGAAGCATTCTCGGAAACTACTTTGTGATGTTTGTATTCAACTCCCAGAGTTGAACTTTCCTTTTGAAAGAGCGGCTATGAAACACTCTTTTTCGAGAATCTGCAAGTGGACGTTTGGAGGGCTTTGAGGCCTGTGGTGGAAAAGGAAATATCTTCACATAAAAACTAGATAGAAGCATTCTCAGAAACGACTTTGTGAGGATGGCATTCAACTCATGGAGTTGAACAATCCTATTGATAGAGCAGATTGGAATCACTCTTTTGGTAGAATCTGCAAATGGAGATTTGGACTGCTTTGAGGCCTACGGTAGTATAGGAAGGAACTTCATATAAAAGGCAAACGGAAGCATTCTCAGAATATTCTTTGTGATGATGGAGTTTGACTCACAGAGTTGAACATGCCTTTTGATGGAGCAGTTTCCAAATACACTTTTGGTAGAATCTGCAGGTGGATATTTGGACCTCTCTGAGGATTTCGTTGGAAACGGGAATAATTTCCCATACCTAAACACAAACACTCTGAGAAAGTTCTTCATGATGAATGCATTGAACTCGCAGAGATGAACCTGCCTTTGAGAGTTCAGGTTCGAAACACTCTTTCTGTAGAATCTGCAAGTGGATATTTGGACCACTGGGTGGCCTTCGTTCGAAACGGGTATATGTTCACGTAAAAACTAAAGAGAAGCATTCTCAGAAACTTCTGAGTGATGATTGCATTCAAGTCACACGGTTGAACCCTCCTTTTGATTGAGCAGTTTTGAAACTGTCTTTTTGTAGAATCTGTAAGTGGATACGTGGACCTCTTTGAAGATTTCTTTGGAAATGGGAATATTTCCACAGAAAAACTAAACTGAAGCATTCTCAGAAACTGCTTTGTGATGTTTGTGTTCGAGCCGCAGAGTTTAACATTGCTTTTCATAGAGCAGTTTTGAAATATTCTTTTGGCAGAATCTGCAAGTGGACATTTGGAGCGCTTTCAGGCCTGTGGTGGAAAAGGCCTGAAAGCCTTTTCCTTTATCTTCACAGAAAGACGAGAGAGAAGCATTGTCAGAAACTTCTTTGTGATGATTGCATTCAACCCACAGAGTTGAAGATTCCTTTTGAAACAGCAGTTTCGAAACACTCTTTCTGTGGGATCCGCAAGGGGATATTTGGACCTCTTTGAAGATTTCGTTGGAAACGGGATAATCTTCACCTAAAAGCTAAACGGAAGCATTCTCAGAAACTTCTTTGGGATGTTTGCATTCACCTCACAGAGTTGAACTTTCCCTTTGATAGCGCAGCTTCGACACACTTTTTCTACAATGTGCAAGTGGATATTTAGCGGGCTTGGAGGACTGTGTTGGAAAAGGAAATATCTTCTCCTAAAAACGACATAGAAGCATTCTCAGAAACTGCTCTGTGATGATTGCATTCAACTCCCAGAGTTGAACATTCCTTTTGATAGAGCAGTTTGCAAACACTCTTTTTGTAGAATCTGCAAGTGGAGATTTGGACCGCTTTGAGGCCTGTGGTAGTAAAGGAAAGAACTTCATATAAAAACCAGACGGTAGCACTCTCAGAAAATTCTTTGTGACGATGGAGTTTAACTCAGAGAGCTGAACATTCGTTATGATGGAGCAGTTTCCAAACACACGTTTTGTAGAATCTGCAAGGGGATATTTGGACCTCTCTGAGGATTTCGTTGGAAACGGGATCAACTTCCCATAACTGAACGGAAGCAAACTCAGAACATTCTTTGTGATGTTTGTATTCAACTCACAGAGTTGAACCTTCCTTTGATAGTTGAGGTTTGCAACACCCTTGTAGTAGAATCTGCAAGTGTATATTTTGACCACTTTGTAGCCTTCGTTTGAAACGTCTATATCTTCACCTCAAACCTAGACAGAAGCATTCTCAGAAAGTTTTCTGCGATGACTGCATTCAACTCACAGAGTTGAACAATCCTTTTGATGGAGCAGTTTTGAAACCCTCTTTCTTTGGAATCTGCAAGGGGATATGTGGACCTCTTTGAAGATTTCACTGGAAACGGGATCATCTTCACATAAGAACTAAACAGAAGCATTCTCGGAAACTACTTTGTGATGTTTGTATTCAACTCCCAGAGTTGAACTTTCCTTTTGAAAGAGCAGCTATGAAACACTCTTTTTCGAGAATCTGCAAGTGGACGTTTGGAGGGCTTTGAGGCCTGTGGTGGAAAAGGAAATATCTTCACATAAAAACTAGATAGAAGCATTCTCAGAAACGGCTTTGTGAGGATGGCATTCAACTCATGGAGTTGAACAATCCTATTGATAGAGCAGATTGGAATCACTCTTTTTGTAGAATCTGCAAATGGAGATTTGGACTGCTTTGAGGCCTACGGTCGTATAGGAAGGAACTTCATATAAAAGGCAAACGGAAGCATTCTCAGAATATTCTTTGTGA
Organism: Homo sapiens; assembly: GCF_000001405.40. Taxonomy (NCBI): domain Eukaryota; kingdom Metazoa; phylum Chordata; class Mammalia; order Primates; family Hominidae; genus Homo; species Homo sapiens. The sequence goes on from NC_000023.11 coordinate 59,223,189, forward strand.
TGATGGAGTTTCACTCACAGAGCTGAACATGCCTTTTGATGGAGCAGTTTCAAAATACACTTTTGGTAGAATCTGCAGGTGGATATTTGGACGTCTCTGAGGATTTCGTTGGAAACGGGAATAATTTCCCATAACTAAACACAAACACGCTGAGAAAGTTCTTCATGATGAATGCATTGAACTCGCAGAGATGAACCTGCCTTTGAGAGTTCAGGTTCGAAACACTCTTTCTGTAGAATCTGCAAGTGGATATTTGGACCACTGGGTGGCCTTCGTTCGAAACGGGTATATGTTCACGTAAAAACTAAAGAGAAGCGTTCTCAGAAACTTCTGCGTGATGATTGCATTCAAGTCACACGGTTGAACCCTCCTTTTGATTGAGCAGTTTTGAAACTGTCTTTTTGTAGAATCTGTAAGTGGATACGTGGACCTCTTTGAAGATTTCTTTCGAAACGGGAATATTTCCACAGAAAAACTAAACTGAAGCTTTCTCAGAAACTGCTTTGTGATGTTTGTGTTCGAGCCGCAGAGTTTAACATTGCTTTTCATAGAGCAGTTTTGAAATATTCTTTTGGCAGAATCTGCAAGTGGACATTTGGAGCGCTTTCAGGCCTGTGGTGGAAAAGGCCTGAAAGCCTTTTCCTTTATCTTCACAGAAAGACGAGAGAGAAGCATTGTCAGAAACTTCTTTGTGATGATTGCATTCAACTCACAGAGTTGAAGATTCCTTTTGAAACAGCAGTTTCGAAACACTCTTTCTGTGGGATCCGCAAGGGGATATTTGGACCTCTTTGAAGATTTCGTTGGAAACGGGATAATCTTCACCTAAAAGCTAAACGGAAGCATTCTCAGAAACTTCTTTGGGATGTTTGCATTCACCTCACAGAGTTGAACTTTCCCTTTGATAGCGCAGCTTCGACACACTTTTTCTACAATGTGCAAGTGGATATTTAGCGGGCTTGGAGGACTGTGTTGGAAAAGGAAATATCTTCTCCTAAAAACGACATAGAAGCATTCTAAGAAACTGCTCTGTGATGATTGCATTCAACTCCCAGAGTTGAACATTCCTTTTGATAGAGCAGTTTGCAGACACTCTTTTTGTAGAATCTGCAAGTGGAGATTTGGACCGCTTTGAGGCCTGTGGTAGTAAAGGAAAGAACTTCATATAAAAACTAGACGGTAGCACTCTCAGAAAATTCTTTGTGACGATGGAGTTTAACTCAGAGAGCTGAACATTCGTTATGATGGAGCAGTTTCCAAACACACGTTTTGTAGAATCTGCAAGGGGATATTTGGACCTCTCTGAGGATTTCGTTGGAAACGGGATCAACTTCCCATAACTGAACGGAAGCAAACTCAGAACATTCTTTGTGATGTTTGTATTCAACTCACAGAGTTGAACCTTCCTTTGATAGTTGAGGTTTGCATCACCCTTGTAGTAGAATCTGCAAGTGTATATGTTGACCACTATGTAGCCTTCGTTTGAAACGTCTATATCTTCACATCAAACCTAGACAGAAGCATTCTCAGAAAGTTTTCTGCGATGACTGCATTCAACTCACAGAGTTGAACAATCCTTTTGATGGAGCAGTTTTGAAACCCTCTTTCTTTGGAATCTGCAAGGGGATATGTGGACCTCTTTGAAGATTTCACTGGAAACGGGATCATCTTCACATAAGAACTAAACAGAAGCATTCTCAGAAACTACTTTGTGATGTTTGTATTCAGCTCCCAGAGTTGAACTTTCCTTTTGAAAGAGCAGCTATGAAACACTCTTTTTCGAGAATCTGCAAGTGGACGTTTGGAGGGCTTTGAGGCCTGTGGTGGAAAAGGAAATATCTTCACATAAAAACTAGATAGAAGCATTCTCAGAAACGACTTTGTGAGGATGGCATTCAACTCATGGAGTTGAACAGTCCTATTGATAGAGCAGATTGGAATCACTCTTTTTGTAGAATCTGCAAATGGAGATTTGGACTGCTTTGAGGCCTACGGTAGTATAGGAAGGAACTTCATATAAAAGGCAAACGGAAGCATTCTCAGAATATTCTTTGTGATGATGGAGTTTCACTCACAGAGCTGAACATGCCTTTTGATGGAGCAGTTTCCAAATACACTTTTGGTAGAATCTGCAGGTGGATATTTGGAGCTCTCTGAGGATTTCGTTGGAAACGGGAATAATTTCCCATAACTAAACACAAACACGCTGAGAAAGTTCTTCATGATGAATGCATTTAACTCGCAGAGATGAACCTGCCTTTGAGAGTTCAGGTTCGAAACACTCTTTCTGTAGAATCTGCAAGTGGATATTTGGACCACTGGCTGGCCTTCGTTCGAAACGGGTATACGTTCACGTAAAAACTAAAGAGAAGCGTTCTCAGAAACTTCTGAGTGATGATTGCATTCAAGTCACACAGTTGAACCCTCCTTTTGATTGAGCAGTTTTGAAACTGTCTTTTTGTAGAATCTGTAAGTGGATGCATGGACCTCTTTGAAGATTTCTTTGGAAACGGGAATATTTCCACAGAAAAACTAAACTGAAGCATTCTCAGAAACTGCTTTGTGATGTTTGTGTTCGAGCCAGAGAGTTTAACATTGCTTTTCATAGAGCAGTTTTGAAATATTCTTTTGGCAGAATCTGCAAGTGGACATTTGGAGCGCTTTCAGGCCTGTGGTGGAAAAGGCCTGAAAGCCTTTTCCTTTATCTTCACAGAAAGACGAGAGAGAAGCATTGTCAGAAACTTCTTTGTGATGACTGCATTCAACTCACAGAGTTGAAGATTCCTTTTGAAACAGCAGTTTCGAAACACTCTTTCTGTGGGATCCGCAAGGGGATATTTGGACCTCTTTGAAGATTTCGTTGGAAACGGGATAATCTTCACCTAAAAGCTAAACGGAAGCATTCTCAGAAACTTCTTTGGGATGTTTGCATTCACCTCACAGAGTTGAACTTTCCCTTTGATAGCGCAGCTTCGACACACTTTTTCTACAATGTGCAAGTGGATATTTAGCGGGCTTGGAGGACTGTGTTGGAAAAGGAAATATCTTCTCCTAAAAACGACATAGAAGCATTCTCAGAAACTGCTCTGTGATGATTGCATTAAACTCCCAGAGTTGAACATTCCTTTTGATAGAGCAGTTTGCAAACACTCTTTTTGTAGAATCTGCCAGTGGAGATTTGGACCGCTTTGAGGCCTGTGGTAGTAAAGGAAAGAACTTCATATAAAAACCAGACGGTAGCACTCTCAGAAAATTCTTTGTGACGATGGAGTTTAACTCAGAGAGCTGAACATTCGTTATGATGGAGCAGTTTCCAAACACACGTTTTGTAGGATCTGCAAGGGGATATTTGGACCTCTCTGAGGATTTCGTTGGAAACGGGATCAACTTCCCATAACTGAACGGAAGCAAACTCAGAACATTCTTTGTGATGTTTGTATTCAACTCACAGAGTTGAACCTTCCTTTGATAGTTGAGGTTTGCAACACCCTTGTAGTAGAATCTGCAAGTGTATATTTTGACCACTTTGTAGCCTTCGTTTGAAACGTCTATATCTTCACCACAAACCTAGACAGAAGCATTCTCAGAAAGTTTTCTGCGATGACTGCATTCAACTCACAGAGTTGAACAATCCTTCTGATGGAGCAGTTTTGAAACCCTCTTTCTTTGGAATCTGCAAGGGGATATGTGGACCTCTTTGAAGATTTCACTGGAAACGGGATCATCTTCACATAAAAACTAAACAGAAGCATTCTCGGAAACTACTTTGTGATGTTTGTATTCAACTCCCAGAGTTGAACTTTCCTTTTGAAAGAGCAGCTATGAAACACTCTTTTTCGAGAATCTGCAAGTGGACGTTTGGAGGGCTTTGAGGCCTGTGGTGGAAAAGGAAATATCTTCACATAAAAACTAGATAGAAGCATTCTCAGAAACTACTTTGTGAGGATGGCATTCAACTCATGGAGTTGAACAATCCTATTGATAGAGCAGATTGGAATCACTCTTTTTGTAGAATCTGCAAATGGAGATTTGGACTGCTTTGAGGCCTACGGTCGTATAGGAAGGAACTTCATATAAAAGGCAAACGGAAGCATTCTCAGAATATTCTTTGTGATGATGGAGTTTCACTCACAGAGCTGAACATGCCTTTTGATGGAGCAGTTTCCAAATACACTTTTGGTAGAATCTGCAGGTGGATATTTGGAGCTCTCTGAGGATTTCGTTGGAAACGGGAATAATTTCCCATAACTAAACACAAACACGCTGAGAAAGTTCTTCATGATGAATGCATTGAACTCGCAGAGATGAACCTGCCTTTGAGAGTTCAGGTTCGAAACACTCTTTCTGTAGAATCTGCAAGTGGATATTTGGACCACTGGCTGGCCTTCGTTCGAAACGGGTATATGTTCACGTAAAAACTAAAGAGAAGCGTTCTCAGAAACTTCTGAGTGATGATTGCATTCAAGTCACACAGTTGAACCCTCCTTTTGATTGAGCAGTTTTGAAACTGTCTTTTTGTAGAATCTGTAAGTGGATGCGTGGACCTCTTTGAAGATTTCTTTGGAAACGGGAATATTTCCACAGAAAAACTAAACTGAAGCATTCTCAGAAACTGCTTTGTGATGTTTGTGTTCGAGCCACAGAGTTTAACATTGCTTTTCGTAGAGCAGCTTTGAAATATTCTTTTGGCAGAATCTGCAAGTGGACATTTGGAGCGCTTTCAGGCCTGTGGTGGAAAAGGCCTGAAAGCCTTTTCCTTTATCTTCACAGAAAGACGAGAGAGAAGCATTGTCAGAAACTTCTTTGTGATGATTGCATTCAACTCACAGAGTTGAAGATTCCTTTTGAAACAGCAGTTTCGAAACACTCTTTCTGTGGGATCCGCAAGGGGATATTTGGACCTCTTTGAAGATTTCGTTGGAAACGGGATAATCTTCACCTAAAAGCTAAACGGAAGCATTCTCAGAAACTTCTTTGGGATGTTTGCATTCACCTCACAGAGTTGAACTTTCCCTTTGATAGCGCAGCTTCGACACACTTTTTCTACAATGTGCAAGTGGATATTTAGCGGGCTTGGAGGAATGTGTTGGAAAAGGAAATATCTTCTCCTAAAAACCACATAGAAGCATTCTCAGAAACTGCTCTGTGATGATTGCATTCAACTCCCAGAGTTGAACATTCCTTTTGATAGAGCAGTTTGCAAACACTCTTTTTGTAGAATCTGCAAGTGGAGATTTGGACCGCTTTGAGGCCTGTGGTAGTAAAGGAAAGAACTTCATATAAAAACTAGACGGTAGCACTCTCAGAAAATTCTTTGTGACGATGGAGTTTAACTCAGAGAGCTGAACATTCGTTATGATGGAGCAGTTTCCAAACACACGTTTTGTAGAATCTGCAAGGGGATATTTGGACCTCTCTGAGGATTTCGTTGGAAACGGTATCAATTTCCCATAACTAAACGGAAGCAAACTCAGAACATTCTTTGTGATGTTTGCATTCATCTCACAGAGTTGAACCTTCCTTTGATAGTTGAGGTTTGCAACACCCTTGTAGTAGAATCTGCAAGTGTATATTTTGACCACATTGTAGCCTTCGTTTGAAACGTCTATATCTTCACATCAAACCTAGACAGAAGCATTCTCAGAAAGTTTTCTGCGATGACTGCATTCAACTCACAGAGTTGAACAATCCTTTTGATGGAGCAGTTTTGAAACCCTCTTTCTTTGGAATCTGCAAGGGGATATGTGGACCTCTTTGAAGATTTCACTGGAAACGGGATCATCTTCACATAAGAACTAAACAGAAGCATTCTCGGAAACTACTTTGTGATGTTTGTATTCAACTCCCAGAGTTGAACTTTCCTTTTGAAAGAGCAGCTATGAAACACTCTTTTTCGAGAATCTGCAAGTGGACGTTTGGAAGGCTTTGAGGCCTGTGGTGGAAAAGGAAATATCTTCACATAAAAACTAGATAGAAGCATTCTCAGAAACGACTTTGTGAGGATGGCATTCAACTCATGGAGTTGAACAATCCTATTGATAGAGCAGATTGGAATCACTCTTTTTGTAGAATCTGCAAATGGAGATTTGGACTGCTTTGAGGCCTACGGTAGTATAGGAAGGAACTTCATATAAAAGGCAAACGGAAGCATTCTCAGAATATTCTTTGTGATGATGGAGTTTCACTCACAGAGCTGAACATGCCTTTTGATGGAGCAGTTTCCAAATACACTTTTGGTAGAATCTGCAGGTGGATATTTGGACCTCTCTGAGGATTTCGTTGGAAACGGGAATAATTTCCCATAACTAAACACAAACACACTGAGAAAGTTCTTCATGATGAATGCATTGAACTCGCAGAGATGAACCTGCCTTTGAGAGTTCAGGTTCGAAACACTCTTTCTGTAGAATCTGCAAGTGGATATTTGGACCACTGGCTGGCCTTCGTTCGAAACGGGTATATGTTCACGTAAAAACTAAAGAGAAGCATTCTCAGAAACTTCTGAGTGATGATTGCTTTCAAGTCACACGGTTGAACCCTCCTTTTGATTGAGCAGTTTTGAAACTGTCTTTTTGTAGAATCTGTAAGTGGATACGTGGACCTCTTTGAAGATTTCTTTGGAAACGGGAATATTTCCACAGAAAAACTAAACTGAAGCACTCTCAGAAACTGCTTTGTGATGTTTGTGTTCGAGCCACAGATTTTAACATTGCTTTTCATAGAGCAGTTTTGAAATATTCTTTTGGCAGAATCTGCAAGTGGACATTTGGAGCGCTTTCAGGCCTGTGGTGGAAAAGGCCTGAAAGCCTTTTCCTTTATCTTCACAGAAAGACGAGAGAGAAGCATTGTCAGAAACTTCTTTGTGATGATTGCATTCAACTCACAGAGTTGAAGATTCCTTTTGAAACAGCAGTTTCGAAACACTCTTTCTGTGGGATCCGCAAGGGGATATTTGGACCTCTTTGAAGATTTCGTTGGAAACGGGATAATCTTCACCTAAAAGCTAAACGGAAGCATTCTCAGAAACTTCTTTGGGATGTTTGCATTCACCTCACAGAGTTGAACTTTCCCTTTGATAGCGCAGCTTCGACACACTTTTTCTACAATGTGCAAGTGGATATTTAGCGGGCTTGGAGGACTGTGTTGGAATAGGAAATATCTTCTCCTAAAAACGACATAGAAGCATTCTCAGAAACTGCTCTGTGATGATTGCATTCAACTCCCAGAGTTGAACATTCCTTTTGATAGAGCAGTTTGCAAACACTCTTTTTGTAGAATCTGCAAGTGGAGATTTGGACCGCTTTGAGGCCTGTGGTAGTAAAGGAAAGAACTTCATATAAAAACTAGACGGTAGCACTCTCAGAAAATTCTTTGTGACGATGGAGTTTAACTCAGAGAGCTGAACATTCGTTATGATGGAGCAGTTTCCAAACACACGTTTTGTAGAATCTGCAAGGGGATATTTGGACCTCTCTGAGGATTTCGTTGGAAACGGGATCAACTTCCCATAACTGAACGGAAGCAAACTCAGAACATTCTTTGTGATGTTTGTATTCAACTCACAGAGTTGAACCTTCCTTTGATAGTTCAGGTTTGCATCACCCTTGTAGTAGAATCTGCAAGTGTATATTTTGACCACTTTGTAGCCTTCGTTTGAAACGTCTATATCTTCACATCAAACCTAGACAGAAGCATTCTCAGAAAGTTTTCTGCGATGACTGCATTCAACTCACAGAGTTGAACAATCCTTTTGATGGAGCAGTTTTGAAACCCTCTTTCTTTGGAATCTGCAAGGGGATATGTGGACCTCTTTGAAGATTTCACTGGAAACGGGATCATCTTCACATAAGAACTAAACAGAAGCATTCTCGGAAACTACTTTGTGATGTTTGTATTCAACTCCCAGAGTTGAACTTTCCTTTTGAAAGAGCAGCTATGAAACACTCTTTTTCGAGAATCTGCAAGTGGACGTTTGGAGGGCTTTGAGGCCTGTGGTGGAAAAGGAAATATCTTCACATAAAAACTAGATAGAAGCATTCTCAGAAACTACTTTGTGAGGATGGCATTCAACTCATGGAGTTGAACAGTCCTATTGATAGAGCAGATTGGAATCACTCTTTTTGTAGAATCTGCAAATGGAGATTTGGACTGCTTTGAGGCCTACGGTAGTATAGGAAGGAACTTCATATAAAAGGCAAACGGAAGCATTCTCAGAATATTCTTTGTGATGATGGAGTTTCACTCACAGAGCTGAACATGCCTTTTGATGGAGCAGTTTCCAAATACACTTTTGGTAGAATCTGCAGGTGGATATTTGGAGCTCTCTGAGGATTTCGTTGGAAACGGGAATAATTTCCCATAAATAAACACAAACACGCTGAGAAAGTTCTTCATGATGAATGCATTTAACTCGCAGAGATGAACCTGCCTTTGAGAGTTCAGGTTCGAAACACTCTTTCTGTAGAATCTGCAAGTGGATATTTGGACCACTGGCTGGCCTTCGTTCGAAACGGGTATATGTTCACGTAAAAACTAAAGAGAAGCGTTCTCAGAAACTTCTGAGTGATGATTGCATTCAAGTCACACAGTTGAACCCTCCTTTTGATTGAGCAGTTTTGAAACTGTCTTTTTGTAGAATCTGTAAGTGGATACGTGGACCTCTTTGAAGATTTCTTTGGAAACGGGAATATTTCCACAGAAAAACTAAACTGAAGCATTCTCAGAAACTGCTTTGTGATGTTTGTGTTCGAGCCGCAGAGTTTAACATTGCTTTTCATAGAGCAGTTTTGAAATATTCTTTTGGCAGAATCTGCAAGTGGACATTTGGAGCGCTTTCAGGCCTGTGGTGGAAAAGGCCTGAAAGCCTTTTCCTTTATCTTCACAGAAAGACGAGAGAGAAGCATTGTCAGAAACTTCTTTGTGATGATTGCATTCAACTCACAGAGTTGAAGATTCCTTTTGAAACAGCAGTTTCGAAACACTCTTTCTGTGGGATCCGCAAGGGGATATTTGGAACTCTTTGAAGATTTCGTTGGAAACGGGATAATCTTCACCTAAAAGCTAAACGGAAGCATTCTCAGAAACTTCTTTGGGATGTTTGCATTCACCTCACAGAGTTGAACTTTCCCTTTGATAGCGCAGCTTCGACACACTTTTTCTACAATGTGCAAGTGGATATTTAGCGGGCTTGGAGGACTGTGTTGGAAAAGGAAATATCTTCTCCTAAAAACGACATACAAGCATTCTCAGAAACTGCTCTGTGATGATTGCATTCAACTCCCAGAGTTGAACATTCCTTTTGATAGAGCAGTTTGCAAATACTCTTTTTGCAGAATCTGCAAGTGGAGATTTGGACCGCTTTGAGGCCTGTGGTAGTAAAGGAAAGAACTTCATATAAAAACTAGATGGTAGCACTCTCAGAAAATTCTTTGTGACGATGGAGTTTAACTCAGAGAGCTGAACATTCGTTATGATGGAGCAGTTTCCAAACACACGTTTTGTAGAATCTGCAGGGGGATATTTGGACCTCTCTGAGGATTTCGTTGGAAACGGGATCAACTTCCCATAACTGAACGGAAGCAAACTCAGAACATTCTTTGTGATGTTTGTATTCAACTCACAGAGTTGAACCTTCCTTTGATAGTTCAGGTTTGCATCACCCTTGTAGTAGAATCTGCAAGTGTATATTTTGACCACTTTGTAGCCTTCGTTTGAAACGTCTATATCTTCACATCAAACCTAGACAGAAGCATTCTCAGAAAGTTTTCTGCGATGACTGCATTCAACTCACAGAGTTGAACAATCCTTTTGATGGAGCAGTTTTGAAACCCTCTTTCTTTGGAATCTGCAAGGGGATATGTGGACCTCTTTGAAGATTTCACTGGAAACGGGATCATCTTCACATAAGAACTAAACAGAAGCATTCTCAGAAACTACTTTGTGATGTTTGTATTCACCTCCCAGAGTTGAACTTTCCTTTTGAAAGAGCAGCTATGAAACACCCTTTTTCGAGAATCTGCAAGTGGACGTTTGGAGGGCTTTGAGGCCTGTGGGGGAAAAGGAAATATCTTCACATAAAAACTAGATAGAAGCATTCTCAGAAACGACTTTGTGAGGATGGCATTCAACTCATGGAGTTGAACAGTCCTATTGATAGAGCAGATTGGAATCACTTTTTTTGTAGAATCTGCAAATGGAGATTTGGACTGCTTTGAGGCCTACGGTAGTATAGGAAGGAACTTCATATAAAAGGCAAACGGAAGCATTCTCAGAATATTCTTTGTGATGATGGAGTTTCACTCACAGAGCTGAACATGCCTTTTGATGGAGCAGTTTCCAAATACACTTTTGGTAGAATCTGCAGGTGGATATTTGGAGCTCTCTGAGGATTTCGTTGGAAACGGGAATAATTTCCCATAACTAAACACAAACACGCTGAGAAAGTTCTTCATGATGAATGCATTTAACTCGCAGAGATGAACCTGCCTTTGAGAGTTCAGGTTCGAAACACTCTTTCTGTAGAATCTGCAAGTGGATATTTGGACCACTGGCTGGCCTTCGTTCGAAACGGGTATATGTTCACGTAAAAACTAAAGAGAAGCGTTCTCAGAAACTTCTGAGTGATGATTGCATTCTAGTCACACAGTTGAACCCTCCTTTTGATTGAGCAGTTTTGAAACTGTCTTTTTGTAGAATCTGTAAGTGGATGCGTGGACCTCTTTGAAGATTTCTTTGGAAACGGGAATATTTCCACAGAAAAACTAAACTGAAGCATTCTCAGAAACTGCTTTGTGATGTTTGTGTTCGAGCCGCAGAGTTTAACATTGCTTTTCATAGAGCAGTTTTGAAATATTCTTTTGGCAGAATCTGCAAGTGGACATTTGGAGCGCTTTCAGGCCTGTGGTGGAAAAGGCCTGAAAGCCTTTTCCTTTATCTTCACAGAAAGACGAGAGAGAAGCATTGTCAGAAACTTCTTTGTGATGATTGCATTCAACTCACAGAGTTGAAGATTCCTTCTGAAACAGCAGTTTCGAAACACTCTTTCTGTGGGATCCGCAAGGGGATATTTGGACCTCTTTGAAGATTTCGTTGGAAACGGGATAATCTTCACCTAAAAGCTAAACGGAAGCATTCTCAGAAACTTCTTTGGGATGTTTGCATTCACCTCACAGAGTTGAACTTTCCCTTTGATAGCGCAGCTTCGACACACTTTTTCTACAATGTGCAAGTGGATATTTAGCGGACTTGGAGGACTGTGTTGGAAAAGGAAATATCTTCTCCTAAAAACGACATAGAAGCATTCTCAGAAACTGCTCTGTGATGATTGCATTCAACTCCCAGAGTTGAACATTCCTTTTGATAGAGCAGTTTGCAAACACTCTTTTTGTAGAATCTGCAAGTGGAGATTTGGACCGCTTTGAGGCCTGTGGTAGTGAAGGAAAGAACTTCATATAAAAACCAGACGGTAGCACCCTCAGAAAATTCTTTGTGACGATGGAGTTTAACTCAGAGAGCTGAACATTCGTTATGATGGAGCAGTTTCCAAACACACGTTTTGTAGAATCTGCAAGGGGATATTTGGACCTCTCTGAGGATTTCGTTGGAAACGGGATCAACTTCCCATAACTGAACGGAAGCAAACTCAGAACATTCTTTGTGATGTTTGTATTCAACTCACAGAGTTGAACCTTCCTTTGATAGTTCAGGTTTGCAACACCCTTGTAGTAGAATCTGCAAGTGTATATTTTGACCACTTTGTAGCCTTCGTTTGAAACGTCTATATCTTCACATCAAACCTAGACAGAAGCATTCTCAGAAAGTTTTCTGCGATGACTGCATTCAACTCACAGAGTTGAACAATCCTTTTGATGGAGCAGTTTTGAAACCCTCTTTCTTTGGAATCTGCAAGGGGATATGTGGACCTCTTTGAAGATTTCACTGGAAACGGGATCATCTTCACATAAGAACTAAACAGAAGCATTCTCGGAAACTACTTTGTGATGTTTGTATTCAGCTCCCAGAGTTGAACTTTCCTTTTGAAAGAGCAGCTATGAAACACTCTTTTTCGAGAATCTGCAAGTGGACGTTTGGAGGGCTTTGAGGCCTGTGGTGGAAAAGGAAATATCTTCACATAAAAACTAGATGGAAACATTCTCAGAAACTACTTTGTGAGGATGGCATTCAACTCATGGAGTTGAACAGTCCTATTGATAGAGCAGATTGGAATCACTCTTTTTGAAGAATCTGCAAATGGAGATTTGGACTGCTTTGAGGCCTACGGTAGTATAGGAAGGAACTTCATATAAAAGGCAAATGGAAGCATTCTCAGAATATTCTTTGTGATGATGGAGTTTCACTCACAGAGCTGAACATGCCTTTTGATGGAGCAGTTTCCAAATACACTTTTGGTAGAATCTGCAGGTGGATATTTGGAGCTCTCTGAGGATTTCGTTGGAAACGGGAATAATTTCCCATAACTAAACACAAACACTCTGAGAAAGTTCTTCATGATGAATGCATTTAACTCGCAGAGATGAACCTGCCTTTGAGAGTTCAGGTTCGAAACACTCTTTCTGTAGAATCTGCAAGTGGATATTTGGACCACTGGGTGGCCTTCGTTCGAAACGGGTATATGTTCACGTAAAAACTAAAGAGAAGCATTCTCAGAAACTTCTGAGTGATGATTGCATTCAAGTCACACAGTTGAACCCTCCTTTTGATGGAGCAGTTTTGAAACTGTCTTTTTGTAGAATCTGTAAGTGGATACGTGGACCTCTTTGAAGATTTCTTTGGAAACGGGAATATTTCCACAGAAAAACTAAACTGAAGCATTCTCAGAAACTGCTTTGTGATGTTTGTGTTCGAGCCACAGAGTTTAACATTGCTTTTCATAGAGCAGTTTTGAAATATTCTTTTGGCAGAATCTGCAAGTGGACATTTGGAGCGCTTTCAGGCCTGTGGTGGAAAAGGCCTGAAAGCCTTTTCCTTTATCTTCACAGAAAGACGAGAGAGAAGCATTGTCAGAAACTTCTTTGTGATGATTGCATTCAACTCACAGAGTTGAAGATTCCTTTTGAAACAGCAGTTTCGAAACACTCTTTCTGTGGGATCCGCAAGGGGATATTTGGACCTCTTTGAAGGTTTCGTTGGAAACGGGATAATCTTCACCTAAAAGCTAAACGGAAGCACTCTCAGAAACTTCTTTGGGATGTTTGCATTCACCTCACAGAGTTGAACTTTCCCTTTGATAGCGCAGCTTTGACACACTTTTTCTACAATGTGCAAGTGGATATTTAGCGGGCGTGGAGGACTGTGTTGGAAAAGGAAATATCTTCTCCTAAAAACGACATAGAAGCATTCTCAGAAACTGCTCTGTGATGATTGCATTCAACTCCCAGGGTTGAACATTCCTTTTGATAGAGCAGTTTGCAAACACTCTTTTTGTAGAATCTGCAAGTGGAGATTTGGACCGCTTTGAGGCCTATGGTAGTAAAGGAAAGAACTTCATATAAAAACCAGACGGTAGCACTCTCAGAAAATTCTTTGTGACGATGGAGTTTAACTCAGGGAGCTGAACATTCGTTATGATGGAGCAGTTTCCAAACACACGTTTTGTAGAATCTGCAAGGGGATATTTGGACCTCTCTGAGGATTTCGCTGGAAACGGGATCAACTTCCCATAACTGAACAGAAGCAAACTCAGAACATTCTTTGTGATGTTTGTATTCAACTCACAGAGTTGAACCTTCCTTTGATAGTTCAGGTTTGCAACACCCTTGTAGTAGAATCTGCAAGTGTATATTTTGACCACTTTGTAGCCTTCGTTTGAAACGTCTATATCTTCACATCAAACCTAGACAGAAGCATTCTCAGAAAGTTTTCTGCGATGACTGCATTCAACTCACAGAGTTGAACAATCCTTTTGATGGAGCAGTTTTGAAACCCTCTTTCTTTGGAATCTGCAAGGGGATATGTGGACCTCTTTGAAGATTTCACTGGAAACGGGATCATCTTCACATAAAAACTAAACAGAAGCATTCTCGGAAACTACTTTGTGATGTTTGTATTCAACTCCCAGAGTTGAACTTTCCTTTTGAAAGAGCAGCTATGAAACACTCTTTTTCGAGAATCTGCAAGTGGACGTTTGGAGGGCTTTGAGGCCTGTGGTGGAAAAGGAAATATCTTCACATAAAAACTAGATAGAAGCATTCTCAGAAACTACTTTGTGAGGATGGCATTCAACTCATGGAGTTGAACAATCCTATTGATAGAGCAGATTGGAATCACTCTTTTTGTAGAATCTGCAAATGGAGATTTGGACTGCTTTGAGGCCTACAGTAGTACAGGAAGGAACTTCATATAAAAGGCAAACGGAAGCATTCTCAGAATATTCTTTGTGATGATGGAGTTTCACTCACAGAGCTGAACATGCCTTTTGATGGAGCAGTTTCCAAATACACTTTTGGTAGAATCTGCAGGTGGATATTTGGAGCTCTCTGAGGATTTCGTTGGAAACGGGAATAATTTCCCATAACTAAACACAAACACTCTGAGAAAGTTCTTCATGATGAATGCATTTAACTCACAGAGATGAACCTGCCTTTGAGAGTTCAGGTTCGAAACACTCTTTCTGTAGAATCTGCAAGTGGATATTTGGACCACTGGGTGGCCTTCGTTCGAAACGGGTATATGTTCACGTAAAAACTAAAGAGAAGCATTCTCAGAAACTTCTGAGTGATGATTGCATTCAAGTCACACAGTTGAACCCTCCTTTTGATGGAGCAGTTTTGAAACTGTCTTTTTGTAGAATCTGTAAGTGGATACGTGGACCTCTTTGAAGATTTCTTTGGAAACGGGAATATTTCCACAGAAAAACTAAACTGAAGCATTCTCAGAAACTGCTTTGTGATGTTTGTGTTCGAGCCACAGAGTTTAACATTGCTTTTCATAGAGCAGTTTTGAAATATTCTTTTGGCAGAATCTGCAAGTGGACATTTGGAGCGCTTTCAGGCCTGTGGTGGAAAAGGCCTGAAAGCCTTTTCCTTTATCTTCACAGAAAGACGAGAGAGAAGCATTGTCAGAAACTTCTTTGTGATGATTGCATGCAACTCACAGAGTTGAAGATTCCTTTTGAAACAGCAGTTTCGAAACACTCTTTCTGTGGGATCCGCAAGGGGATATTTGGACCTCTTTGAAGGTTTCGTTGGAAACGGGATAATCTTCACCTAAAAGCTAAACGGAAGCATTCTCAGAAACTTCTTTGGGATGTTTGCATTCACCTCACAGAGTTGAACTTTCCCTTTGATAGCGCAGCTTTGACACACTTTTTCTACAATGTGCAAGTGGCTATTTAGCGGGCTTGGAGGACTGTGTTGGAAAAGGAAATATCTTCTCCTAAAAACGACATAGAAGCATTCTCAGAAACTGCTCTGTGATGATTGCATTCAACTCCCAGAGTTGAACATTCCTTTTGATAGAGCAGTTTGCAAACACTCTTTTTGTACAATCTGCAAGTGGAGATTTGGACCGCTTTGAGGCCAGTGGTAGTGAAGGAAAGAACTTCATATAAAAACCAGACGGTAGCACTCTCAGAAAATTCTTTGTGACGATGGAGTTTAACTCAGGGAGCTGAACATTCGTTATGATGGAGCAGTTTCCAAACACACGTTTTGTAGAATCTGCAAGGGGATATTTGGACCTCTCTGAGGATTTCGTTGGAAACGGGATCAACTTCCCATAACTGAACGGAAGCAAACTCAGAACATTCTTTGTGATGTTTGTATTCAACTCACAGAGTTGAACCTTCCTTTGATAGTTCAGGTTTGCAACACCCTTGTAGTAGAATCTGCAAGTGTATATTTTGACCACTTTGTAGCCTTCATTTGAAACGTCTATATCTTCACATCAAACCTAGACAGAAGCATTCTCAGAAAGTTTTCTGCGATGACTGCATTCAACTCACAGAGTTGAACAATCCTTCTGATGGAGCAGTTTTGAAACCCTCTTTCTTTGGAATCTGCAAGGGGATATGTGGACCTCTTTGAAGATTTCACTGGAAACGGGATCATCTTCACATAAAAACTAAACAGAAGCATTCTCGGAAACTACTTTGTGATGTTTGTATTCAACTCCCAGAGTTGAACTTTCCTTTTGAAAGAGCAGCTATGAAACACTCTTTTTCGAGAATCTGCAAGTGGACGTTTGGAGGGCTTTGAGGCCTGTGGTGGAAATGGAAATATCTTCACATAAAAACTAGATAGAAGCATTCTCAGAAACGACTTTGTGAGGATGGCATTCAACTCATGGAGTTGAACAATCCTATTGATAGAGCAGATTGGAATCACTCTTTTTGTAGAATCTGCAAATGGAGATTTGCACTGCTTTGAGGCCTACGGTCGTATAGGAAGGAACTTCATATAAAAGGCAAACGGAAGCATTCTCAGAATATTCTTTGTGATGATGGAGTTTCACTCACAGAGCTGAACATGCCTGTTGATGGAGCAGTTTCCAAATACACTTTTGGTAGAATCTGCAGGTGGACATTTGGACCTCTCTGAGGATTTCTTTGGGAAAGGGAATAATTTCCCATAACTAAACACAAACACGCTGAGAAAGTTCTTCATGACGAATGCATTTAACTCGCAGAGATGAACCTGCCTTTGAGAGTTCAGGTTCGAAACACTCTTTCTGTAGAATCTGCAAGTGGATATTTGGACCACTGGGTGGCCTTCGTTCGAAACGGGTATATGTTCACGTAAAAACTAAAGAGAAGCATTCTCAGAAACTTCTGAGTGATGATTGCATTCAAGTCACACAGTTGAACCCTCCTTTTGATTGAGCAGTTTTGAAACTGTCTTTTTGTAGAATCTGTAAGTGGATACGTGGACCTCTTTGAAGATTTCTTTGGAAACGGGAATATTTCCACAGAAAAACTAAACTGAAGCATTCTCAGAAACTGTTTTGTGATGTTTGTGTTCGAGCCGCAGAGTTTAACATTGCTTTTCATAGAGCAGTTTTGAAATATTCTTTTGGCAGAATCTGCAAGTGGACATTTGGAGCGCTTTCAGGCCTGTGGTGGAAAAGACCTGAAAGCCATTTCCTTTATCTTCACAGAAAGACGAGAGAGAAGCATTGTCAGAAACTTCTTTGTGATGATTGCATTCAACTCACAGAGTTGAAGATTCCTTTTGAAACAGCAGTTTCGAAACACTCTTTCTGTGGGATCCGCAAGGGGATATTTGGACCTCTTTGAAGCTTTCGTTGGAAACGGGATAATCTTCACCTAAAAGCTAAACGGAAGCATTCTCAGAAACTTCTTTGGGATGTTTGCATTCACCTCACAGAGTTGAACTTTCCCTTTGATAGCGCAGCTTCGACACACTTTTTCTACAATGTGCAAGTGGCTATTTAGCGGGCTTGGAGGACTGTGTTGGAAAAGGAAATATCTTCTCCTAAAAACGACATAGAAGCCTTCTCAGAAACTGCTCTGTGATGATTGCATTCAACTCCCAGAGTTGAACATTCCTTTTGATAGAGCAGTTTGCAGACACTCTTTTTGTAGAATCTGCAAGTGGAGATTTGGACCGCTTTGAGGCCTGTGGTAGTAAAGGAAAGAACTTCATATAAAAACTAGACGGTAGCACTCTCAGAAAATTCTTTGTGACGATGGAGTTTAACTCAGAGAGCTGAACATTCGTTATGATGGAGCAGTTTCCAAACACACGTTTTGTAGAATCTGCAAGGGGATATTTGGACCTCTCTGAGGATTTCGTTGGGAAGGGGATCAACTTCCCATAACTGAACGGAAGCAAACTCAGAACATTCTTTGTGATGTTTGTATTCAACTCACAGAGTTGAACCTTCCTTTGATAGTTCAGGTTTGCAACACCCTTGTAGTAGAATCTGCAAGTGTATATTTTGACCACTTTGTAGCCTTCGTTTGAAACGTCTATATCTTCACATCAAACCTAGACAGAAGCATTCTCAGAAAGTTTTCTGCGATGACTGCATTCAACTCACAGAGTTGAACAATCCTTTTGATGGAGCAGTTTTGAAACCCTCTTTCTTTGGAATCTGCAAGGGGATATGTGGACCTCTTTGAAGATTTCACTGGAAACGGGATCATCTTCACATAAGAACTAAACAGAAGCATTCTCGGAAACTACTTTGTGATGTTTGTATTCAACTCCCAGAGTTGAACTTTCCTTTTGAAAGAGCAGCTATGAAACACTCTTTTTCGAGAATCTGCAAGTGGACGTTTGGAGGGCTTTGAGGCCTGTGGTGGAAAAGGAAATATCTTCACATAAAACTAGATAGAAGCATTCTCAGAAACTACTTTGTGAGGATGGCATTCAACTCATGGAGTTGAACAATCCTATTGATAGAGCAGATTGGAATCACTCTTTTTGTGGAATCTGCAAATGGAGATTTGGACTGCTTTGAGGCCTACGGTCGTATAGGAAGGAACTTCATATAAAAGGCAAACGGAAGCATTCTCAGAATATTCTTTGTGATGATGGAGTTTCACTCACAGAGCTGAACATGCCTTTTGATGGAGCAGTTTCCAAATACACTTTTGGTAGAATCAGCAGGTGGATATTTGGAGCTCTCTGAGGATTTCGTTGGAAACGGGAATAATTTCCCATAACTAAACACAAACACTCTGAGAAAGTTCTTCATGATGAATGCATTTAACTTGCAGAGATGAACCTGCCTTTGAGAGTTCAGGTTCGAAACACTCTTTCTGTATAATCTGCAAGTGGATATTTGGACCACTGGGTGGCCTTCGTTCGAAACGGGTATATGTTCACGTAAAAACTAAAGAGAAGCATTCTCAGAAACTTCTGAGTGATGATTGCATTCAAGTCACACGGTTGAACCCTCCTTTTGATGGAGCAGTTTTGAAACTGTCTTTTTGTAGAATCTGTAAGTGGATACGTGGACCTCTTTGAAGATTTCTTTGGAAACGGGAATATTTCCACAGAAAAACTAAACTGAAGCATTCTCAGAAACCGCTTTGTGATGTTTGTGTTCCAGCCACAGAGTTTAACATTGCTTTTCATAGAGTAGTTTTGAAATATTCTTTTCGCAGAATCTGCAAGTGGACATTTGGAGCGCTTTCAGGCCTGTGGTGGAAAAGGCCTGAAAGCCTTTTCCTTTATCTTCACAGAAAGACGAGAGAGAAAGCATTGTCAGAAACTTCTTTGTGATGATTGCATTCAACTCACAGAGTTGAAGATTCCTTTTGAAACAGCAGTTTCGAAACACTCTTTCTGTGGGATCCGCAAGGGGATATTTGGACCTCTTTGAAGGTTTCGTTGGAAACGGGATAATCTTCACCTAAAAGCTAAACGGAAGCATTCTCAGAAACTTCTTTGGGATGTTTGCATTCACCTCACAGAGTTGAACTTTCCCTTTGATAGCGCAGCTTTGACACACTTTTTCTACAATGTGCAAGTGGCTATTTAGCGGGCTTGGAGGACTGTGTTGGAAAAGGAAATATCTTCTCCTAAAAACGACATAGAAGCATTCTCAGAAACTGCTCTGTGATGATTGCATTCAACTCCCAGAGTTGAACATTCCTTTTGATAGAGCAGTTTGCAAACACTCTTTTTGTAGAATCTGCAAGTGGAGATTTGGACCGCTTTGAGGCCTGTGGTAGTGAAGGAAAGAACTTCATATAAAAACCAGACGGTAGCACTCTCAGAAAATTCTTTGTGACGATGGAGTTTAACTCAGGGAGCTGAACATTCGTTATGATGGAGCAGTTTCCAAACACACGTTTTGTAGAATCTGCGAGGGGATATTTGGACCTCTCTGAGGATTTCGTTGGAAACGGGATCAACTTCCCATAACTGAACGGAAGCAAACTCAGAACATTCTTTGTGATGTTTGTATTCAACTCACAGAGTTGAACCTTCCTTTGATAGTTCAGGTTTGCAACACCCTTGTAGTAGAATCTGCAAGTGTATATTTTGACCACTTTGTAGCCTTCGTTTGAAACGTCTATATCTTCACATCAAACCTAGACAGAAGCATTCTCAGAAAGTTTTCTACGATGACTGCATTCAACTCACAGAGTTGAACAATCCTCTGATGGAGCAGTTTTGAAACCCTCTTTCTTTGGAATCTGCAAGGGGATATGTGGACCTCTTTGAAGATTTCACTGGAAACGGGATCATCTTCACATAAAAACTAAACAGAAGCATTCTCGGAAACTATTTTGTGATGTTTGTATTCAACTCCCAGAGTTGAACTTTCCTTTTGAAAGAGCAGCTATGAAACACTCCTTTTCGAGAATCTGCAAGTGGACGTTTGGAGGGCTTTGAGGCCTGTGGTGGAAAAGGAAATATCTTCACACAAAAACCAGATAGAAGCATTCTCAGAAACTACTTTGTGAGGATGGCATTCAACTCATGGAGTTGAACAATCCTATTGATAGAGCAGATTGGAATCACTCTTTTTATAGAATCTGCAAATGGAGATTTGGACTGCTTTGAGGCCTACGGTAGTACAGGAAGGAACTTCATATAAAAGGCAAACGGAAGCATTCTCAGAATATTCTTTGTGATGATGGAGTTTCACTCACAGAGCTGAACATGCCTTTTGATGGAGCAGTTTCCAAATACACTTTTGGTAGAATCTGCAGGTGGATATTTGGAGCTCTCTGAGGATTTCGTTGGAAACGGGAATAATTTCCCATAACTAAACACAAACACTCTGAGAAAGTTCTTCATGATGAATGCATTTAACTCGCAGAGATGAACCTGCCTTTGAGAGTTCAGGTTCGAAACACTCTTTCTGTAGAATCTGCAAGTGGATATTTGGACCACTGGGTGGCCTTCGTTCGAAACGGGTATATGTTCACCTAAAAACTAAAGAGAAGCATTCTCAGAAACTTCTGAGTGATGATTGCATTCAAGTCACACAGTTGAACCCTCCTTTTGATGGAGCAGTTTTGAAACTGTCTTTTTGTAGAATCTGTAAGTGGATACGTGGACCTCTTTGAAGATTTCTTTGGAAACGGGAATATTTCCACAGAAAAACTAAACTGAAGCATTCTCAGAAACCGCTTTGTGATGTTTGTGTTCGAGCCACAGAGTTTAACATTGCTTTTCATAGAGCAGTTTTGAAATATTCTTTTGGCAGAATCTGCAAGTGGACATTTGGAGCGCTTTCAGGCCTGTGGTGGCAAAGGCCTGAACGCCTTTTCCTTTATGTTCACAGAAAGACGAGAGAGAAGCATTGTCAGAAACTTCTTTGTGATGATTGCATTCAACTCACAGAGTTGAAGATTCCTTTTGAAACAGCAGTTTCTAAACACTCTTTCTGTGGGATCCGCAAGGGGATATTTGGACCTCTTTGAAGGTTTCGTTGGAAACGGGATAATCTTCACCTAAAAGCTAAACGGAAGCATTCTCAGAAACTTCTTTGGGATGTTTGCATTCACCTCACAGAGTTGAACTTTCCCTTTGATAGCGCAGCTTCGACACACTTTTTCTACAATGTGCAAGTGGCTATTAAGCGGGCTTGGAAGACTGTGTTGGAAAAGGAAATATCTTCTCCTAAAAACGACATAGAAGCATTCTCAGAAACTGCTCTGTGATGATTGCATTCAATTCCCAGAGTTGAACATTCCTTTTGATAGAGCAGTTTGCAGACACTCTTTTTGTAGAATCTGCAAGTGGAGATTTGGACCGCTTTGAGGCCTGTGGTAGTAAAGGAAAGAACTTCATATAAAAACTAGACGGTAGCACTCTCAGAAAATTCTTTGTGACGATGGAGTTTAACTCAGGGAGCTGAACATTCGTTATGATGGAGCAGTTTCCAAACACACGTTTTGAAGAATCTGCAAGGGGATATTTGGACCTCTCTGAGGATTTCGTTGTAAACGGGATCAACTTCCCATAACTGAACGGAAGCAAACTCAGAACATTCTTTGCGATGTTTGTATTCAACCCACAGAGTTGAACCTTCCTTTGATAGTTCAGGTTTGCAACACCCTTGTAGTAGAATCTGTAAGTGTATGTTTTGACCACTTTGTAGCCTTCGTTTTAAACGTCTATAACTTCACATCAAACCTAGACAGAAGCATTCTCAGAAAGTTTTCTGCGATGACTGCATTCAACTCACAGAGTTGAACAATCCTTTTGATGGAGCAGTTTTGAAACCCTCTTTCTTTGGAATCTGCAAGGGGATATGTGGACCTCTTTGAAGATTTCACTGGAAACGGGATCATCTTCACATAAGAACTAAACAGAAGCATTCTCGGAAACTACTTTGTGATGTTTGTATTCAACTCCCAGAGTTGAACTTTCCTTTTGAAAGAGCAGCTATGAAACACTCTTTTTCGAGAATCTGCAAGTGGACGTTTGGAGGGCTTTGAGGCCTGTGGTGGAAAAGGAAATATCTTCACATAAAAACTAGATAGAAGCATTCTCAGAAACGACTTTGTGAGGATGGCATTCAACTCATGGAGTTGAACAGTCCTATTGATAGAGCAGATTGGAATCACTCTTTTTGTAGAATCTGCAAATGGAGATTTGGACTGCTTTGAGGCCTACGGTAGTATAGGAAGGAACTTCATATAAAAGGCAAACGGAAGCATTCTCAGAATATTCTTTGTGATGATGGAGTTTCACTCACAGAGCTGAACATGCCTTTTGATGGAGCAGTTTCCAAATACACTTTTGGTAGAATCTGCAGGTGGATATTTGGAGCTCTCTGAGGATTTCGTTGGAAACGGGAATAATTTCCCATAACTAAACACAAACACGCTGAGAAAGTTCTTCATGATGAATGCATTTAACTCGCAGAGATGAACCTGCCTTTGAGAGTTCAGGTTCGAAACACTCTTTCTGTAGAATCTGTAAGTGGATATTTGTACCACTGGCTGGACTTCGTTCGAAACGGGTATACGTTCACGTAAAAACTAAAGAGAAGCGTTCTCAGAAACTTCTGAGTGATGATTGCATTCAAGTCACACAGTTGAACCCTCCTTTTGATTGAGCAGTTTTGAAACTGTCTTTTTGTAGAATCTGTAAGTGGATGCGTGGACCTCTTTGAAGATTTCTTTGGAAACGGGAATATTTCCACAGAAAAACTAAACTGAAGCATTCTCAGAAACTGCTTTCTGATGTTTGTGTTCGAGCCACAGAGTTTAACATTGCTTTTCATAGAGCAGTTTTGAAATATTCTTTTGGCAGAATCTGCAAGTGGACATTTGGAGCGCTTTCAGGCCTGTGGTGGAAAAGGCCTGAAAGCCTTTTCCTTTATCTTCGCAGAAAGACGAGAGAGAAGCATTGTCAGAAACTTCTTTGTGATGATTGCTTTCAACTCACAGAGTTGAAGATTCCTTTTGAAACAGCAGTTTCGAAACACTCTTTCTGTGGGATCCGCAAGGGGATATTTGGACCTCTTTGAAGGTTTCGTTGGAAACGGGATAATCTTCACCTAAAAGCTAAACGGAAGCATTCTCAGAAACTTCTTTGGGATGTTTGCATTCACCTCACAGAGTTGAACTTTCCCTTTGATAGCGCAGCTTCGACACACTTTTTCTACAATGTGCAAGTGGATATTTAGCGGGCTTGGAGCACTGTGTTGGAAAAGGAAATATCTTCTCCTAAAAACGACATAGAAGCATTCTCAGAAACTGCTCTGTGATGATTGCATTCAACTCCCAGAGTTGAACATTCCTTTTGATAGAGCAGTTTGCAAACACTCTTTTTGTAGAATCTGCAAGTGGAGATTTGGACCGCTTTGAGGCCTGTGGTAGTAAAGGAAAGAACTTCATATAAAAACTAGACGGTAGCACTCTCAGAAAATTCTTTGTGACGATGGAGTTTAACTCAGAGAGCTGAACATTCGTTATGATGGAGCAGTTTCCAAACACACGTTTTGTAGAATCTGCAAGGGGATATTTGGACCTCTCTGAGGATTTCGTTGGAAACGGGATCAACTTCCCATAACTGAACGGAAGCAAACTCAGAACATTCTTTGTGATGTTTGTATTCAACTCACAGAGTTGAACCTTCCTTTGATAGTTGAGGTTTGCATCACCCTTGTAGTAGAATCTGCAAGTGTATATTTTGACCACTTTGTAGCCTTCGTTTGAAACGTCTATATCTTCACATCAAACCTAAACAGAAGCATTCTCAGAAAGTTTTCTGCGATGACTGCATTCAACTCACAGAGTTGAACAATCCTTTTGATGGAGCAGTTTTGAAACCCTCTTTCTTTGGAATCTGCAAGGGGATATGTGGACCTCTTTGAAGATTTCACTGGAAACGGGATCATCTTCACATAAGAACTAAACAGAAGCATTCTCGGAAACTACTTTGTGATGTTTGTATTCAACTCCCAGAGTTGAACTTTCCTTTTGAAAGAGCAGCTATGAAACACTCTTTTTCGAGAATCTGCAAGTGGACGTTTGGAGGGCTTTGAGGCCTGTGGTGGAAAAGGAAATATCTTCACATAAAAACTACATAGAAGCATTCTCAGAAACTACTTTGTGAGGATGGCATTCAACTCATGGAGTTGAACAATCCTATTGATAGAGCAGATTGGAATCACTCTTTTTGTAGAATCTGCAAATGGAGATTTGGACTGCTTTGAGGCCTACGGTAGTATAGGAAGGAACTTCATATAAAAGGCAAACGGAAGCATTCTCAGAATATTCTTTGTGATGACGGAGTTTCACTCACAGAGCTGAACATGCCTTTTCATGGAGCAGTTTCCAAATACACTTTTGGTACAATCTGCAGGTGGATATTTGGAGCTCTCTGAGGATTTCGTTGGAAACGGGAATAATTTCCCATAACTAAACACAAACACGCTGAGAAAGTTCTTCATGATGAATGCATTTAACTCGCAGAGATGAACCTGCCTTTGAGAGTTCAGGTTCAAAACACTCTTTCTGTAGAATCTGCAAGTGGATATTTGGACCACTGGCTGGCCTTCATTCGAAACGGGTATATGTTCACGTAAAAACTAAAGAGAAGCGTTCTCAGAAACTTCTGAGTGATGAATGCATTCAAGTCACACAGTTGAACCCTCCTTTTGATTGAGCAGTTTTTAAACTGTCTTTTTGTAGAATCTGTAAGTGGATGCGTGGACCTCTTTGAAGATTTCTTTGGAAACGGGAATATTTCCACAGAAAAACTAAACTGAAGCATTCTCAGAAACTGCTTTGTGATGTTTGTGTTCGAGCCGCAGAGTTTAACATTGCTTTTCATAGAGCAGTTTTGAAATATTCTTTTGGCAGAATCTGCAAGTGGACATTTGGAGCGCTTTCAGGCCTGTGGTGGAAATGGCCTGAAAGCCTTTTCCTTTATCTTCACAGAAAGACGAGAGAGAAGCATTGTCAGAAACTTCTTTGTGATGATTGCATTCAACTCACAGAGTTGAAGATTCCTTTTGAAACAGCAGTTTCGAAACACTCTTTCTGTGGGATCCGCAAGGGGATATTTGGACCTCTTTGAAGATTTCGTTGGAAACGGAATAATCTTCACTTAAAGCTAAACGGAAGCATTCTCAGAAACTTCTTTGGGATGTTTGCATTCACCTCACAGAGTTGAACTTTCCCTTTGATAGCACAGCTTCGACACACTTTTTCTACAATGTGCAAGTGGATACATAGCGGGCTTGGAGGACTGTGTTGGAAAAGGATATATCTTCTCCTAAAAACGACATAGAAGCATTCTCAGAAACTGCTCTGTGATGATTGCATTCAACTCCCAGAGTTGAACATTCCTTTTGATAGAGCAGTTTGCAAACACTCTTTTTGTAGAATCTGCAAGTGGAGATTTGGACCGCTTTGAGGCCTGTGGTAGTGAAGGAAAGAACTTCATATAAAAACCAGACGGTAGCACTCTCAGAAAATTCTTTGTGACGATGGAGTTTAACTCAGGGAGCTGAACATTCGTTATGATGGAGCAGTTTCCAAACACACGTTTTGTAGAATCTGCAAGGGGATATTTGGACCTCTCTGAGGATTTCGTTGGAAACGGGATCAACTTCCCATAACTGAACGGAAGCAAACTCAGAACATTCTTTGTGATGTTTGTATTCAACTCACAGAGTTGAACCTTCCTTTGATAGTTCAGGTTTGCAACACCCTTGTAGTAGTATCTGCAAGTGTATATTTTGACCACTTTGTAGCCTTCGTTTGAAACGTCTATATCTTCACATCAAACCTAGACAGAAGCATTCTCAGAAAGTTTTCTGCGATGACTGCATTCAACTCACAGAGTTGAACAATCCTTTTGATGGAGCAGTTTTGAAACCCTCTTTCTTTGGAATCTGCAAGGGGATATGTGGACCTCTTTGAAGATTTCACTGGAAACGGGATCATCTTCACATAAAAACTAAACAGAAGCATTCTCGGAAACTACTTTGTGATGTTTGTATTCAACTCCCAGAGTTGAACTTTCCTTTTGAAAGAGCAGCTATGAAACACTCTTTTTCGAGAATCTGCAAGTGGACGTTTGGAGGGCTTTGAGGCCTGTGGTGGAAAAGGAAATATCTTCACATAAAAACTAGATAGAAGCATTCTCAGAAACTACTTTGTGAGGATGGCATTCAACTCATGGAGTTGAACAATCCTATTGATAGAGCAGATTGGAATCACTCTTTTTGTAGAATCTGCAAATGGAGATTTGGACTGCTTTGAGGCCTACGGTCGTATAGGAAGGAACTTCATATAAAAGGTAAACGGAAGCATTCTCAGAATATTCGTTGTGATGATGGAGTTTCACTCACAGAGCTGAACATGCCTTTTGATGGAGCAGTTTCCAAATACACTTTTGGTAGAATCTGCAGGTGGATATTTGCAGCTCTCTGAGGATTTCGTTGGAAACGGGAATAATTTCCCATAACTAAACACAAACACTCTGAGAAAGTTCTTCATGATGAATGCATTTAACTCGCAGAGATGAACCTGCCTTTGAGAGTTCAGGTTCGAAACACTCTTTCTGTAGAATCTGCAAGTGGATATTTGGACCACTGGGTGGCCTTCGTTCGAAACGGGTATATGTTCACGTAAAAACTAAAGAGAAGCATTCTCAGAAACTTCTGAGTGATGATTGCATTCAAGTCACACAGTTGAACCCTCCTTTTGATGGAGCAGTTTTGAAACTGTCTTTTTGTAGAATCTGTAAGTGGATACGTGGACCTCTTTGAAGATTTCTTTGGAAACGGGAATATTTCCACAGAAAAACTAAACTGAAGCATTCTCAGAAACTGCTTTGTGATGTTTGTGTTCGAGCCACAGAGTTTAACATTGCTTTTCATAGAGCAGTTTTGAAATATTCTTTTGGCAGAATCTGCAAGTGGACATTTGGAGCGCTTTCAGGCCTGTGGTGGAAAAGGCCTGAAAGCCTTTTCCTTTATCTTCACAGGAAGACGAGAGAGAAGCATTGTCAGAAACTTCTTTGTGATGATTGCATTCAACTCACAGAGTTGAAGATTCCTTTTGAAACAGCAGTTTCGAAACACTCTTTCTGTGGGATCCGCAAGGGGATATTTGGACCTCTTTGAAGGTTTCGTTGGAAACGGGATAATCTTCACCTAAAAGCTAAACGGAAGCATTCTCAGAAACTTCTTTGGGATGTTTGCATTCACCTCTCAGAGTTGAACTTTCCCTTTGATAGCGCAGCTTTGACACACTTTTTCTACAATGTGCAAGTGGCTATTTAGCGGGCTTGGAGGACTGTGTTGGAAAAGGAAATATCTTCTCCTAAAAACGACATAGAAGCATTCTCAGAAACTGCTCTGTGATGATTGCATTCAACTCCCAGAGTTGAACATTCCTTTTGATAGAGCAGTTTGCAAACACTCTTTTTGTAGAATCTGCAAGTGGAGATTTGGACCGCTTTGAGGCCTATGGTAGTAAAGGAAAGAACTTCATATAAAAACCAGACGGTAGCACTCTCAGAAAATTCTTTGTGACGATGGAGTTTAACTCAGGGAGCTGAACATTCGTTATGATGGAACAGTTTCCAAACACACGTTTTGTAGAATCTGCAAGGGGATATATGGACCTCTCTGAGGATTTCGCTGGAAACGGGATCAACTGCCCATAACTGAACGGAAGCCAACTCAGAACATTCTTTGTGATGTTTGTATTCAACTCACAGAGTTGAACCTTCCTTTGATAGTTCAGGTTTGCAACACCCTTGTAGTAGAATCTGCAAGTGTATATTTTGACCACTTTGTAGCCTTCGTTTGAAACGTCTATATCTTCACATCAAACCTAGACAGAAGCATTCTCAGAAAGTTTTCTGCGATGACTGCATTCAACTCACAGAGTTGAACAATCCTTTTGATGGAGCAGTTTTGAAACCCTCTTTCTTTGGAATCTGCAAGGGGATATGTGGACCTCTTTGAAGATTTCACTGGAAACGGGATCATCTTCACATAAAAACTAAACAGAAGCATTCTCGGAAACTATTTTGTGATGTTTGTATTCAACTCCCAGAGTTGAACTTTCCTTTTGAAAGAGCAGCTATGAAACACTCTTTTTCGAGAATCTGCAAGTGGACGTTTGGAGGGCTTTGAGGCCTGTGGTGGAAAAGGAAATATCTTCACACAAAAACCAGATAGAAGCATTCTCAGAAACTACTTTGTGAGGATGGCATTCAACTCATGGAGTTGAACAATCCTATTGATAGAGCAGATTGGAATCACTCTTTTTATAGAATCTGCAAATGGAGATTTGGACTGCTTTGAGGCCTATGGTAGTACAGGAAGGAACTTCATATAAAAGGCAAACGGAAGCATTCTCAGAATATTCTTTGTGATGATGGAGTTTCACTCACAGAGCTGAACATGCCTTTTGATGGAGCAGTTTCCAAATACACTTTTGGTAGAATCTGCAGGTGGATATTTGGAGCTCTCTGAGGATTTCGTTGGAAACGGGAATAATTTCCCATAACTAAACACAAACACTCTGAGAAAGTTCTTCATGATGAATGCATTTAACTCGCAGAGATGAACCTGCCTTTGAGAGTTCAGGTTCGAAACACTCTTTCTGTAGAATCTGCAAGTGGATATTTGGACCACTGGCTGGCCTTCGTTCGAAACGGGTATATGTTCACGTAAAAACTAAAGAGAAGCATTCTCAGAAACTTCTGAGTGATGATTGCATTCAAGTCACACAGTTGAACCCTCCTTTTGATGGAGCAGTTTTGAAACTGTCTTTTTGTAGAATCTGTAAGTGGATACGTGGACCTCTTTGAAGATTTCTTTGGAAACGGGAATATTTCCACAGAAAAACTAAACTGAAACATTCTCAGAAACCGCTTTGTGATGTTTGTGTTCCAGCCACAGAGTTTAACATTGCTTTTCATAGAGCAGTTTTGAAATATTCTTTTGGCAGAATCTGCAAGTGGACATTTGGAGCGCTTTCAGGCCTGTGGTGGCAAAGGCCTGAAAGCCTTTTCCTTTATCTTCACAGAAAGACGAGAGAGAAGCATTGTCAGAAACTTCTTTGTGATGATTGCATTCAACTCACAGAGTTGAAGATTCCTTTTGAAACAGCAGTTTCGAAACACTCTTTCTGTGGGATCCGCAAGGGGATATTTGGACCTCTTTGAAGGTTTCGTTGGAAACGGGATAATCTTCACCTAAAAGCTAAACGGAAGCATTCTCAGAAACTTCTTTGGGATGTTTGCATTCACCTCACAGAGTTGAACTTTCCCTTTGATAGCGCAGCTTTGACACACTTTTTCTACAATGTGCAAGTGGCTATTTAGCGGGCTTGGAGGACTGTGTTGGAAAAGGAAATATCTTCTCCTAAAAACGACATAGAAGCATTCTCAGAAACTGCTCTGTGATGATTGCATTCAACTCCCAGAGTTGAACATTCCTTTTGATAGAGCAGTTTGCAAACACTCTTTTTGTAGAATCTGCAAGTGGAGATTTGGACCGCTTTGAGGCCTGTGGTAGTGAAGGAAAGAACTTCATATAAAAACCAGACGGTAGCACTCTCAGAAAATTCTTTGTGACGATGGAGTTTAACTCAGGGAGCTGAACATTCGTTATGATGGAGCAGTTTCCAAACACACGTTTTGTAGAATCTGCAAGGGGATATTTGGACCTCTCTGAGGATTTCGTTGGAAACGGGATCAACTTCCCATAACTGAACGGAAGCAAACTCAGAACATTCTTTGTGATGTTTGTATTCAACTCACAGAGTTGAACCTTCCTTTGATAGTTCAGGTTTGCAACACCCTTGTAGTAGAATCTGCAAGTGTATATTTTGACCACTTTGTAGCCTTCGTTTGAAACATCTATATCTTCACATCAAACCTAGACAGAAGCATTCTCAGAAAGTTTTCTGCGATGACTGCATTCAACTCACAGAGTTGAACAATCCTTCTGATGGAGCAGTTTTGAAACCCTCTTTCTTTGGAATCTTCAAGGGGATATGTGGACCTCTTTGAAGATTTCACTGGAAACGGGATCATCTTCACATAAAAACTAAACTGAAGCATTCTCGGAAACTACTTTGTGATGTTTGTATTCAACTCCCAGAGTTGAACTTTCCTTTTGAAAGAGCAGCTATGAAACACTCTTTTTCGAGAATCTGCAAGTGGACGTTTGGAGGGCTTTGAGGCCTGTGGTGGAAAAGGAAATATCTTCACACAAAAACCAGATAGAAGCATTCTCAGAAACTACTTTGTGAGGATGGCATTCAACTAATGGAGTTGAACAATCCTATTGATAGAGCAGATTGGAATCACTCTTTTTGTAGAATCTGCAAATGGAGATTTGGACTGCTTTGAGGCCTACGGTAGTACAGGAAGGAACTTCATATAAAAGGCAAACGGAAGCATTCTCAGAATATTCTTTGTGATGATGGAGTTTCACTCACAGAGCTGAACATGCCTTTTGATGGAGCAGTTTCCAAATACACTTTTGGTAGAATCTGCAGGTGGATATTTGGAGCTCTCTGAGGATTTCGTTGGAAACGGGAATAATTTCCCATAACTAAACACAAACACTCTGAGAAAGTTCTTCATGATGAATGCATTTAACTCGCAGAGATGAACCTGCCTTTGAGAGTTCAGGTTCGAAACACTCTTTCTGTAGAATCTGCAAGTGGATATTTGGACCACTGGGTGGCCTTCGTTCGAAACGGGTATATGTTCACGTAAAAACTAAAGAGAAGCATTCTCAGAAACTTCTGAGTGATGATTGCATTCAAGTCACACAGTTGAACCCTCCTTTTGATGGAGCAGTTTTGAAACTGTCTTTTTGTAGAATCTGTAAGTGGATACGTGGACCTCTTTGAAGATTTCTTTGGAAACGGGAATATTTCCACAGAAAAACTAAACTGAAGCATTCTCAGAAACCGCTTTGTGATGTGTTTGTTCGAGCCACAGAGTTTAACATTGCTTTTCACAAAGCAGTTTTGAAATATTCTTTTCGCAGAATCTGCAAGTGGACATTTGGAGCGCTTTCAGGCCTGTGGTGGCAAAGGCCTGAAAGCATTTATTTATCTTCACAGAAAGACGAGAGAGAAGCATTGTCAGAAACTTCTTTGTGATGATTGCATTCAACTCACAGAGTTGAAGATTCCTTTTGAAACAGCAGTTTCGAAACACTCTTTCTGTGGGATCCGCAAGGGGATATTTGGACTTCTTTGAAGGTTTCGTTGGAAACGGGATAATCTTCACCTAAAAGCTAAACGGAAGCACTCTCAGAAACTTCTTTGGGATGTTTGCATTCACCTCTCAGAGTTGAACTTTCCCTTTGATAGCGCAGCTTTGACACACTTTTTCTACAATGTGCAAGTGGCTATTTAGCGGACTTGGAGGACTGTGTTGGAAAAGGAAATATCTTCTCCTAAAAACGACATAGAAGCATTCTCAGAAACTGCTCTGTGATGATTGCATTCAACTCCCAGAGTTGAACATTCCTTTTGATAGAGCAGTTTGCAAACACTCTTTTTGTAGAATCTGCAAGTGGAGATTTGGACCGCTTTGAGGCCAGTGGTAGTGAAGGAAAGAACTTCATATAAAAACCAGACGGTAGCACTCTCAGAAAATTCTTTGTGACGATGGAGTTTAACTCAGGGAGCTGAACATTCGTTATGATGGAGCAGTTTCCAAACACACGTTTTGTAGAATCTGCAAGGGGATATTTGGACCTCTCTGAGGATTTCGTTGGAAACGGGATCAACTTCCCATAACTGAACGGAAGCAAACTCAGAACATTCTTTGTGATGTTTGTATTCAACTCACAGAGTTGAACCTTCCTTTGATAGTTCAGGTTTGCAACACCCTTGTAGTAGAATCTGCAAGTGTATATTTTGACCACTTTGTAGCCTTCGTTTGAAACGTCTATATCTTCACATCAAACCTAGACAGAAGCATTCTCAGAAAGTTTTCTGCGATGACTGCATTCAACTCACAGAGTTGAACAATCCTTCTGATGGAGCAGTTTTGAAACCCTCTTTCTTTGGAATCTGCAAGGGGATATGTGGACCTCTTTGAAGATTTCACTGGAAACGGGATCATCTTCACATAAAAACTAAACAGAAGCATTCTCGGAAACTACTTTGTGATGTTTGTATTCAACTCCCAGAGTTGAACTTTCCTTTTGAAAGAGCAGCTATGAAACACTCTTTTTCGAGAATCTGCAAGTGGACGTTTGGAGGGCTTTGAGGCCTGTGGTGGAAAACGAAATATCTTCACATAAAAACTAGATAGAAGCATTCTCAGAAACTACTTTGTGAGGATGGCATTCAACTCATGGAGTTGAACAATCCTATTGATAGAGCAGATTGGAATCACTCTTTTTGTAGAATCTGCAAATGGAGATTTGGACTGCTTTGAGGCCTACGGTCGTATAGGAAGGAACTTCATATAAAAGGCAAACGGAAGCATTCTCAGAATATTCTTTGTGATGATGGAGTTTCACTCACAGAGCTGAACATGCCTTTTGATGGAGCAGTTTCCAAATACACTTTTGGTAGAATCTGCAGGTGGATATTTGGAGCTCTCTGAGGATTTCGTTGGAAACGGGAATAATTTCCCATAACTAAACACAAACACTCTGAGAAAGTTCTTCATCATGAATGCATTTAACTCGCAGAGATGAACCTGCCTTTGAGAGTTCAGGTTCGAAACACTCTTTCTGTAGAATCTGCAAGTGGATATTTGGACCCCTGGGTGGCCTTCGTTCGAAACGGGTATATGTTCACGTAAAAACTAAAGAGAAGCATTCTCAGAAACTTCTGAGTGATGATTGCATTCAAGTCACACAGTTGAACCCTCCTTTTGATGGAGCAGTTTTGAAACTGTCTTTTTGTAGAATCTGTAAGTGGATACGTGGACCTCTTTGAAGATTTCTTTGGAAACGGGAATATTTCCACAGAAAAACTAAACTGAAGCATTCTCAGAAACCGCTTTGTGATGTTTGTGTTCGAGCCACAGAGTTTAACATTGCTTTTCATAGAGCAGTTTTGAAATATTCTTTTCGCAGAATCTGCAAGTGGACATTTGGAGCGCTTTCAGGCCTGTGGTGGAAAAGGCCTGAAAGCCTTTTCCTTTATCTTCACAGAAAGACGAGAGAGAAGCATTGTCAGAAACTTCTTTGTGATGATTGCATTCAACTCACAGAGTTGAACATTCCTTTTGAAACAGCAGTTTCGAAACACTCTTTCTGTGGGATCCGCAAGGGGATATTTGGACCTCTTTGAAGGTTTCGTTGGAAACGGGATAATCTTCACCTAAAAGCTAAACGGAAGCATTCTCAGAAACTTCTTTGGGATGTTTGCATTCACCTCACAGAGTTGAACTTTCCCTTTGATAGCGCAGCTTCGACACACTTTTTCTACAATGTGCAAGTGGCTATTTAGCGGGCTTGGAGGACTGTGTTGGAAAAGGAAATATCTTCTCCTAAAAACGACATAGAAGCATTCTCAGAAACTGCTCTGTGATGATTGCATTCAACTCCCAGAGTTGAACATTCCTTTTGATAGAGCAGTTTGCAGACACTCTTTT
This sequence comes from Homo sapiens, assembly GCF_000001405.40. NCBI lineage: Eukaryota > Metazoa > Chordata > Mammalia > Primates > Hominidae > Homo > Homo sapiens. Next base: position 59,257,196 of record NC_000023.11, read on the forward strand.
TGTAGAATCTGCAAGTGGAGATTTGGACCGCTTTGAGGCCTGTGGTAGTAAAGGAAAGAACTTCATATAAAATCTAGACGGTAGCACTCTCAGAAAATTCTTTGTGACGATGGAGTTTAACTCAGAGAGCTGAACATTCGTTATGATGGAGCAGTTTCCAAACACACGTTTTGCAGAATCTGCAAGGGGATATTTGGACCTCTCTGAGGATTTCGTTGGAAACGGGATCAACTTCCCATAACTGAACGGAAGCAAACTCAGAACATTCTTTGTGATGTTTGTATTCAACTCACAGAGTTGAACCTTCCTTTGAGAGTTCAGGTTTGCAACACCCTTGTAGTAGAATCTGCAAGTGTATATTTTGACCACTTTGTAGCCTTCGTTTGAAACGTCTATATCTTCACATCAAACCTAGACAGAAGCATTCTCAGAAAGTTTTCTGCGATGACTGCATTCAACTCACAGAGTTGAACAATCCTTTTGATGGAGCAGTGTTGAAACCCTCTTTCTTTGGAATCTGCAAGGGGATATGTGGACCTCATTGAAGATTTCACTGGAAACGGGATCATCTTCACATAAGAACTAAACAGAAGCATTCTCGGAAACTACTTTGTGATGTTTGTATTCAACTCCCAGAGTTGAACTTTCCTTTTGAAAGAGCAGCTATGAAACACTCTTTTTCGAGAATCTGCAAGCGGACGTTTGGAGGGCTTTGAGGCCTGTGGTGGAAAAGGAAATATCTTCACATAAAAACTAGATAGAAGCATTCTCAGAAACGACTTTGTGAGGATGGCATTCAACTCATGGAGTTGAACAATCCTATTGATAGAGCAGATTGGAATCACTCTTTTTGTAGAATCTGCAAATGGAGATTTGGACTGCTTTGGGGCCTACGGTCGTATAGGAAGGAACTTCATATAAAAGGCAAACGGAAGCATTCTCAGAATATTCTTTGTGATGATGGAGTTTCACTCACAGAGCTGAACATGCCTTTTGATGGAGCAGTTTCCAAATACACTTTTGGTAGAATCTGCAGGTGGATATTTGGAGCTCTCTGAGGATTTCGTTGGAAACGGGAATAATTTCCCATAACTAAACACAAACACTCTGAGAAAGTTCTTCATGATGAATGCATTTAACTCGCAGAGATGAACCTGCCTTTGAGAGTTCAGGTTCGAAACACTCTTTCTGTAGAATCTGCAAGTGGATATTTGGACCACTGGCTGGCCTTCGTTCGAAACGGGTATATGTTCACGTAAAAACTAAAGAGAAGCATTCTCAGAAACTTCTGAGTGATGATTGCATTCAAGTCACACAGTTGAACCCTCCTTTTGATGGAGCAGTTTTGAAACTGTCTTTTTGTAGAATCTGTAAGTGGATACGTGGACCCCCTTTGAAGATTTCTTTGGAAACGGGAATATTTCCACAGAAAAACTAAACTGAAGCATTCTCAGAAACTGCTTTGTGATGTTTGTGTTCGAGCCACAGTAGTTTAACATTGCTTTTCATAGAGCAGTTTTGAAATATTCTTTTGGCAGAATCTGCAAGTGGACATTTGGAGCGCTTTCAGGCCTGTGGTGGAAAAGGCCTGAAAGCCTTTTCCTTTATCTTCACAGAAAGACGAGAGAGAAGCATTGTCAGAAACTTCTTTGTGATGATTGCATTCAACTCACAGAGTTGAAGATTCCTTTTGAAACAGCAGTTTCGAAACACTCTTTCTGTGGGATCCGCAAGGGGATATTTGGACCTCTTTGAAGATTTCGTTGCCAACTGGATAATCTTCACTTAAAAGCAAAACGGAAGCATTCTCAGAAACTTCTTTGGGATGTTTGCATTCACCTCACAGAGTTGAACTTTCCCTTTGATAGCGCAGCTTCGACACACTTTTTCTACAATGTGCAAGTGGATATGTAGCGGGCTTGGAGGACTGTGTTGGAAAAGGAAATATCTTCTCCTAAAAACGACATAGAAGCATTCTCAGAAACTGCTCTGTGATGATTGCATTCAACTCCCAGAGTTGAACATTCCTTTTGATAGAGCAGTTTGCAAACACTCTTTTTGTAGAATCTGCAAGTGGAGATTTGGACCGCTTTGAGGCCTGTGGTAGTAAAGGAAAGAACTTCATATAAAAACTAGACGGTAGCACTCTCAGAAAATTCTTTGTGACGATGGAGTTTAACTCAGGGAGCTGAACATTCGTTATGATGGAGCAGTTTCCAAACACACGTTTTGTAGAATCTGCAAGGGGATATTTGGACCTCTCTGAGGATTTCGTTGGAAACGGGATCAACTTCCCATAACTGAACGGAAGCAAACTCAGAACATTCTTTGTGATGTTTGTATTCAACTCACAGAGTTGAACCTTCCTTTGATAGTTCAGGTTTGCATCACCCTTGTAGTAGAATCTGCAAGTGTATATTTTGACCACTTTGTAGCCTTCGTTTGAAACGTCTATATCTTCACATCAAACCGAGACAGAAGCATTCTCAGAAAGTTTTCTGTGATGACTGCATTCAACTCACAGAGTTGAACAATCCTTTTGATGGAGCAGTTTTGAAACCCTCTTTCTTTGGAATCTGCAAGGGGATATGTGGACCTCTTTGAAGATTTCACTGGAAACGGGATCATCTTCACATAAGAACTAAACAGAAGCATTCTCGGAAACTACTTTGTGATGTTTGTATTCAGCTCCCAGAGTTGAACTTTCCTTTTGAAAGAGCAGCTATGAAACACTCTTTTTCGAGAATCTGCAAGTGGACGTTTGGAGGGCTTTGAGGCCTGTGGTGGAAAAGGAAATATCTTCACATAAAAACTAGATAGAAGCATTCTCAGAAACTACTTTGTGAGGACGGCATTCAACTCATGGAGTTGAACAGTCCTATTGATAGAGCAGATTGGAATCACTCTTTTTGTAGAATCTGCAAATGGAGATTTGGAATGCTTTGAGGCCTACGGTAGTATAGGAAGTAACTTCATATAAAAGGCAAATGGAAGCATTCTCAGAATATTCTTTGTGATGATGGAGTTTCACTCACAGAGCTGAACATGCCTTTTGATGGAGCAGTTTCCAAATACACTTTTGGTAGAATCTGCAGGTGGATATTTGGAGCTCTCTGAGGATTTCGTTGGAAACGGGAATAATTTCCCATAACTAAACACAAACACGCTGAGAAAGTTCTTCATGATGAATGCATTTAACTCGCAGAGATGAACCTGCCTTTGAGAGTTCAGGTTCGAAACACTCTTTCTGTAGAATCTGCAAGTGGATATTTGGACCACTGGCTGGCCTTCGTTCGAAACGGGTATATGTTCACGTAAAAACTAAAGAGAAGCGTTCTCAGAAACTTCTGAGTGATGATTGCATTCAAGTCACACAGTTGAACCCTCCTTTTGATTGAGCAGTTTTGAAACTGTCTTTTTGTAGAATCTGTAAGTGGATGCGTGGACCTCTTTGAAGATTTCTTTGGAAACGGGAATATTTCCACAGAAAAACTAAACTGAAGCATTCTCAGAAACTGCTTTGTGATGTTTGTGTTCGAGCCACAGAGTTTAACATTGCTTTTCATAGAGCAGTTTTGAAATATTCTTTTGGCAGAATCTGCAAGTGGTCATTTGGAGCGCTTTCAGGCCTGTGGTGGAAAAGGCCTGAAAGCCTTTTCCTTTATCTTCACAGAAAGACGAGAGAGAAGCATTGTCAGAAACTTCTTTGTGATGATTGCATTCAACTCACAGAGTTGAAGATTCCTTTTGAAACAGCAGTTTCGAAACACTCTTTCTGTGGGATCCGCAAGGGGATATTTGGACCTCTTTGAAGGTTTCGTTGGAAACGGGATAATCTTCACCTAAAAGCTAAACGGAAGCATTCTCAGAAACTTCTTTGGGATGTTTGCATTCACCTCACAGAGTTGAACTTTCCCTTTGATAGCGCAGCTTTGACACACTTTTTCTACAATGTGCAAGTGGCTATTTAGCGGGCTTGGAGGACTGTGTTGGAAAAGGAAATATCTTCTAAAAACGACATAGAAGCATTCTCAGAAACTGCTCTGTGATGATTGCATTCAACTCCCAGAGTTGAACATTCCTTTTGATAGAGCAGTTTGCAAACACTCTTTTTGTAGAATCTGCAAGTGGAGATTTGGACCGCTTTGAGGCCTGTGGTAGTGAACGAAAGAACTTCATATAAAAACCAGACGGTAGCACTCTCAGAAAATTCTTTGTGACGATGGAGTTTAACTCAGGGAGCTGAACATTCGTTATGATGGAGCAGTTTCCAAACACACGTTTTGTAGAATCTGCGAGGGGATATTTGGACCTCTCTGAGGATTTCGTTGGAAACGGGATCAACTTCCCATAACTGAACGGAAGCAAACTCAGAACATTCTTTGTGATGTTTGTATTCAACTCACAGAGTTGAACCTTCCTTTGATAGTTCAGGTTTGCAACACCCTTGTAGTAGAATCTGCAAGTGTATATTTTGACCACTTTGTAGCCTTCGTTTGAAACGTCTATATCTTCACATCAAACCTAGCCAGAAGCATTCTCAGAAAGTTTTCTGCGATGACTGCATTCAACTCACAGAGTTGAACAATCCTTCTGATGGAGCAGTTTTGAAACCCTCTTTCTTTGGAATCTGCAAGGGGATATGTGGACCTCTTTGAAGATTTCACTGGAAACGGGATCATCTTCACATAAAAACTAAACAGAAGCATTCTCGGAAACTACTTTGTGATGTTTGTATTCAACTCCCAGAGTTGAACTTTCCTTTTGAAAGAGCAGCTATGAAACACTCTTTTTCGAGAATCTGCAAGTGGACGTTTGGAGGGCTTTGAGGCCTGTGGTGGAAAAGGAAATATCTTCACACAAAAACCAGATAGAAGCATTCTCAGAAACGACTTTGTGAGGATGGCATTCAACTCATGGAGTTGAACAATCCTATTGATAGAGCAGATTGGAATCACTCTTTTTGTAGAATCTGCAAATGGAGATTTGGACTGCTTTGAGGCCTACGGTAGTATAGGAAGGAACTTCATATAAAAGGCAAACGGAAGCATTCTCAGAATATCCTTTGTGATGATGGAGTTTCACTCACAGAGCTGAACATGCCTTTTGATGGAGCAGTTTCCAAATACACTTTTGGTAGAATCTGCAGGTGGATATTTGGAGCTCTCTGAGGATTTCGTTGGAAACGGGAATAATTTCCCATAACTAAACACAAACACTCTGAGAAAGTTCTTCATGATGAATGCATTTAACTCGCAGAGATGAACCTGCCTTTGAGAGTTCAGGTTCGAAACACTCTTTCTGTAGAATCTGCAAGTGGATATTTGGACCACTGGGTGGCCTTCGTTCGAAACGGGTATATGTTCACATAAAAACTAAAAAGAAGCATTCTCAGAAACTTCTGAGTGATGATTGCATTCAAGTCACATAGTTGAACCCTCCTTTTGATGGAGCAGTTTTGAAACTGTCTTTTTGTAGAATCTGTAAGTGGATACGTGGACCTCTTTGAAGATTTCTTTGGAAACGGGAATATTTCCACGGAAAAACTAAACTGAAGCATTCTCAGAAACTGCTTTGTGATGTTTGTGTTCGAGCCACAGAGTTTAACATTGCTTTTCATAGAGCAGTTTTGAAATATTCTTTTCACAGAATCTGCAAGTGGACATTTGGAGCGCTTTCAGGCCTGTGGTGGAAAAGGCCTGAAAGCCTTTTCCTTTATCTTCACAGAAAGACGAGAGAGAAGCATTGTCAGAAACTTCTTTGTGATGATTGCATTCAACTCACAGAGTTGAAGATTCCTTTTGAAACAGCAGTTTCGAAACACTCTTTCTGTGGGATCCGCAAGGGGATATTTGGACCTCTTTGAAGGTTTCGTTGGAAACGGGATAATCTTCACCTAAAAGCTAAACGGAAGCATTCTCAGAAACTTCTTTGGGATGTTTGCATTCACCTCACAGAGTTGAACTTTCCCTTTGATAGCGCAGCTTTGACACACTTTTTCTACAATGTGCAAGTGGCTATTTAGCGGGCTTGGAGGACTGTGTTGGAAAAGGAAATATCTTCTCCTAAAAACGACATAGAAGCATTCTCAGAAACTGCTCTGTGATGATTGCATTCAACTCCCAGAGTTGAACATTCCTTTTGATAGAGCAGTTTGCAAACACTCTTTTTGTAGAATCTGCAAGTGGAGATTTGGACCACTTTGAGGCCTGTGGTAGTGAAGGAAAGAACTTCATATAAAAACCAGACGGTAGCACTCTCAGAAAATTCTTTGTGACGATGGAGTTTAACTCAGGGAGCTGAACATTCGTTATGATGGAGCAGTTTCCAAACACACGTTTTGTAGAATCTGCAAGGGGATATTTGGACCTCTCTGAGGATTTCGTTGGAAACGGGATCAACTTCCCATAACTGAACGGAAGCAAACTCAGAACATTCTTTGTGATGTTTGTATTCAACTCACAGAGTTGAACCTTCCTTTGATAGTTCAGGTTTGCAACACCCTTGTAGTAGAATCTGCAAGTGTATATTTTGACCACTTTGTAGCCTTCGTTTGAAACGTCTATATCTTCACATCAAACCTAGACAGAAGCATTCTCAGAAAGTTTTCTGCGATGACTGCATTCAACTCACAGAGTTGAACAATCCTTCTGATGGAGCAGTTTTGAAACCCTCTTTCTTTGGAATCTGCAAGGGGATATGTGGACCTCTTTGAAAGATTTCACTGGAAACGGGATCATCTTCACATAAAAACTAAACAGAAGCATTCTCGGAAACTACTTTGTGATGTTTGTATTCAACTCCCAGAGTTGAACTTTCCTTTTGAAAGAGCAGCTATGAAACACTCTTTTTCGAGAATCTGCAAGTGGACGTTTGGAGGGCTTTGAGGCCTGTGGTGGAAAAGGAAATATCTTCACATAAAAACTAGATAGAAGCATTCTCAGAAACGACTTTGTGAGGATGGCATTCAACTCATGGAGTTGAACAATCCTATTGATAGAGCAGATTGGAATCACTCTTTTTGTAGAATCTGCAAAAGGAGATTTGGACTGCTTTGAGGCCTACGGTAGTATAGGAAGGAGCTTCATATAAAAGGCAAACGGAAGCATTCTCAGAATATTCTTTGTGATGATGGTGTTTCACTCACATAGCTGAACATGCCTTTTGATGGAGCAGTTTCCAAATACACTTTTGGTAGAATCTGCAGGTGGATATTTGAGCTCTCTGAGGATTTCGTTGGAAACGGGAATAATTTCCCATAACTAAACACAAACACGCTGAGAAAGTTCTTCATGATGAATGCATTGAACTCGCAGAGATGAACCTGCCTTTGAGAGTTCAGATTCGAAACACTCTTTCTGTAGAATCTGCAAGTGGATATTTGGACCACTGGCTGGCCTTCGTTCGAAACGGGTATATGTTCACGTAAAAACTAAAGAGAAGCGTTCTCAGAAACTTCTGAGTGATGATTGCATTCAAGTCACACAGTTGAACCCTCCTTTTGATTGAGCAGTTTTGAAACTGTCTTTTTGTAGAATCTGTAAGTGGATACGTGGACCTCTTTGAAGATTTCTTTGGAAACGGGAATATTTCCACAGAAAAACTAAACTGAAGCATTCTCAGAAACTGCTTTGTGATGTTTGTGTTCGAGCCGCAGAGTTTAACATTGCTTTTCATAGAGCAGTTTTGAAATATTCTTTTGGCAGAATCTGCAAGTGGACATTTGGAGCGCTTTCAGGCCTGTGGTGGAAAAGGCCTGAAAGCCTTTTCCTTTATCTTCACAGAAAGACGAGAGAGAAGCATTGTCAGAAACTTCTTTGTGATGATTGCATTCAACTCACAGAGTTGAAGATTCCTTTTGAAACAGCAGTTTCGAAACACTCTTTCTGTGGGATCCGCAAGGGGATATTTGGAACTCTTTGAAGATTTCGTTGGAAACGGGATAATCTTCACCTAAAAGCTAAACGGAAGCATTCTCAGAAACTTCTTTGGGATGTTTGCATTCACCTCACAGAGTTGAACTTTCCCTTTGATAGCGCAGCTTTGACACACTTTTTCTACAATGTGCAAGTGGCTATTTAGCGGGCTTGGAGGACTGTGTTGGAAAAGGAAATATCTTCTAAAAACGACATAGAAGCATTCTCAGAAACTGCTCTGTGATGATTGCATTCAACTCCCAGAGTTGAACATTCCTTTTGATAGAGCAGTTTGCAAACACTCTTTTTGTAGAATCTGCAAGTGGAGATTTGGACCGCTTTGAGGCCTGTGGTAGTGAACGAAAGAACTTCATATAAAAACCAGACGGTAGCACTCTCAGAAAATTCTTTGTGACGATGGAGTTTAACTCAGGGAGCTGAACATTCGTTATGATGGAGCAGTTTCCAAACACACGTTTTGTAGAATCTGCGAGGGGATATTTGGACCTCTCTGAGGATTTCGTTGGAAACGGGATCAACTTCCCATAACTGAACGGAAGCAAACTCAGAACATTCTTTGTGATGTTTGTATTCAACTCACAGAGTTGAACCTTCCTTTGATAGTTCAGGTTTGCAACACCCTTGTAGTAGAATCTGCAAGTGTATATTTTGACCACTTTGTAGCCTTCGTTTGAAACGTCTATATCTTCACATCAAACCTAGCCAGAAGCATTCTCAGAAAGTTTTCTGCGATGACTGCATTCAACTCACAGAGTTGAACAATCCTTCTGATGGAGCAGTTTTGAAACCCTCTTTCTTTGGAATCTGCAAGGGGATATGTGGACCTCTTTGAAGATTTCACTGGAAACGGGATCATCTTCACATAAAAACTAAACAGAAGCATTCTCGGAAACTACTTTGTGATGTTTGTATTCAACTCCCAGAGTTGAACTTTCCTTTTGAAAGAGCAGCTATGAAACACTCTTTTTCGAGAATCTGCAAGTGGACGTTTGGAGGGCTTTGAGGCCTGTGGTGGAAAAGGAAATATCTTCACACAAAAACCAGATAGAAGCATTCTCAGAAACTACTTTGTGAGGATGGCATTCAACTCATGGAGTTGAACAATCCTATTGATAGAGCAGATTGGAATCACTCTTTTTATAGAATCTGCAAATGGAGATTTGGACTGCTTTGAGGCCTACGGTAGTACAGGAAGGAACTTCATATAAAAGGCAAACGGAAGCATTCTCAGAATATTCTTTGTGATGATGGAGTTTCACTCACAGAGCTGAACATGCCTTTTGATGGAGCAGTTTCCAAATACACTTTTGGTAGAATCTGCAGGTGGATATTTGGAGCTCTCTGAGGATTTCGTTGGAAACGGGAATAATTTCCCATAACTAAACACAAACACTCTGAGAAAGTTCTTCATGATGAATGCATTTAACTCGCAGAGATGAACCTGCCTTTGAGAGTTCAGGTTCGAAACACTCTTTCTGTATAATCTGCAAGTGGATATTTGGACCACTGGGTGGCCTTCGTTCGAAACGGGTATATGTTCACGTAAAAACTAAAGAGAAGCATTCTCAGAAACTTCTGAGTGATGATTGCATTCAAGTCACACAGTTGAACCCTCCTTTTGATGGAGCAGTTTTGAAACTGTCTTTTTGTAGAATCTGTAAGTGGATACGTGGACCTCTTTGAAGATTTCTTTGGAAACGGGAATATTTCCACAGAAAAACTAAACTGAAGCATTCTCAGAAACCGCTTTGTGATGTTTGTGTTCGAGCCGCAGAGTTTAACATTGCTTTTCATAGAGCAGTTTTGAAATATTCTTTTGGCAGAATCTGCAAGTGGACATTTGGAGCGCTTTCAGGCCTGTGGTGGCAAAGGCCTGAAAGCCTTTTCCTTTATCTTCACAGAAAGACGAGAGAGAAGCATTGTCAGAAACTTCTTTGTGATGATTGCATTCAACTCACAGAGTTGAAGATTCCTTTTGAAACAGCAGTTTCGAAACACTCTTTCTGTGGGATCCGCAAGGGGATATTTGGACCTCTTTGAAGGTTTCGTTGGAAACGGGATAATCTTCACCTAAAAGCTAAACGGAAGCATTCTCAGAAACTTCTTTGGGATGTTTGCATTCACCTCACAGAGTTGAACTTTCCCTTTGATAGCGCAGCTTTGACACACTTTTTCTACAATGTGCAAGTGGCTATTTAGCGGGCTTGGAGGACTGTGTTGGAAAAGGAAATATCTTCTCCTAAAAACGACATAGAAGCATTCTCAGAAACTGCTCTGTGATGATTGCATTCAACTCCCAGAGTTGAACATTCCTTTTGATAGAGCAGTTTGCAAACACTCTTTTTGTAGAATCTGCAAGTGGAGATTTGGACCGCTTTGAGGCCTGTGGTAGTGAAGGAAAGAACTTCATATAAAAACCAGACGGTAGCACTCTCAGAAAATTCTTTGTGACGATGGAGTTTAACTCAGGGAGCTGAACATTCGTTATGATGGAGCAGTTTCCAAACACACGTTTTGTAGAATCTGCAAGGGGATATTTGGACCTCTCTGAGGATTTCGTTGGAAACGGGATCAACTTCCCATAACTGAACGGAAGCAAACTCAGAACATTCTTTGTGACGTTTGTATTCAACTCACAGAGTTGAACCTTCCTTTGATAGTTCAGGTTTGCAACACCCTTGTAGTAGAATCTGCAAGTGTATATTTTGACCACTTTGTAGCCTTCGTTTGAAACGTCTATATCTTCACATCAAACCTAGACAGAAGCATTCTCAGAAAGTTTTCTGCGATGACTGCATTCAACTCACAGAGTTGAACAATCCTTCTGATGGAGCAGTTTTGAAACCCTCTTTCTTTGGAATCTGCAAGGGGATATGTGGACCTCTTTGAAGATTTCACTGGAAACGGGATCATCTTCACATAAAAACTAAACAGAAGCATTCTCGGAAACTACTTTGGGATGTTTGTATTCAACTCCCAGAGTTGAACTTTCCTTTTGAAAGAGCAGCTATGAAACACTCTTTTTCGAGAATCTGCAAGTGGACGTTTGGAGGGCTTTGAGGCCTGTGGTGGAAAAGGAAATATCTTCACATAAAAACTAGATAGAAGCATTCTCAGAAACTACTTTGTGAGGATGGCATTCAACTCATGGAGTTGAACAATCCTATTGATAGAGCAGATTGGAATCACTCTTTTTGTAGAATCTGCAAATGGAGATTTGGACTGCTTTGAGGCCTATGGTAGTATAGGAAGGAACTTCATATAAAAGGCAAACGGAAGCATTCTCAGAATATTCTTTGTGATGATGGAGTTTCACTCACAGAGCTGAACATGCCTTTTGATGGAGCAGTTTCCAAATACACTTTTGGTAGAATCTGCAGGTGGATATTTGGAGCTCTCTGAGGATTTCGTTGGAAACGGGAATAATTTCCCATAACTAAACACAAACACTCTGAGAAAGTTCTTCATGATGAATGCATTTAACTCGCAGAGATGAACCTGCCTTTGAGAGTTCAGGTTCGAAACATTCTTTCTGTAGAATCTGCAAGTGGATATTTGGACCACTGGCTGGCCTTGGTTCGAAAAGGTTATATGTTCACGTAAAAACTAAAGAGAAGCATTCTCAGAAACTTCTGAGTGATGATTGCATTCAAGTCACACAGTTGAACCCTCCTTTTGATGGAGCAGTTTTGAAACTGTCTTTTTGTAGAATCTGTAAGTGGATACGTGGACCTCTTTGAAGATTTCTTTGGAAACGGGAATATTTCCACAGAAAAACTAAACTGAAGCATTCTCAGAAACCGCTTTGTGATGTTTGTGTTCAAGCCACAGAGTTTAACATTGCTTTTCATAGAGCAGTTTTGAAATATTCTTTTCGCAGAATCTGCAAGTGGACATTTGGAGCGCTTTCAGGCCTGTGGTGGAAAAGGCCTGAAAGCCTTTTCCTTTATCTTCACAGAAAGACGAGAGAGAAGCATTGTCAGAAACTTCTTTGTGATGATTGCATTCAACTCACAGAGTTGAAGATTCCTTTTGAAACAGCAGTTTCGAAACACTCTTTCTGTGGGATCCGCAAGGGGATATTTGGACCTCTTTGAAGGTTTCGTTGGAAACGGGATAATCTTCACCTAAAAGCTAAACGGAAGCATTCTCAGAAACTTCTTTGGGATGTTTGCATTCACCTCACAGAGTTGAACTTTCCCTTTGATAGCGCAGCTTTGACACACTTTTTCTACAATGTGCAAGTGGCTATTTAGCGGGCTTGGAGGACTGTGTTGGAAAAGGAAATATCTTCTCCTAAAAACGACATAGAAGCATTCTCAGAAACTGCTCTGTGATGATTGCATTCAACTCCCAGAGTTGAACATTCCTTTTGATAGAGCAGTTTGCAAACACTCTTTTTGTAGAATCTGGAAGTGGAGATTTGGACCGCTTTGAGGCCTGTGATAGTGAAGGAAAGAGCTTCATATAAAAACCAGACGGTTAGCACTCTCAGAAAATTCTTTGTGACGATGGAGTTTAACTCAGGGAGCTGGACATTCGTTATGATGGAGCAGTTTCCAAACACACGTTTTGTAGAATCTGCAAGGGGATATTTGGACCTCTCTGAGGATTTCGTTGGAAACGGGATCAACTTCCCATAACTGAACGGAAGCAAACTCAGAACATTCTTTGTGATGTTTGTATTCAACTCACAGAGTTGAACCTTCCTTTGATAGTTCAGGTTTGCAACACCCTTGTAGTAGAATCTGCAAGTGTATATTTTCACCACTTTGTAGCCTTCATTTGAAACGTCTATATCTTCACATCAAACCTAGACAGAAGCATTCTCAGAAAGTTTTCTGCGATGACTGCATTCAACTCACAGAGTTGAACAATCCTTCTGATGGAGCAGTTTTGAAACCCTCTTTCTTTGGAATCTGCAAGGGGATATGTGGACCTCTTTGAAGATTTCACTGGAAACGGGATCATCTTCACATAAAAACTAAACAGAAGCATTCTCGGAAACTACTTTGTGATGTTTGTATTCAACTCCCAGAGTTGAACTTTCCTTTTGAAAGAGCAGCTATGAAACACTCTTTTTCGAGAATCTGCAAGTGGACGTTTGGAGGGCTTTGAGGCCTGTGGTGGAAAAGGAAATATCTTCACATAAAACTAGATAGAAGCATTCTCAGAAACTACTTTGTGAGGATGGCATTCAACTCATGGAGTTGAACAATCCTATTGATAGAGCAGATTGGAATCACTCTTTTTGTAGAATCTGCAAATGGAGATTTGGACTGCTTTGAGGCCTACGGTCGTATAGGAAGGAACTTCATATAAAAGGCAAACGGAAGCATTCTCAGAATATTCTTTGTGATGATGGAGTTTCACTCACAGACCTGAACATGCCTTTTGATGGAGCAGTTTCCAAATACACTTTTGGTAGAATCAGCAGGTGGATATTTGGAGCTCTCTGAGGATTTCGTTGGAAACGGGAATAATTTCCCATAACTAAACACAAACACTCTGAGAAAGTTCTTCATGATGAATGCATTTAACTTGCAGAGATGAACCTGCCTTTGAGAGTTCAGGTTCGAAACACTCTTTCTGTATAATCTGCAAGTGGATATTTGGACCACTGGGTGGCCTTCGTTCGAAACGGGTATATGTTCACGTAAAAACTAAAGAGAAGCATTCTCAGAAACTTCTGAGTGATGATTGCATTCAAGTCACACAGTTGAACCCTCCTTTTGATGGAGCAGTTTTGAAACTGTCTTTTTGTAGAATCTGTAAGTGGATACGTGGACCTCTTTGAAGATTTCTTTGGAAACGGGAATATTTCCACAGAAAAACTAAACTGAAGCATTCTCAGAAACTGCTTTGTGATGTTTGTGTTCGAGCCACAGAGTTTAACATTGCTTTTCATAGAGCAGTTTTGAAATATTCTTTTCGCAGAATCTGCAAGTGGACATTTGGAGCGCTTTCAGGCCTGTGGTGGAAAAGGCCTGAAAGCCTTTTCCTTTATCTTCACAGAAAGACGAGAGAGAAGCATTGTCAGAAACTTCTTTGTGATGATTGCATTCAACTCACAGAGTTGAAGATTCCTTTTGAAACAGCAGTTTCGAAACACTCTTTCTGTGGGATCCGCAAGGGGATATTTGGACCTACTTTGAAGGTTTCGTTGGAAACGGGATAATCTTCACCTAAAAGCTAAACGGAAGCATTCTCAGCAAACTTCTTTGGGATGTTTGCATTCACCTCACAGAGTTGAACTTTCCCTTTGATAGCGCAGCTTTGACACACTTTTTCTACAATGTGCAAGTGGCTATTTAGCGGGCTTGGAGGACTGTGTTGGAAAAGGAAATATCTTCTCCTAAAAACGACATAGAAGCATTCTCAGAAACTGCTCTGTGATGATTGCATTCAACTCCCAGAGTTGAACATTCCTTTTGATAGAGCAGTTTGCAAACACTCTTTTTGTAGAATCTGCAAGTGGAGATTTGGACCGCTTTGAGGCCTGTGGTAGTGAAGGAAAGAACTTCATATAAAAACCAGACGGTAGCACTCTCAGAAAATTCTTTGTGACGATGGAGTTTAACTCAGGGAGCTGAACATTCGTTATGATGGAGCAGTTTCCAAACACACGTTTTGTAGAATCTGCGAGGGGATATTTGGACCTCTCTGAGGATTTCGTTGGAAACGGGATCAACTTCCCATAACTGAACGGAAGCAAACTCAGAACATTCTTTGTGATGTTTGTATTCAACTCACAGAGTTGAACCTTCCTTTGATAGTTCAGGTTTGCAACACCCTTGTAGTAGAATCTGCAAGTGTATATTTTGACCACTTTGTAGCCTTCGTTTGAAACGTCTATATCTTCACATCAAACCTAGACAGAAGCATTCTCAGAAAGTTTTCTGCGATGACTGCATTCAACTCACAGAGTTGAACAATCCTCTGATGGAGCAGTTTTGAAACCCTCTTTCTTTGGAATCTGCAAGGGGATATGTGGACCTCTTTGAAGATTTCACTGGAAACGGGATCATCTTCACATAAAAACTAAACAGAAGCATTCTCGGAAACTATTTTGTGATGTTTGTATTCAACTCCCAGAGTTGAACTTTCCTTTTGAAAGAGCAGCTATGAAACACTCTTTTTCGAGAATCTGCAAGTGGACGTTTGGAGGGCTTTGAGGCCTGTGGTGGAAAAGGAAATATCTTCACACAAAAACCAGATAGAAGCATTCTCAGAAACTACTTTGTGAGGATGGCATTCAACTCATGGAGTTGAACAATCCTATTGATAGAGCAGATTGGAATCACTCTTTTTATAGAATCTGCAAATGGAGATTTGGACTGCTTTGAGGCCTACGGTAGTACAGGAAGGAACTTCATATAAAAGGCAAACGGAAGCATTCTCAGAATATTCTTTGTGATGATGGAGTTTCACTCACAGAGCTGAACATGCCTTTTGATGGAGCAGTTTCCAAATACACTTTTGGTAGAATCTGCAGGTGGATATTTGGAGCTCTCTGAGGATTTCGTTGGAAACGGGAATAATTTCCCATAACTAAACACAAACACTCTGAGAAAGTTCTTCATGATGAATGCATTTAACTCGCAGAGATGAACCTGCCTTTGAGAGTTCAGGTTCGAAACACTCTTTCTGTATAATCTGCAAGTGGATATTTGGACCACTGGGTGGCCTTCGTTCGAAACGGGTATATGTTCACGTAAAAACTAAAGAGAAGCATTCTCAGAAACTTCTGAGTGATGATTGCATTCAAGTCACACAGTTGAACCCTCCTTTTGATGGAGCAGTTTTGAAACTGTCTTTTTGTAGAATCTGTAAGTGGATACGTGGACCTCTTTGAAGATTTCTTTGAAAACGGGAATATTTCCACAGAAAAACTAAACTGAAGCATTCTCAGAAACTGCTTTGTGATGTTTGTGTTCGAGCCACAGAGTTTAACATTGCTTTTCATAGAGCAGTTTTGAAATATTCTTTTGGCAGAATCTGCAAGTGGACATTTGGAGCGCTTTCAGGCCTGTGGTGGAAAAGGCCTGAAAGCCTTTTCCTTTATCTTCACAGAAAGACGAGAGAGAAGCATTGTCAGAAACTTCTTTGTGATGATTGCATTCAACTCACAGAGTTGAAGATTCCTTTTGAAACAGCAGTTTCGAAACACTCTTTCTGTGGGATCCGCAAGGGGATATTTGGACCTCTTTGAAGGTTTCGTTGGAAACGGGATAATCTTCACCTAAAAGCTAAACGGAAGCATTCTCAGAAACTTCTTTGGGATGTTTGCATTCACCTCACAGAGTTGAACTTTCCCTTTGATAGCGCAGCTTTGACACACTTTTTCTACAATGTGCAAGTGGCTATTTAGCGGGCTTGGAGGACTGTGTTGGAAAAGGAAATATCTTCTCCTAAAAACGACATAGAAGCATTCTCAGAAACTGCTCTGTGATGATTGCATTCAACTCCCAGAGTTGAACATTCCTTTTGATAGAGCAGTTTGCAAACACTCTTTTTGTAGAATCTGCAAGTGGAGATTTGGACCGCTTTGAGGCCTGTGGTAGTGAAGGAAAGAACTTCATATAAAAACCAGACGGTAGCACTCTCAGAAAATTCTTTGTGACGATGGAGTTTAACTCAGGGAGCTGAACATTCGTTATGATGGAGCAGTTTCCAAACACACGTTTTGTAGAATCTGCAAGGGGATATTTGGACCTCTCTGAGGATTTCGTTGGAAACGGGATCAACTTCCCATAACTGAACGGAAGCAAACTCAGAACATTCTTTGTGATGTTTGTATTCAACTCACAGAGTTGAACCTTCCTTTGATAGTTCAGGTTTGCAACACCCTTGTAGTAGAATCTGCAAGTGTATATTTTGACCACTTTGTAGCCTTCGTTTGAAACGTCTATATCTTCACATCAAACCTAGACAGAAGCATTCTCAGAAAGTTTTCTGCGATGACTGCATTCAACTCACAGAGTTGAACAATCCTTCTGATGGAGCAGTTTTGAAACCCTCTTTCTTTGGAATCTGCAAGGGGATATGTGGACCTCTTTGAAGATTTCACTGGAAACGGGATCATCTTCACATAAAAACTAAACAGAAGCATTCTCGGAAACTACTTTGTGATGTTTGTATTCAACTCCCAGAGTTGAACTTTCCTTTTGAAAGAGCAGCTATGAAACACTCTTTTTCGAGAATCTGCAAGTGGACGTTTGGAGGGCTTTGAGGCCTGTGGTGGAAAAGGAAATATCTTCACATAAAAACTAGATAGAAGCATTCTCAGAAACTACTTTGTGAGGATGGCATTCAACTCATGGAGTTGAACAATCCTATTGATAGAGCAGATTGGAATCACTCTTTTTGTAGAATCTGCAAATGGAGATTTGGACTGCTTTGAGGCCTACGGTCGTATAGGAAGGAACTTCATATAAAAGGCAAACGGAAGCATTCTCAGAATATTCTTTGTGATGATGGAGTTTCACTCACAGAGCTGAACATGCCTTTTGATGGAGCAGTTTCCAAATACACTTTTGGTAGAATCTGCAGGTGGATATTTGGAGCTCTTTGAGGATTTCGTTGGAAACGGGAATAATTTCCCATAACTAAACACAAACACTCTGAGAAAGTTCTTCATGATGAATGCATTTAACTCGCAGAGATGAACCTGCCTTTGAGAGTTCAGGTTCGAAACACTCTTTCTGTAGAATCTGCAAGTGGATATTTGGACCACTGGGTGGCCTTCGTTCGAAACGGGTATATGTTCACGTAAAAACTAAAGAGAAGCATTCTCAGAAACTTCTGAGTGATGATTGCATTCAATTCACACAGTTGAACCCTCCTTTTGATGGAGCAGTTTTGAAACTGTCTTTTTGTAGAATCTGTAAGTGGATACGTGGACCTCTTTGAAGATTTCTTTGGAAACGGGAATATTTCCACAGAAAAACTAAACTGAAGCATTCTCAGAAACCGCTTTGTGATGTTTGTGTTCGAGCCACAGAGTTTAACATTGCTTTTCACAAAGCAGTTTTGAAATATTCTTTTCGCAGAATCTGCAAGTGGACATTTGGAGCGCTTTCAGGCCTGTGGTGGCAAAGGCCTGAAAGCATTTATTTATCTTCACAGAAAGACGAGAGAGAAGCATTGTCAGAAACTTCTTTGTGATGATTGCATTCAACTCACAGAGTTGAAGATTCCTTTTGAAACAGCAGTTTCGAAACACTCTTTCTGTGGGATCCGCAAGGGGATATTTGGACTTCTTTGAAGGTTTCGTTGGAAACGGGATAATCTTCACCTAAAAGCTAAACGGAAGCACTCTCAGAAACTTCTTTGGGATGTTTGCATTCACCTCTCAGAGTTGAACTTTCCCTTTGATAGCCCAGCTTTGACACACTTTTTCTACAATGTGCAAGTGGCTATTTAGCGGACTTGGAGGACTGTGTTGGAAAAGGAAATATCTTCTCCTAAAAACGACATAGAAGCATTCTCAGAAACTGCTCTGTGATGATTGCATTCAACTCCCAGAGTTGAACATTCCTTTTGATAGAGCAGTTTGCAAACACTCTTTTTGTAGAATCTGCAAGTGGAGATTTGGACCGCTTTGAGGCCAGTGGTAGTGAAGGAAAGAACTTCATATAAAAACCATACGGTAGCACTCTCAGAAAATTCTTTGTGACGATGGAGTTTAACTCAGGGAGCTGAACATTCGTTATGATGGAGCAGTTTCCAAACACACGTTTTGTAGAATCTGCAAGGGGATATTTGGACCTCTCTGAGGATTTCGTTGGAAACGGGATCAGCTTCCCATAACTGAACGGAAGCAAACTCAGAACATTCTTTGTGATGTTTGTATTCAACTCACAGAGTTGAACCTTCCTTTGATAGTTCAGGTTTGCAACACCCTTGTAGTAGAATCTGCAAGTGTATATTTTGACCACTTTGTAGCCTTCATTTGAAACGTCTATATCTTCACATCAAACCTAGACAGAAGCATTCTCAGAAAGTTTTCTGCGATGACTGCATTCAACTCACAGAGTTGAACAATCCTTCTGATGGAGCAGTTTTGAAACCCTCTTTCTTTGGAATCTGCAAGGGGATATGTGGACCTCTTTGAAGATTTCACTGGAAACGGGATCATCTTCACATAAAAACTAAACAGAAGCATTCTCGGAAACTACTTTGTGATGTTTGTATTCAACTCCCAGAGTTGAACTTTCCTTTTGAAAGAGCAGCTATGAAACACTCTTTTTCGAGAATCTGCAAGTGGACGTTTGGAGGGCTTTGAGGCCTGTGGTGGAAAAGGAAATATCTTCACATAAAACTAGATAGAAGCATTCTCAGAAACTACTTTGTGAGGATGGCATTCAACTCATGGAGTTGAACAATCCTATTGATAGAGCAGATTGGAATCACTCTTTTTGTGGAATCTGCAAATGGAGATTTGGACTGCTTTGAGGCCTACGGTCGTATAGGAAGGAACTTCATATAAAAGGCAAACGGAAGCATTCTCAGAATATTCTTTGTGATGATGGAGTTTCACTCACAGAGCTGAACATGCCTTTTGATGGAGCAGTTTCCAAATACACTTTTGGTAGAATCAGCAGGTGGATATTTGGAGCTCTCTGAGGATTTCGTTGGAAACGGGAATAATTTCCCATAACTAAACACAAACACTCTGAGAAAGTTCTTCATGATGAATGCATTTAACTTGCAGAGATGAACCTGCCTTTGAGAGTTCAGGTTCGAAACACTCTTTCTGTATAATCTGCAAGTGGATATTTGGACCACTGGGTGGCCTTCGTTCGAAACGGGTATATGTTCACGTAAAAACTAAAGAGAAGCATTCTCAGAAACTTCTGAGTGATGATTGCATTCAAGTCACACGGTTGAACCCTCCTTTTGATGGAGCAGTTTTGAAACTGTCTTTTTGTAGAATCTGTAAGTGGATACGTGGACCTCTTTGAAGATTTCTTTGGAAACGGGAATATTTCCACAGAAAAACTAAACTGAAGCATTCTCAGAAACCGCTTTGTGATGTTTGTGTTCCAGCCACAGAGTTTAACATTGCTTTTCATAGAGTAGTTTTGAAATATTCTTTTCGCAGAATCTGCAAGTGGACATTTGGAGCGCTTTCAGGCCTGTGGTGGAAAAGGCCTGAAAGCCTTTTCCTTTATCTTCACAGAAAGACGAGAGAGAAGCATTGTCAGAAACTTCTTTGTGATGATTGCATTCAACTCACAGAGTTGAAGATTCCTTTTGAAACAGCAGTTTCGAAACACTCTTTCTGTGGGATCCGCAAGGGGATATTTGGACCTCTTTGAAGGTTTCGTTGGAAACGGGATAATCTTCACCTAAAAGCTAAACGGAAGCATTCTCAGAAACTTCTTTGGGATGTTTGCATTCACCTCACAGAGTTGAACTTTCCCTTTGATAGCGCAGCTTTGACACACTTTTTCTTCAATGTGCAAGTGGCTATTTAGCGGGCTTGGAGGACTGTGTTGGAAAAGGAAATATCTTCTCCTAAAAACGACATAGAAGCATTCTCAGAAACTGCTCTGTGATGATTGCATTCAACTCCCAGAGTTGAACATTCCTTTTGATAGAGCAGTTTGCAAACACTCTTTTTGTAGAATCTGCAAGTGGAGATTTGGACCGCTTTGAGGCCTGTGGTAGTGAAGGAAAGAACTTCATATAAAAACCAGACGGTAGCACTCTCAGAAAATTCTTTGTGACGATGGAGTTTAACTCAGGGAGCTGAACATTCGTTATGATGGAGCAGTTTCCAAACACACGTTTTGTAGAATCTGCAAGGGGATATTTGGACCTCTCTGAGGATTTCGTTGGAAACGGGATCAACTTCCCATAACTGAACGGAAGCAAACTCAGAACATTCTTTGTGATGTTTGTATTCAACTCACAGAGTTGAACCTTCCTTTGATAGTTCAGGTTTGCAACACCCTTGTAGTAGAATCTGCAAGTGTATATTTTGACCACTTTGTAGCCTTCGTTTGAAACGTCTATATCTTCACATCAAACCTAGACAGAAGCATTCTCAGAAAGTTTTCTGCGATGACTGCATTCAACTCACAGAGTTGAACAATCCTTCTGATGGAGCAGTTTTGAAACCCTCTTTCTTTGGAATCTGCAAGGGGATATGTGGACCTCTTTGAAGATTTCACTGGAAACGGGATCATCTTCACATAAAAACTAAACAGAAGCATTCTCGGAAACTACTTTGTGATGTTTGTATTCAACTCCCAGAGTTGAACTTTCCTTTTGAAAGAGCAGCTATGAAACACTCTTTTTCGAGAATCTGCAAGTGGACGTTTGGAGGGCTTTGAGGCCTGTGGTGGAAAAGGAAATATCTTCACATAAAAACTAGATAGAAGCATTCTCAGAAACGACTTTGTGAGGATGGCATTCAACTCATGGAGTTGAACAATCCTATTGATAGAGCAGATTGGAATCACTCTTTTTGTAGAATCTGCAAATGGAGATTTGGACTGCTTTGAGGCCTACGGTAGTATAGGAAGGAACTTCATATAAAAGGCAAACGGAAGCATTCTCAGAATATTCTTTGTGATGATGGAGTTTCACTCACAGAGCTGAACATGCCTTTTGATGGAGCAGTTTCCAAATACACTTTTGGTAGAATCTGCAGGTGGATATTTGGAGCTCTCTGAGGATTTCTTTGGAAACGGGAATAATTTCCCATAACTAAACACAAATACTCTGAGAAAGTTCTTCATGATGAATGCATTTAACTCGCAGAGATGAACCTTCCTTTGAGAGTTCAGGTTCGAAACACTCTTTCTGTAGAATCTGCAAGTGGATATTTGGACCACTGGGTGGCCTTCGTTCGAAACGGGTATATGTTCACGTAAAAACTAAAGAGAAGCATTCTCAGAAACTTCTGAGTGATGATTGCATTCAAGTCACACAGTTGAACCCTCCTTTTGATGGAGCAGTTTTGAAACTGTCTTTTTGTAGAATCTGTAAGTGGATACGTGGACCTCTTTGAAGATTTCTTTGGAAACGGTAATATTTCCACAGAAAAACTAAACTGAAGCATTCTCAGAAACTGCTTTGTGATGTTTGTGTTCGAGCCACAGAGTTTAACATTGCTTTTCATAGAGCAGTTTTGAAATATTCTTTTCGCAGAATCTGCAAGTGGACATTTGGAGCGCTTTCAGGCCTGTGGTGGAAAAGGCCTGAAAGCCTTTTCCTTTATCTTCACAGAAAGACGAGAGAGAAGCATTGTCAGAAACTTCTTTGTGATGATTGCATTCAACTCACAGAGTTGAACATTCCTTTTGAAACAGCAGTTTCGAAACACTCTTTCTGTGGGATCCGCAAGGGGATATTTGGACCTCTTTGAAGGTTTCGTTGGAAACGGGATAATCCTCACCTAAAAGCTAAACGGAAGCATTCTCAGAAACTTCGTTGGGATGTTTGCATTCACCTCACAGAGTTGAACTTTCCCTTTGATAGCGCAGCTTCGACACTCTTTTTCTACAATGTGCAAGTGGATATTTAGCGGGCTTGGAGGACTGTGTTGGAAAAGGAAATATCTTCTCCTAAAAACGACATAGAAGCATTCTCAGAAACTGCTCTGTGATGATTGCATTCAACTCCCAGAGTTGAACATTCCTTTTGATAGAGCAGTTTGCAAACACTCTTTTTGTAGAATCTGCAAGTGGAGATTTGGACCGCTTTGAGGCCGGTGGTAGTAAAGGAAAGAAGTTCATATAAAACTAGACGGTAGCACTCTCAGAAAATTCTTTGTGACGATGGAGTTTAACTCAGAGAGCTGAACATTCGTTATGATGGAGCAGTTTCCAAACACACGTTTTGTAGAATCTGCAAGGGGATATTTGGACCTCTCTGAGGATTTCGTTGGAAACGGGATCAACTTCCCATAACTGAACGGAAGCAAACTCAGAACATTCTTTATGATGTTTGAATTCAACTCACAGAGTTGAACCTTCCTTTGATAGTTCAGGTTTGCAACACCCTTGTAGTAGAATCTGCAAGTGTATATTTTGACCACTTTGTAGCCTTCGTTTGAAACGTCTATATCTTCACATCAAACCTAGACAGAACCATTCTCAGAAAGTTTTCTGCGATGACTGCATTCAACTCACAGAGGTGAACAATCCTTTTGATGGAGCAGTTTTGAAACCCTCTTTCTTTGGAATCTGCAAGGGGATATGTGGACCTCTTTGAAGATTTCACTGGAAACGGGATCATCTTCACATAAGAACTAAACAGAAGCATTCTCGGAAACTACTTTGTGATGTTTGTATTCACCTCCCAGAGTTGAACTTTCCTTTTGAAAGAGCAGCTATGAAACACTCTTTTTCGAGAATCTGCAAGTGGACGTTTGGAGGGCTTTGAGGCCTGTGGTGGAAAAGGAAATATCTTTACATAAAAACTAGATAGAAGCATTCTCAGAAACGAGTTTGTGAGGATGGCATTCAACTCATGGAGTTGAACAATCCTATTGATAGAGCAGATTGGAATCACTCTTTTTGTAAAATCTGCAAATGGAGATTTGGACTGCTTTGAGGCCTACGGTAGTATAGGAAGGAACTTCATATAAAAGGCAAACGGAAGCATTCTCAGAATATTCTTTGTGATGATGGAGTTTCACTCACAGAGCTGAACATGCCTTTTGATGGAGCAGTTTCCAAATACACTTTTGGTAGAATCTGCAGGTGGATATTTGGAGCTCTCTGAGGATTTCGTTGGAAACGGGAATAATTTCCCATAACTAAACACAAACACGCTGAGAAAGTTCTTCATGATGAATGCATTTAACTCGCAGAGATGAACCTGCCTTTGAGAGTTCAGGTTCGAAACACTCTTTCTGTAGAATCTGCAAGTGGATATTTGGACCACTGGCTGGCTTTCGTTCGAAACGGGTATATGTTCACGTAAAAACTAAAGAGAAGCATTCTCAGAAACTTCTGAGTGATGATTGCATTCAAGTCACACAGTTGAACCCTCCTTTTGATGGAGCAGTTTTGAAACTGTCTTTTTGTAGAATCTGTAAGTGGATACGTGGACCTCTTTGAAGATTTCTTTGGAAACGGGAATATTTCCACAGAAAAACTAAACTGAAGCATTCTCAGAAACCGCTTTGTGATGTTTGTGTTCGAGCCGCAGAGTTTAACATTGCTTTTCATAGAGCAGTTTTGAAATATTCTTTTGGCAGAATCTGCAAGTGGACATTTGGAGCGCTTTCAGGCCTGTGGTGGAAAAGGCCTGAAAGCCTTTTCCTTTATCTTCACAGAAAGACGAGAGAGAAGCATTGTCAGAAACTTCTTTGTGATGATTGCATTCAACTCACAGAGTTGAAGATTCCTTTTGAAACAGCAGTTTCGAAACACTCTTTCTGTGGGATCCGCAAGGGGATATTTGGACCTCTTTGAAGGTTTCGTTGGAAACGGGATAATCTTCACCTAAAAGCTAAACGGAAGCACTCTCAGAAACTTCTTTGGGATGTTTGCATTCACCTCACAGAGTTGAACTTTCCCTTTGATAGCGCAGCTTTGACACACTTTTTCTACAATGTGCAAGTGGCTATTTAGCGGGCTTGGAGGACTGTGTTGGAAAAGGAAATATCTTCTCCTAAAAACGACATAGAAGCATTCTCAGAAACTGCTCTGTGATGATTGCATTCAACTCCCAGAGTTGAACATTCCTTTTGATAGAGCAGTTTGCAAACACTCTTTTTGTAGAATCTGCAAGTGGAGATTTGGACCGCTTTGAGGCCTGGGGTAGTGAAGGAAAGAGCTTCATATAAAAACCAGACGGTAGCACTCTCAGAAAATTCTTTGTGACGATGGAGTTTAACTCAGGGAGCTGAACATTCGTTATGATGGAGCAGTTTCCAAACACACGTTTTGTAGAATCTGCAAGGGGATATTTGGACCTCTCTGAGGATTTCGTTGGAAACGGGATCAACTTCCCATAACTGAACGGAAGCAAACTCAGAACATTCTTTGTGATGTTTGTATTCAACTCACAGAGTTGAACCTTCCTTTGATAGTTCAGGTTTGCAACACCCTTGTAGTAGAATCTGCAAGTGTATATTTTGACCACTTTGTAGCCTTCGTTTGAAACGTCTATATCTTCACATCAAACCTAGACAGAAGCATTCTCAGAAAGTTTTCTGCGATGACAGCATTCAACTCACAGAGTTGAACAATCCTTCTGATGGAGCAGTTTTGAAACCCTCTTTCTTTGGAATCTGCAAGGGGATATGTGGACCTCTTTGAAGATTTCACTGGAAACGGGATCATCTTCACATAAAAACTAAACAGAAGCATTCTCGGAAACTACTTTGTGATGTTTGTATTCAACTCCCAGAGTTGAACTTTCCTTTTGAAAGAGCAGCTATGAAACACTCTTTTTCGAGAATCTGCAAGTGGACGTTTGGAGGGCTTTGAGGCCTGTGGTGGAAAAGGAAATATCTTCACATAAAAACTAGATAGAAGCATTCTCAGAAACGACTTTGTGAGGATGGCATTCAACTCATGGAGTTGAACAATCCTATTGATAGAGCAGATTGGAATCACTCTTTTTGTAGAATCTGCAAATGGAGATTTGGACTGCTTTGAGGCCTACGGTCGTATAGGAAGGAACTTCATATAAAAGGCAAACGGAAGCATTCTCAGAATATTCTTTGTGATGATGGAGTTTCACTCACAGAGCTGAACATGCCTTTTGATGGAGCAGTTTCCAAATACACTTTTGGTAGAATCTGCAGGTGGATATTTGGAGCTCTCTGAGGATTTCGTTGGAAACGGGAATAATTTCCCATAACTAAACACAAACACTCTGAGAAAGTTCTTCATGATGAATGCATTTAACTCGCAGAGATGAACCTGCCTTTGAGAGTTCAGGTTCGAAACACTCTTTCTGTAGAATCTGCAAGTGGATATTTGGACCACTGGGTGGCCTTCGTTCGAAACGGGTATATGTTCACGTAAAAACTAAAGAGAAGCATTCTCAGAAACTTCTGAGTGATGATTGCATTCAAGTCACACAGTTGAACCCTCCTTTTGATGGAGCAGTTTTGAAACTGTCTTTTTGTAGAATCTGTAAGTGGATGCGTGGACCTCTTTGAAGATTTCTTTGGAAACGGGAATATTTCCACAGAAAAACTAAACTGAAGCATTCTCAGAAACTGCTTTGTGATGTTTGTGTTCGAGCCACAGAGTTTAACATTGCTTTTCATAGAGCAGTTTTGAAATATTCTTTTCGCAGAATTTGCAAGTGGACATTTGGAGCGTTTTCAGGCCTGTGGTGGCAAAGGCCTGAAAGCCTTTTCCTTTATCTTCACAGAAAGACGAGAGAGAAGCATTGTCAGAAACTTCTTTGTGATGATTGCATTCAACTCACAGAGTTGAAGATTCCTTTTGAAACAGCAGTTTCGAAACACTCTTTCTGTGGGATCCGCAAGGGGATATTTGGACCTCTTTGAAGGTTTCGTTGGAAACGGGATAATCTTCACCTAAAAGCTAAACGGAAGCATTCTCAGAAACTTCTTTGGGATGTTTGCATTCACCTCACAGAGTTGAACTTTCCCTTTGATAGCGCAGCTTTGACACACTTTTTCTACAATGTGCAAGTGGCTATTTAGCGGGCTTGGAGGACTGTGTTGGAAAAGGAAATATCTTCTCCTAAAAACGACATAGAAGCATTCTCAGAAACTGCTCTGTGATGATTGCATTCAACTCCCAGAGTTGAACATTCCTTTTGATAGAGCAGTTTGCAAACACTCTTTTTGTAGAATCTGCAAGTGGAGATTTGGACCGCTTTGAGGTCTGTGGTAGTGAAGGAAAGAGCTTCATATAAAAACCAGACGGTAGCACTCTCAGAAAATTCTTTGTGACGATGGAGTTTAACTCAGGGAGCTGAACATTCGTTATGATGGAGCAGTTTCCAAACACACGTTTTGTAGAATCTGCAAGGGGATATTTGGACCTCTCTGAGGATTTCGTTGGAAACGGGATCAACATCCCATAACTGAACAGAAGCAAACTCAGAACATTCTTTGTGATGTTTGTATTCAACTCACAGAGTTGAACCTTCCTTTGATAGTTCAGGTTTGCAACACCCTTGTAGTAGAATCTGCAAGTGTATATTTTGACCACTTTGTAGCCTTCGTTTGAAACGTCTATATCTTCACATCAAACCTAGACAGAAGCATTCTCAGAAAGTTTTCTGCGATGACTGCATTCAACTCACAGAGTTGAACAATCCTTCTGATGGAGCAGTTTTGAAACCCTCTTTCTTTGGAATCTGCAAGGGGATATGTGGACCTCTTTGAAGATTTCACTGGAAACGGGATCATCTTCACATAAAAACTAAACAGAAGCATTCTCGGAAACTACTTTGTGATGTTTGTATTCAACTGCCAGAGTTGAACTTTCCTTTTGAAAGAGCAGCTATGAAACACTCTTTTTCGAGAATCTGCAAGTGGACGTTTGGAGGGCTTTGAGGCCTGTGGTGGAAAAGGAAATATCTTCACATAAAAACTAGATAGAAGCATTCTCAGAAACGACTTTGTGAGGATGGCATTCAACCTCATGGAGTTGAACAATCCTATTGATAGAGCAGATTGGAATCACTCTTTTTGTGGAATCTGCAAATGGAGATTTGGACTGCTTTGAGGCCTACGGTCGTATAGGAAGGAACTTCAGATAAAAGGCAAACGGAAGCATTCTCAGAATATTCTTTGTGATGATGGAGTTTCACTCACAGAGCTGAACATGCCTTTTGATGGAGCAGTTTCCAAATACACTTTTGGTAGAATCTGCAGGTGGATATTTGGAGCTCTCTGAGGATTTCGTTGGAAACGGGAATAATTTCCCATAACTAAACACAAACACTCTGAGAAAGTTCTTCATGATGAATGCATTTAACTCGCAGAGATGAACCTGCCTTTGAGAGTTAATGTTCGAAACACTCTTTCTGTAGAATCTGCAAGTGGATATTTGGACCACTGGCTGGCCTTCGTTCGAAACGGGTATATGTTCACGTAAAAACTAAAGAGAAGCATTCTCAGAAACTTCTGAGTGATGATTGCATTCAAGTCACACAGTTGAACCCTCCTTTTGATGGAGCAGTTTTGAAACTGTCTTTTTGTAGAATCTGTAAGTGGATACGTGGACCTCTTTGAAGATTTCTTTGGAAACGGGAATATTTCCACAGAAAAACTAAACTGAAGCATTCTCAGAAACCGCTTTGTGATGTTTGTGTTCGAGCCACAGAGTTTAACATTGCTTTTCATAGAGCAGTTTTGAAATATTCTTTTCGCAGAATCTGCAAGTGGACACTTGGAGCGCTTTCAGGCCTGTGGTGGCAAAGGCCTGAAAGCCTTTTCCTTTATCTTCACAGAAAGACGAGAGAGAAGCATTGTCAGAAACTTCTTTGTGATGATTGCATTCAACTCACAGAGTTGAAGATTCCTTTTGAAACAGCAGTTTCGAAACACTCTTTCTGTGGGATCCGCAAGGGGATATTTGGACCTCTTTGAAGGTTTCGTTGGAAACGGGATAATCTTCACCTAAAAGCTAAACGGAAGCATTCTCAGAAACTTCTTTGGGATGTTTGCATTCACCTCACAGAGTTGAACTTTCCCTTTGATAGCGCAGCTTTGACACACTTTTTCTACAATGTGCAAGTGGCTATTTAGCGGGCTTGGAGGACTGTGTTGGAAAAGGAAATATCTTCTCCTAAAAACGACATAGAAGCATTCTCAGAAACTGCTCTGTGATGATTGCATTCAACTCCCAGAGTTGAACATTCCTTTTGATAGAGCAGTTTGCAAACACTCTTTTTGTAGAATCTGCAAGTGGAGATTTGGACCGCTTTGAGGCCTGTGGTAGTGAAGGAAAGAGCTTCATATAAAAACCAGACGGTAGCACTCTCAGAAAATTCTTTGTGACGATGGAGTTTAACTCAGGGAGCTGAACATTCGTTATGATGGAGCAGTTTCCAAACACACGTTTTGTAGAATCTGCAAGGGGATATTTGGACCTCTCTGAGGATTTCGTTGGAAACGGGATCAACTTCCCATAACTGAACGGAAGCAAACTCAGAACATTCTTTGTGATGTTTGTATTCAACTCACAGAGTTGAACCTTCCTTTGATAGTTCAGGTTTGCAACACCCTTGTAGTAGAATCTGCAAGTGTATATTTTGACCACTTTGTAGCCTTTGTTTGAAACGTCTATATCTTCACATCAAACCTAGACAGAAGCATTCTCAGAAAGTTTTCTGCGATGACTGCATTCAACTCACAGAGTTGAACAATCCTTCTGATGGAGCAGTTTTGAAACCCTCTTTCTTTGGAATCTGCAAGGGGATATGTGGACCTCTTTGAAGATTTCACTGGAAACGGGATCGATCATCTTCACATAAAAACTAAACAGAAGCATTCTCGGAAACTACTTTGTGATGTTTGTATTCAACTCCCAGAGTTGAACTTTCCTTTTGAAAGAGCAGCTATGAAACACTCTTTTTCGAGAATCTGCAAGTGGACGTTTGGAGGGCTTTGAGGCCTGTGGTGGAAAAGGAAATATCTTCACACAAAAACCAGATAGAAGCATTCTCAGAAACTACTTTGTGAGGATGGCATTCAACTCATGGAGTTGAACAATCCTATTGATAGAGCAGATTGGAATCACTCTTTTTATAGAATCTGCAAATGGAGATTTGGACTGCTTTGAGGCCTACGGTAGTACAGGAAGGAACTTCATATAAAAGGCAAACGGAAGCATTCTCAGAATATTCTTTGTGATGATGGAGTTTCACTCACAGAGCTGAACATGCCTTTTGATGGAGCAGTTTCCAAATACACTTTTGGTAGAATCTGCAGGTGGATATTTGGAGCTCTCTGAGGATTTCGTTGGAAACGGGAATAATTTCCCATAACTAAACACAAACACTCTGAGAAAGTTCTTCATGATGAATGCATTTAACTTGCAGAGATGAACCTGCCTTTGAGAGTTCAGGTTCGAAACACTCTTTCTGTAGAATCTGCAAGTGGATATTTGGACCACTGGGTGGCCTTCGTTCGAAACGGGTATATGTTCACGTAAAAACTAAAGAGAAGCATTCTCAGAAACTTCTGAGTGATGATTGCATTCAAGTCACACAGTTGAACCCTCCTTTTGATGGAGCAGTTTTGAAACTGTCTTTTTGTAGAATCTGTAAGTGGATACGTGGACCTCTTTGAAGATTTCTTTGGAAACGGGAATATTTCCACAGAAAAACTAAACTGAAACATTCTCAGAAACCGCTTTGTGATGTTTGTGTTCCAGCCACAGAGTTTAACATTGCTTTTCATAGAGCAGTTTTGAAATATTCTTTTCGCAGAATCTGCAAGTGGACATTTGGAGCGCTTTCAGGCCTGTGGTGGAAAAGGCCTGAAAGCCTTTTCCATTATCTTCACAGAAAGACGAGAGAGAAGCATTGTCAGAAACTTCTTTGTGATGATTGCATTCAACTCACAGAGTTGAAGATTCCTTTTGAAACAGCAGTTTCGAAACACTCTTTCTGTGGGATCCGCAAGGGGATATTTGCACCTCTTTGAAGGTTTCGTTGGAAACGGGATAATCTTCACCTAAAAGCTAAACGGAAGCATTCTCAGAAACTTCTTTGGGATGTTTGCATTCACCTCACAGAGTTGAACTTTCCCTTTGATAGCGCAGCTTTGACACACTTTTTCTACAATGTGCAAGTGGCTATTTAGCGGGCTTGGAGGACTGTGTTGGAAAAGGAAATATCTTCTAAAAACGACATAGAAGCATTCTCAGAAACTGCTCTGTGATGATTGCATTCAACTCCCAGAGTTGAACATTCCTTTTGATAGAGCAGTTTGCAAACACTCTTTTTGTAGAATCTGCAAGTGGAGATTTGGACCGCTTTGAGGCCTGTGGTAGTGAAGGAAAGAACTTCATATAAAAACCAGACGGTAGCACTCTCAGAAAATTCTTTGTGACGATGGAGTTTAACTCAGGGAGCTGAACATTCGTTATGATGGAGCAGTTTCCAAACACATGTTTTGTAGAATCTGCGAGGGGATATTTGGACCTCTCTGAGGATTTCGTTGGAAACGGGATCAACTTCCCATAACTGAACGGAAGCAAACTCAGAACATTCTTTGTGATGTTTGTATTCAACTCACAGAGTTGAACCTTCCTTTGATAGTTCAGGTTTGCAACACCCTTGTAGTAGAATCTGCAAGTGTATATTTTGACCACTTTGTAGCCTTCGTTTGAAACGTCTATATCTTCACATCAAACCTAGAAAGAAGCATTCTCAGAAAGTTTTCTGCGATGACTGCATTCAACTCACAGAGTTGAACAATCCTTTTGATGGAGCAGTTTTGAAACCCTCTTTCTTTGGAATCTGCAAGGGGATATGTGGACCTCTTTGAAGATTTCACTGGAAACGGGATCATCTTCACATAAAAACTAAACAGAAGCAATCTCGGAAGCTATTTTGTGATGTTTGTATTCAACTCCCAGAGTTGAACTTTCCTTTTGAAAGAGCAGCTATGAAACACTCTTTTTCGAGAATCTGCAAGTGGACGTTTGGAGGGCTTTGAGGCCTGTGGTGGAAAAGGAAATATCTTCACACAAAAACCAGATAGAAGCATTCTCAGAAACTACTTTGTGAGGATGGCATTCAACTCATGGAGTTGAACAATCCTATTGATAGAGCAGATTGGAATCACTCTTTTTGTAGAATCTGCAAATGGAGATTTGGACTGCTTTGAGGCCTACGGTAGTATAGGAAGGAACTTCATATAAAAGGCAAACGGAAGCATTCTCAGAATATTCTTTGTGATGATGGAGTTTCACTCACAGAGCTGAACATGCCTTTTGATGGAGCAGTTTCCAAATACACTTTTGGTAGAATCTGCAGGTGGATATTTGGAGCTCTCTGAGGATTTCGTTGGAAAAGGGAATAATTTCCCATAACTAAACACAAACACTCTGAGAAAGTTCTTCATGATGAATGCATTTAACTCGCAGAGATGAACCTGCCTTTGAGAGTTCAGGTTCGAAACACTCTTTCTGTAGAATCTGCAAGTGGATATTTGGACCACTGGCTGGCCTTCGTTCGAAACGGGTATATGTTCACGTAAAAACTAAAGAGAAGCATTCTCAGAAACTTCTGAGTGATGATTGCATTCAAGTCACACAGTTGAACCCTCCTTTTGATGGAGCAGTTTTGAAACTGTCTTTTTGTAGAATCTGTAAGTGGATACGTGGACCTCTTTGAAGATTTCTTTGGAAACGGGAATATTTCCACAGAAAAACTAAACTGAAGCATTCTCAGAAACCGCTTTGTGATGTTTGTGTTCGAGCCACAGAGTTTAACATTGCTTTTCATAGAGCAGATTTGAAATATTCTTTTCGCAGAATCTGCAAGTGGACATTTGGAGCGCTTTCAGGCCTGTGGTGGAAAAGGCCTGAAAGCCTTTTCCTTTATCTTCACAGAAAGACGAGAGAGAAGCATTGTCAGAAACTTCTTTGCGATGATTGCATTCAACTCACAGAGTTGAAGATTCCTTTTGAAACAGCAGTTTCGAAACACTCTTTCTGTGGGATCCGCAAGGGGATATTTGGACCTCTTTGAAGGTTTCGTTGGAAACGGGATAATCTTCACCTAAAAGCTAAACGGAAGCATTCTCAGAAACTTCTTTGGGATGTTTGCATTCACCTCACAGAGTTGAACTTTCCCTTTGATAGCGCAGCTTTGACACACTTTTTCTACAATGTGCAAGTGGCTATTTAGCGGGCTTGGAGGACTGTGTTGGAAAAGGAAATATCTTCTCCTAAAAACGACATAGAAGCATTCTCAGAAACTGCTCTGTGATGATTGCATTCAACTCCCAGAGTTGAACATTCCTTTTGATAGAGCAGTTTGCAAACACTCTTTTTGTAGAATCTGCAAGTGGAGATTTGGACCGCTTTGAGGCCTGTGGTAGTGAAGGAAAGAACTTCATATAAAAACCAGACGGTAGCACTCTCAGAAAATTCTTTGTGACGATGGAGTTTAACTCAGGGAGCTGGATATTCGTTATGATGGAGCAGTTTCCAAACACACGTTTTGTAGAATCTGCGAGGGGATATTTGGACCTCTCTGAGGATTTCGTTGGAAACGGGATCAACTTCCCATAACTGAACGGAAGCAAACTCAGAACATTCTTTGTGATGTTTGTATTCAACTCACAGAGTTGAACCTTCCTTTGATAGTTCAGGTTTGCAACACCCTTGTAGTAGAATCTGCAAGTGTATATTTTGACCACTTTGTAGCCTTCGTTTGAAACGTCTATATCTTCACATCAAACCTAGACAGAAGCATTCTCAGAAAGTTTTCTGCGATGACTGCATTCAACTCACAGAGTTGAACAATCCTTCTGATGGAGCAGTTTTGAAACCCTCTTTCTTTGGAATCTGCAAGGGGATATGTGGACCTCTTTGAAGATTTCACTGGAAACGGGATCATCTTCACATAAAAACTAAACAGAAGCATTCTCGGAAACTACTTTGGGATGTTTGTATTCAACTCCCAGAGTTGAACTTTCCTTTTGAAAGAGCAGCTATGAAACACTCTTTTTCGAGAATCTGCAAGTGGACGTTTGGAGGGCTTTGAGGCCTGTGGTGGAAAAGGAAATATCTTCACATAAAAACTAGATAGAAGCATTCTCAGAAACTACTTTGTGAGGATGGCATTCAACTCATGGAGTTGAACAATCCTATTGATAGAGCAGATTGGAATCACTCTTTTTGTAGAATCTGCAAATGGAGATTTGGACTGCTTTGAGGCCTATGGTAGTATAGGAAGGAACTTCATATAAAAGGCAAACGGAAGCATTCTCAGAATATTCTTTGTGATGATGGAGTTTCACTCACAGAGCTGAACATGCCTTTTGATGGAGCAGTTTCCAAATACACTTTTGGTAGAATCTGCAGGTGGATATTTGGAGCTCTCTGAGGATTTCGTTGGAAACGGGAATAATTTCCCATAACTAAACACAAACACTCTGAGAAAGTTCTTCATGATGAATGCATTTAACTCGCAGAGATGAACCTGCCTTTGAGAGTTCAGGTTCGAAACATTCTTTCTGTAGAATCTGCAAGTGGATATTTGGACCACTGGCTGGCCTTGGTTCGAAAAGGTTATATGTTCACGTAAAAACTAAAGAGAAGCATTCTCAGAAACTTCTGAGTGATGATTGCATTCAAGTCACACAGTTGAACCCTCCTTTTGATGGAGCAGTTTTGAAACTGTCTTTTTGTAGAATCTGTAAGTGGATACGTGGACCTCTTTGAAGATTTCTTTGGAAACGGGAATATTTCCACAGAAAAACTAAACTGAAGCATTCTCAGAAACCGCTTTGTGATGTTTGTGTTCAAGCCACAGAGTTTAACATTGCTTTTCATAGAGCAGTTTTGAAATATTCTTTTCGCAGAATCTGCAAGTGGACATTTGGAGCGCTTTCAGGCCTGTGGTGGAAAAGGCCTGAAAGCCTTTTCCTTTATCTTCACAGAAAGACGAGAGAGAAGCATTGTCAGAAACTTCTTTGTGATGATTGCATTCAACTCACAGAGTTGAAGATTCCTTTTGAAACAGCAGTTTCGAAACACTCTTTCTGTGGGATCCGCAAGGGGATATTTGGACCTCTTAGAAGGTTTCGTTGGAAACGGGATTATCTTCACCTAAAAGCTAAACGGAAGCATTCTCAGAAACTTCTTTGGGATGTTTGCATTCACCTCACAGAGTTGAACTTTCCCTTTGATAGCGCAGCTTTGACACACTTTTTCTACAATGTGCAAGTGGCTATTTAGCGGGCTTGGAGGACTGTGTTGGAAAAGGAAATATCTTCTCCTAAAAACGACATAGAAGCATTCTCAGAAACTGCTCTGTGATGATTGCATTCAACTCCCAGAGTTGAACATTCCTTTTGATAGAGCAGTTTGCAAACACTCTTTTTGTAGAATCTGCAAGTGGAGATTTGGACCGCGTTGAGGCCTGTGGTAGTGAAGGAAAGAACTTCATATAAAAACCAGACGGTAGCACTCTCAGAAAATTCTTTGTGACGATGGAGTTTAACTCAGGGAGCTGAACATTCGTTATGATGGAGCAGTTTCCAAACACACGTTTTGTAGAATCTGCAAGGGGATATTTGGACCTCTCTGAGGATTTCGTTGGAAACGGGATCAACTTCCCATAACTGAACGGAAGCAAACTCAGAACATTCTTTGTGATGTTTGTATTCAACTCACAGAGTTGAACCTTCCTTTGATAGTTCAGGTTTGCAACACCCTTGTAGTAGAATCTGCAAGTGTATATTTTGACCACTTTGTAGCCTTCGTTTGAAACGTCTATATCTTCACATCAAACCTAGAAAGAAGCATTCTCAGAAAGTTTTCTGCGATGACTGCATTCAACTCACAGAGTTGAACAATCCTTCTGATGGAGCAGTTTTGAAACCCTCTTTCTTTGGAATCTGCAAGGGGATATGTGGACCTCTTTGAAGATTTCACTGGAAACGGGATCATCTTCACATAAAAACTAAACAGAAGCATTCTCGGAAACTATTTTGTGATGTTTGTATTCAACTCCCAGAGTTGAACTTTCCTTTTGAAAGAGCAGCTATGAAACACTCTTTTTCGAGAATCTGCAAGTGGACGTTTGGAGGGCTTTGAGGCCTGTGGTGGAAAAGGAAATATCTTCACACAAAAACCAGATAGAAGCATTCTCAGAAACTACTTTGTGAGGATGGCATTCAACTCATGGAGTTGAACAATCCTATTGATAGAGCAGATTGGAATCACTCTTTTTGTAGAATCTGCAAATGGAGATTTGGACTGCTTTGAGGCCTACGGTAGTACAGGAAGGAACTTCATATAAAAGGCAAACGGAAGCATTCTCAGAATATTCTTTGTGATGATGGAGTTTCACTCACAGAGCTGAACATGCCTTTTGATGGAGCAGTTTCCAAATACACTTTTGGTAGAATCTGCAGGTGGATATTTGGAGCTCTCTGAGGATTTCGTTGGAAACGGGAATAATTTCCCATAACTAAACACAAACACGCTGAGAAAGTTCTTCATGATGAATGCATTTAACTCGCAGTGATGAACCTGCCTTTGAGAGTTCAGGTTCGAAACACTCTTTCTGTAGAATCTGCAAGTGGATATTTGGACCACTGGGTGGCCTTCGTTCGAAACGGGTATATGTTCACGTAAAAACTAAAGAGAAGCATTCTCAGAAACTTCTGAGTGATGATTGCATTCAAGTCACACAGTTGGAACCCTCCTTTTGATGGAGCAGTTTTGAAACTGTCTTTTTGTAGAATCTGTAAGTGGATACGTGGACCTCTTTGAAGATTTCTTTGGAAACGGGAATATTTCCACGGAAAAACTAAACTGAAGCATTCTCAGAAACCGCTTTGTGATGTTTGTGTTCGAGCCGCAGAGTTTAACATTGCTTTTCATAGAGCAGTTTTGAAATATTCTTTTCGCAGAATCTGCAAGTGGACATTTGGAGCGCTTTCAGGCCTGTGGTGGAAAAGGCCTGAAAGCCTTTTCCTTTATCTTCACAGAAAGACGAGAGAGAAGCATTGTCAGAAACTTCTTTGTGATGATTGCATTCAACTCACAGAGTTGAAGATTCCTTTTGAAACAGCAGTTTCGAAACACTCTTTCTGTGGGATCCGCAAGGGGATATTTGGACCTCTTTGAAGGTTTCGTTGGAAACGGGATAATCTTCACCTAAAAGCTAAACGGAAGCATTCTCAGAAACTTCTTTGGGATGTTTGCATTCACCTCACAGAGTTGAACTTTCCCTTTGATAGCGCAGCTTTGACACACTTTTTCTACAATGTGCAAGTGGCTATTTAGCGGGCTTGGAGGACTGTGTTGGAAAAGGAAATATCTTCTCCTAAAAACGACATAGAAGCATTCTCAGAAACTGCTCTGTGATGATTGCATTCAACTCCCAGAGTTGAACATTCCTTTTGATAGAGCAGTTTGCAAACACTCTTTTTGTAGAATCTGCAAGTGGAGATTTGGACCGCTTTGAGGTCTGTGGTAGTGAAGGAAAGAACTTCATATAAAAACCAGACGGTAGCACTCTCAGAAAATTCTTTGTGACGATGGAGTTTAACTCAGGGAGCTGAACATTCGTTATGATGGAGCAGTTTCCAAACACACGTTTTGTAGAATCTGCAAGGGGATATTTAGACCTCTCTGAGGATTTCGTTGGAAACGGGATCAACTTCCCATAACTGAACGGAAGCAAACTCAGAACATTCTTTGTGATGTTTGTATTCAACTCACAGAGTTGAACCTTCCTTTGATAGTTCAGGTTTGCAACACCCTTGTAGTAGAATCTGCAAGTGTATATTTTGACCACTTTGTAGCCTTCGTTTGAAACGTCTATATCTTCACATCAAACCTAGACAGAAGCATTCTCAGAAAGTTTTCTGCGATGACTGCATTCAACTCACAGAGTTGAACAATCCTTCTGATGGAGCAGTTTTGAAACCCTCTTTCTTTGGAATCTGCAAGGGGATATGTGGACCTCTTTGAAGATTTCACTGGAAACGGGATCATCTTCACATAAAAACTAAACAGAAGCATTCTCGGAAACTATTTTGTGATGTTTGTATTCAACTCCCAGAGTTGAACTTTCCTTTTGAAAGAGCAGCTATGAAACACTCTTTTTCGAGAATCTGCAAGTGGACGTTTAGAGGGCTTTGAGGCCTGTGGTGGAAAAGGAAATATCTTCACACAAAAACCAGATAGAAGCATTCTCAGAAACTGCTTTGTGAGGATGGCATTCAACTCATGGAGTTGAACAATCCTATTGATAGAGCAGATTGGAATCACTCTTTTTGTAGAATCTGCAAATGGAGATTTGGACTGCTTTGAGGCCTACGGTAGTACAGGAAGGAACTTCATATAAAAGGCAAACGGAAGCATTCTCAGAATATTCTTTGTGATGATGGAGTTTCACTCACAGAGCTGAACATGCCTTTTGATGGAGCAGTTTCCAAATACACTTTTGGTAGAATCTGCAGGTGGATATTTGGAGCTCTCTGAGGATTTCTTTGGAAACGGGAATAATTTCCCATAACTAAACACAAACACTCTGAGAAAGTTCTTCATGATGAATGCATTTAACTCGCAGAGATGAACCTGCCTTTGAGAGTTCAGGTTCGAAACACTCTTTCTGTATAATCTGCAAGTGGATATTTGGACCACTGGGTGGCCTTCGTTCGAAACGGGTATATGTTCACGTAAAAACTAAAGAGAAGCATTCTCAGAAACTTCTGAGTGATGATTGCATTCAAGTCACACAGTTGAACCCTCCTTTTGATGGAGCAGTTTTGAAACTGTCTTTTTGTAGAATCTGTAAGTGGATACGTGGACCTCTTTGAAGATTTCTTTGGAAACGGGAATATTTCCACAGAAAAACTAAACTGAAACATTCTCAGAAACCGCTTTGTGATGTTTGTGTTCCAGCCACAGAGTTTAACATTGCTTTTCATAGAGCAGTTTTGAAATATTCTTTTCGCAGAATCTGCAAGTGGACATTTGGAGCGCTTTCAGGCCTGTGGTGGAAAAGGCCTGAAAGCCTTTTCCTTTATCTTCACAGAAAGACGAGAGAGAAGCATTGTCAGAAACTTCTTTGTGATGATTGCATTCAACTCACAGAGTTGAAGATTCCTTTTGAAACAGCAGTTTCGAAACACTCTTTCTGTGGGATCCGCAAGGGGATATTTGGACCTCTTTGAAGGTTTCGTTGGAAACGGGATAATCTTCACCTAAAAGCTAAACGGAAGCATTCTCAGAAACTTCTTTGGGATGTTTGCATTCACCTCACAGAGTTGAACTTTCCCTTTGATAGCGCAGCTTTGACACACTTTTTCTACAATGTGCAAGTGGCTATTTAGCGGGCTTGGAGGACTGTGTTGGAAAAGGAAATATCTTCTCCTAAAAACGACATAGAAGCATTCTCAGAAACTGCTCTGTGATGATTGCATTCAACTCCCAGAGTTGAACATTCCTTTTGATAGAGCAGTTTGCAAACACTCTTTTTGTAGAATCTGCAAGTGGAGATTTGGACCGCTTTGAGGCCTGGGGTAGTGAAGGAAAGAGCTTCATATAAAAACCAGACGGTAGCACTCTCAGAAAATTCTTTGTGACGATGGAGTTTAACTCAGGGAGCTGAACATTCGTTATGATGGAGCAGTTTCCAAACACACGTTTTGTAGAATCTGCAAGGGGATATTTGGACCTCTCTGAGGATTTCGTTGGAAACGGGATCAACTTCCCATAACTGAACGGAAGCAAACTCAGAACATTCTTTGTGATGTTTGTATTCAACTCACAGAGTTGAACCTTCCTTTGATAGTTCAGGTTTGCAACACCCTTGTAGTAGAATCTGCAAGTGTATATTTTGACCACTTTGTAGCCTTCGTTTGAAACGTCTATATCTTCACATCAAACCTAGACAGAAGCATTCTCAGAAAGTTTTCTGCGATGACTGCATTCAACTCACAGAGTTGAACAATCCTTCTGATGGAGCAGTTTTGAAACCCTCTTTCTTTGGAATCTGCAAGGGGATATGTGGACCTCTTTGAAGATTTCACTGGAAACGGGATCATCTTCACATAAAAACTAAACAGAAGCATTCTCGGAAACTACTTTGTGATGTTTGTATTCAACTCCCAGAGTTGAACTTTCCTTTTGAAAGAGCAGCTATGAAACACTCTTTTTCGAGAATCTGCAAGTGGACGTTTGGAGGGCTTTGAGGCCTGTGGTGGAAAAGGAAATATCTTCACATAAAAACTAGATAGAAGCATTCTCAGAAACGACTTTGTGAGGATGGCATTCAACTCATGGAGTTGAACAATCCTATTGATAGAGCAGATTGGAATCACTCTTTTTGTAGAATCTGAAAATGGAGATTTGGACTGCTTTGAGGCCTACGGTCGTATAGGAAGGAACTTCATATAAAAGGCAAACGGAAGCATTCTCAGAATATTCTTTGTGATGATGGAGTTTCACTCACAGAGCTGAACATGCCTTTTGATGGAGCAGTTTCCAAATACACTTTTGGTAGAATCTGCAGGTGGATATTTGGAGCTCTCTGAGGATTTCGTTGGAACCTGGAATAATTTCCCATAACTAAACACAAACACTCTGAGAAAGTTCTTCATGATGAATGCATTTAACTCGCAGAGATGAACCTGCCTTTGAGAGTTCAGGTTCGAAACACTCTTTCTGTAGAATCTGCAAGTGGATATTTGGACCACTGGCTGGCCTTCGTTCGAAACGGGTATATGTTCACGTAAAAACTAAAGAGAAGCATTCTCAGAAACTTCTGAGTGATGATTGCATTCAAGTCACACAGTTGAACCCTCCTTTTGATGGAGCAGTTTTGAAACTGTCTTTTTGTAGAATCTGTAAGTGGATACGTGGACCTCTTTGAAGATTTCTTTGGAAACGGGAATATTTCCACAGAAAAACTAAACTGAAGCATTCTCAGAAACTGCTTTGTGATGTTTGTGTTCGAGCCACAGAGTTTAACATTGCTTTTCATAGAGCAGTTTTGAAATATTCTTTTGGCAGAATCTGCAAGTGGACATTTGGAGCGCTTTCAGGCCTGTGGTGGAAAAGGCCTGAAAGCCTTTTCCTTTATCTTCACAGAAAGACGAGAGAGAAGCATTGTCAGAAACTTCTTTGGGATGATTGCATTCAACTCACAGAGTTGAAGATTCCTTTTGAAACAGCAGTTTCGAAACACTCTTTCTGTGGGATCCGCAAGGGGATATTTGGACCTCTTTGAAGGTTTCGTTGGAAACGGGATAATCTTCACCTAAAAGCTAAACGGAAGCATTCTCAGAAACTTCTTTGGGATGTTTGCATTCACCTCACAGAGTTGAACTTTCCCTTTGATAGCGCAGCTTTGACACACTTTTTCTACAATGTGCAAGTGGCTATTTAGCGGGCTTGGAGGACTGTGTTGGAAAAGGAAATATCTTCTCCTAAAAACGACATAGAAGCATTCTCAGAAACTGCTCTGTGATGATTGCATTCAACTCCCAGAGTTGAACATTCCTTTTGATAGAGCAGTTTGCAAACACTCTTTTTGTAGAATCTGCAAGTGGAGATTTGGACCGCTTTGAGGCCTGTGGTAGTGAAGGAAAGAGCTTCATATAAAAACCAGACGGTAGCACTCTCAGAAAATTCTTTGTGACGATGGAGTTTAACTCAGGGAGCTGAACATTCGTTATGATGGAGCAGTTTCCAAACACACGTTTTGTAGAATCTGCAAGGGGATATTTGGACCTCTCTGAGGATTTCGTTGGAAACGGGATCAACATCCCATAACTGAACAGAAGCAAACTCAGAACATTCTTTGTGATGTTTGTATTCAACTCACAGAGTTGAACCTTCCTTTGATAGTTCAGGTTTGCAACACCCTTGTAGTAGAATCTGCAAGTGTATATTTTGACCACTTTGTAGCCTTCGTTTGAAACGTCTATATCTTCACATCAAACCTAGACAGAAGCATTCTCAGAAAGTTTTCTGCGATGACTGCATTCAACTCACAGAGTTGAACAATCCTTCTGATGGAGCAGTTTTGAAACCCTCTTTCTTTGGAATCTGCAAGGGGATATGTGGACCTCTTTGAAGATTTCACTGGAAACGGGATCATCTTCACATAAAAACTAAACAGAAGCATTCTCGGAAACTACTTTGTGATGTTTGTATTCAACTCCCAGAGTTGAACTTTCCTTTTGAAAGAGCAGCTATGAAACACTCCTTTTCGAGAATCTGCAAGTGGACGTTTGGAGGTCTTTGAGGCCTGTGGTGGAAAAGGAAATATCTTCACATAAAAACTAGATAGAAGCATTCTCAGAAACGACTTTGTGAGGATGGCATTCAACTCATGGAGTTGAACAATCCTATTGATAGAGCAGATTGGAATCACTCTTTTTGTAGAATCTGCAAATGGAGATTTGGACTGCTTTGAGGCCTACGGTAGTATAGGAAGGAACTTCATATAAAAGGCAAACGGAAGCATTCTCAGAATATTCTTTGTGATGATGGAGTTTCACTCACAGAGCTGAACATGCCTTTTGATGGAGCAGTTTCCAAATACACTTTTGGTAGAATCTGCAGGTGGATATTTGGAGCTCTCTGAGGATTTCGTTGGAAACGGGAATAATTTCCCATAACTAAACACAAACACTCTGAGAAAGTTCTTCATGATGAATGCATTTAACTCGCAGAGATGAACCTGCCTTTGAGAGTTCAGGTTCGAAACACTCTTTCTGTAGAATCTGCAAGTGGATATTTGGACCACTGGGTGGCCTTCGTTCGAAACGGGTATATGTTCACGTAAAAACTAAAGAGAAGCATTCTCAGAAACTTCTGAGTGATGATTGCATTCAAGTCACACAGTTGAACCCTCCTTTTGATGGAGCA
Organism: Homo sapiens; assembly: GCF_000001405.40. Taxonomy (NCBI): domain Eukaryota; kingdom Metazoa; phylum Chordata; class Mammalia; order Primates; family Hominidae; genus Homo; species Homo sapiens. Next base: position 59,299,674 of record NC_000023.11, read on the forward strand.
GTTTTGAAACTGTCTTTTTGTAGAATCTGTAAGTGGATACGTGGACCTCTTTGAAGATTTCTTTGGAAACGGGAATATTTCCACAGAAAAACTAAACTGAAGCATTCTCAGAAACTGCTTTGTGATGTTTGTGTTCGAGCCACAGAGTTTAACATTGCTTTTCATAGAGCAGTTTTGAAATATTCTTTTGGCAGAATCTACAAGTGGACATTTGGAGCGCTTTCAGGCCTGTGGTGGAAAAGGCCTGAAAGCCTTTTCCTTTATCTTCACAGAAAGACGAGAGAGAAGCATTGTCAGAAACTTCTTTGTGATGATTGCATTCAACTCACAGAGTTGAAGATTCCTTTTGAAACAGCAGTTTCGAAACACTCTTTCTGTGGGATCCGCAAGGGGATATTTGGACCTCTTTGAAGGTTTCGTTGGAAACGGGATAATCTTCACCTAAAAGCTAAACGGAAACATTCTCAGAAACTTCTTTGGGATGTTTGCATTCACCTCACAGAGTTGAACTTTCCCTTTGATAGCGCAGCTTTGACACACTTTTTCTACAATGTGCAAGTGGCTATTTAGCGGGCTTGGAGGACTGTGTTGGAAAACGAAATATCTTCTCCTAAAAACGACATAGAAGCATTCTCAGAAACTGCTCTGTGATGATTGCATTCAACTCCCAGAGTTGAACATTCCTTTTGATAGAGCAGTTTGCAAACACTCTTTTTGTAGAATCTGCAAGTGGAGATTTGGACCGCTTTGAGGCCTGTGGTAGTGAAGGAAAGAACTTCATATAAAAACCAGACGGTAGCACTCTCAGAAAATTCTTTGTGACGATGGAGTTTAACTCAGGGAGCTGAACATTCGTTATGATGGAGCAGTTTCCAAACACACGTTTTGTAGAATCTGCGAGGGGATATTTGGACCTCTCTGAGGATTTCGTTGGAAACGGGATCAACTTCCCATAACTGAACGGAAGCAAACTCAGAACATTCTTTGTGATGTTTGTATTCAACTCACAGAGTTGAACCTTCCTTTGATAGTTCAGGTTTGCAACACCCTTGTAGTAGAATCTGCAAGTGTATATTTTGACCACTTTGTAGCCTTCGTTTGAAACGTCTATATCTTCACATCAAACCTAGACAGAAGCATTCTCAGAAAGTTTTCTGCGATGACTGCATTCAACTCACAGAGTTGAACAATCCTTTTGATGGAGCAGTTTTGAAACCCTCTTTCTTTGGAATCTGCAAGGGGATATGTGGACCTCTTTGAAGATTTCACTGGAAACGGGATCATCTTCACATAAGAACTAAACAGAAGCATTCTCGGAAACTACTTTGTGATGTTTGTATTCAGCTCCCAGAGTTGAACTTTCCTTTTGAAAGAGCAGCTATGAAACACTCTTTTTCGAGAATCTGCAAGTGGACGTTTGGAGGGCTTTGAGGCCTGTGGTGGAAAAGGAAATATCTTCACATAAAAACTAGATAGAAACATTCTCAGAAACTACTTTGTGAGGATGGCATTCAACTCATGGAGTTGAACAGTCCTATTGATAGAGCAGATTGGAATCACTCTTTTTGTAGAATCTGCAAATGGAGATTTGGACTGCTTTGAGGCCTACGGTAGTATAGGAAGGAACTTCATATAAAAGGCAAATGGAAGCATTCTCAGAATATTCTTTGAGATGATGGAGTTTCACTCACAGAGCTGAACATTCCTTTTGATGGAGCAGTTTCCAAATACACTTTTGGTAGAATCTACAGGTGGATATTTGGACCTCTCTGAGGATTTCGTTGGAAACGGGAATAATTTCCAATAACTAAACACAAACACGCTGAGAAAGTTCTTCATGATGAATGCATTTAACTCGCAGAGATGAACCTGCCTTTGAGAGTTCAGGTTCGAAACACTCTTTCTGTAGAATCTGCAAGTGGATATTTGGACCACTGGGTGGCCTTCGTTCGAAACGGGTATATGTTCACGTAAAAACTAAAGAGAAGCATTCTCAGAAACTTCTGAGTGATGATTGCATTCAAGTCACACAGTTGAACCCTCCTTTTGATTGAGCAGTTTTGAAACTGTCTTTTTGTAGAATCTGTAAGTGGATACGTGGACCTCTTTGAAGATTTCTTTGGAAACGGGAATATTTCCACAGAAAAACTAAACTGAAGCATTCTCAGAAACTGCTTTGTGATGTTTGTGTTCGAGCCGCCAAGTTTAACATTGCTTTTCATAGAGCAGTTTTGAAATATTCTTTTGGCAGAATCTGCAAGTGGACATTTGGAGCGCTTTCAGGCCTGTGGTGGAAAAGGCCTGAAAGCCTTTTCCTTTATCTTCACAGAAAGACGAGAGAGAAGCATTGTCGGAAACTTCTTTGAGATGATTGCATTCAACTCACAGAGTTGAAGATTCCTTTTGAAACAGCAGTTTCGAAACACTCTTTCTGTGGGATCCGCAAGGGGATATTTGGACCTCTTTGAAGATATCGTTGGAAACGGGATAATCTTCACCTAAAAGCTAAACGGAAGCATTCTCAGAAACTTCTTTGGGATGTTTGCATTCACCTCACAGAGTTGAACTTTCCCTTTGATAGCGCAGCTTTGACACACTTTTTCTACAATGTGCAAGTGGATATTTAGCGGGCTTGGAGGACTGTGTTGGAAAAGGAAATATCTTCTCCTAAAAACGACATAGAAGCATTCTCAGAAACTGCTCTGTGATGATTGCATTCAACTCCCAGAGTTGAACATTCCTTTTGATAGAGCAGTTTGCAAACACTCTTTTTGTAGAATCTGCAAGTGGAGATTTGGACCGCTTTGAGGCCTGTGGTAGTAAAGGAAAGAACTTCATATAAAAACTAGACGGTAGCACTCTCAGAAAATTCTTTGTGACGATGGAGTTTAACTCAGGGAGCTGAACATTCGTTATGATGGAGCAGTTTCCAAACACACGTTTTGTAGAATCTGCAAGGGGATATTTGGACCTCTCTGAGGATTTCGTTGGAAACGGGATCAACTTCCCATAACTGAACGGAAGCAAACTCAGAACATTCTCTGCGATGTTTGTATTCAACCCACAGAGTTGAACCTTCCTTTGATAGTTCAGGTTTGCAACACCCTTGTAGTACATTCTGCAAGTGTATATTTTGACCACTTTGTAGCCTTCGTTTGAAACGTCTATATCTTCACATCAAACCTAGACAGAAGCATTCTCAGAAAGTTTTCTGCGATGACTGCATTCAACTCACAGAGTTGAACAATCCTTTTGATGGAGCAGTTTTGAAACCCTCTTTCTTTGGAATCTGCAAGGGGATATGTGGACCTCTTTGAAGATTTCACTGGAAACGGGATCATCTTCACATAAGAACTAAACAGAAGCATTCTCGGAAACTACTTTGTGATGTTTGTATTCAGCTCCCAGAGTTGAACTTTCCTTTTGAAAGAGCAGCTATGAAACACTCTTTTTCGAGAATCTGCAAGTGGACGTTTGGAGGGCTTTGAGGCCTGTGGTGGAAAAGGAAATATCTTCACATAAAAACTAGATAGAAACATTCTCAGAAACTACTTTGTGAGGATGGCATTCAACTCATGGAGTTGAACAGTCCTATTGATAGAGCAGATTGGAATCACTCTTTTTGTAGAATCTGCAAATGGAGATTTGGACTGCTTTGAGGCCTAGGGTAGTATAGGAAGGAACTTCATATAAAAGGCAAATGGAAGCATTCTCAGAATATTCTTTGAGATGATGGAGTTTCACTCACAGAGCTGAACATTCCTTTTGATGGAGCAGTTTCCAAATACACTTTTGGTAGAATCTACAGGTGGATATTTGGACCTCTCTGAGGATTTCGTTGGAAACGGGAATAATTTCCAATAACTAAACACAAACACGCTGAGAAAGTTCTTCATGATGAATGCATTGAACTCGCAGAGATGAACCTGCCTTTGAGAGTTCAGGTTCGAAACACTCTTTCTGTAGAATCTGCAAGTGGATATTTGGACCACTGGCTGGCCTTCGTTCGAAACGGGTATATGTTCACGTAAAAACTAAAGAGAAGCATTCTCAGAAACTTCTGAGTGATGATTGCATTCAAGTCACACAGTTGAACCCTCCTTTTGATTGAGCAGTTTTGAAACTGTCTTTTTGTAGAATCTGTAAGTGGATGCGTGGACCTCTTTGAAGATTTCTTTGGAAACGGGAATATTTCCACAGAAAAACTAAACTGAAGCATTCTCAGAAACGGCTTTGTGATGTTTGTGTTCGAGCCACAGAGTTTAACATTGCTTTTCATAGAGCAGTTTTGAAATATTCTTTTGGCAGAATCTGCAAGTGGACATTTGGAGCACGTTCAGGCCTGTGGTGGAAAAGGCCTGAAAGCCTTTTCCTTTACCTTCACAGAAAGACGAGAGAGAAGCATTGTCAGAAACTTCTTTGTGATGATTGCATTCAACTCACAGAGTTGAAGATTCCTTTTGAAACAGCAGTTTCGAAACACTCTTTCTGTGGGATCCGCAGGGGGATATTTGGACCTCTTTGAAGATTTCGTTGGAAACGGGATAATCTTCACCTAAAAGCTAAACGGAAGTATTCTCAGAAACTTCTTTGGGATGTTTGCATTCACCTCACAGAGTTGAACTTTCCCTTTGATAGCGCAGCTTCGACACACTTTTTCTACAATGTGCAAGTGGATATTTAGCGGGCTTGGAGGACTGTGTTGGAAAAGGAAATATCTTCTCCTAAAAACGACATAGAAGCATTCTCAGAAACTCCTCTGTGATGATTGCTTTCAACTCCCAGAGTTGAACATTCCTTTTGATAGAGCAGTTTGCAAACACTCTTTTTGTAGAATCTGCAAGTGGAGATTTGGACCGCTTTGAGGCCTGTGGTAGTAAAGGAAAGAACTTCATATAAAAACTAGACGGTACACTCTCAGAAAATTCTTTGTGACGATGGAGTTTAACTCAGAGAGCTGAACATTCGTTATGATGGAGCAGTTTCCAAACACACGTTTTGTAGAATCTGCAAGGGGATATTTGGACCTCTCTGAGGATTTCGTTGGAAACGGTATCAACTTCCCATAACTGAACAGAAGCAAACTCAGAACATTCTTTGTGATGTTTGTATTCAACTCACAGAGTTGAACTTTCCTTTGATAGTTGAGGTTTGCATCACCCTTGTAGTAGAATCTGCAAGTGTATATTTTGAACACTTTGTAGCCTTCGTTTGAAACGTCTATATCTTCACATCAAACCTAGACAGAAGCATTCTCAGAAAGTTTTCTGCGATGACTGCATTCAACTCACAGAGTTGAACAATCCTTTTGATGGAGCAGTTTTGAAACCCTCTTTCTTTGGAATCTGCAAGGGGATATGTGGACCTCTTTGGAGATTTCACTGGAAACGGGATCATCTTCACATAAGAACTAAACAGAAGCATTCTCGGAAACTACTTTGTGATGTTTGTATTCAACTCCCACAGTTGAAATTTCCTTTTGAAAGAGCAGCTATGAAACACTCTTTTTCGAGAATCTGCAAGTGGACGTTTGGAGGGCTTTGAGGCCTGTGGTGGAAAAGGAAATATCTTCACATAAAAACTACATAGAAGCATTCTCAGAAACTACTTTGTGAGGATGGCATTCAACTCATGGAGTTGAACAATCATATTGATAGAGCAGATTGGAATCACTCTTTTTGTAGAATCTGCAAATGGAGATTTGGACTGCTTTGAGGCCTACGGTAGTATAGGAAGGAACTTCATATAAAAGGCAAACGGAAGCATTCTCAGAATATTCTTTGTGATGATGGAGTTTCACTCACAGAGCTGAACATGCCTTTTGATGGAGCAGTTTCCAAATACACTTTTGGTAGAATCTGCAGGTGGATATTTGGAGCTCTCTGAGGATTTCGTTGGAAACGGGAATAATTTCCCATAACTAAACACAAACACGCTGAGAAAGTTCTTCATGATGAATGCATTTAACTCGCAGAGATGAACCTGCCTTTGAGAGTTCAGGTTCAAAACACTCTTTCTGTAGAATCTGCAAGTGGATATTTGGACCACTGGCTGGCCTTCGTTCGAAACGGGTATATGTTCACGTAAAAACTAAAGAGAAGCGTTCTCAGAAACTTCTGAGTGATGAATGCATTCAAGTCACACAGTTGAACCCTCCTTTTGATTGAGCAGTTTTGAAACTGTCTTTTTGTAGAATCTGTAAGTGGATGCGTGGACCTCTTTGAAGATTTCTTTGGAAACGGGAATATTTCCACAGAAAAACTAAACTGAAGCATTCTCAGAAACTGCTTTGTGATGTTTGTGTTCGAGCCGCAGAGTTTAACATTGCTTTTCATAGAGCAGTTTTGAAATATTCTTTTGGCAGAATCTGCAAGTGGACATGTGGAGCGCTTTCAGGCCTGTGGTGGAAATGGCCTGAAAGCCTTTTCCTTTATCTTCACAGAAAGACGAGAGAGAAGCATTGTCAGAAACTTCTTTGTGATGATTGCATTCAACTCACAGAGTTGAAGATTCCTTTTGAAACAGCAGTTTCGAAACACTCTTTCTGTGGGATCCGCAAGGGGATATTTGGACCTCTTTGAAGATTTCGTTGGAAACGGGATAATCTTCACTTAAAGCTAAACGGAAGCATTCTCAGAAACTTCTTTGGGATGTTTGCATTCACCTCACAGAGTTGAACTTTCCCTTTGATAGCGCAGCTTCGACACACTTTTTCTACAATGTGTAAGTGGATATTTAGCGGGCTTGGAGGACTGTGTTGGAAAAGGAAATATCTTCTCCTAAAAACGACATAGAAGCATTCTCAGAAACTGCTCTGTGATGATTGCATTCAACTCCCAGAGTTGAACATTCCTTTTGATAGAGCAATTTGCAAACACTGTTTTTGTAGAATCTGCAAGTGGAGATTTGGACCGCTTTGAGGCCTGGGGTAGTAAAGGAAAGAACTTCATATAAAAACTAGAAGGTAGCACCCTCAGAAAATTCTTTGTGACGATGGAGTTTAACTCAGAGAGCTGAACATTCGTTATGATGGAGCAGTTTCCAAACACACGTTTTGTAGAATCTGCAAGGGGATATTTGGACCTCTCTGAGGATTTCGTTGGAAACGGGATCAACTTCCCATAACTGAACGGAAGCAAACTCAGAACATTCTTTGTGATGTTTGTATTCAACTCACAGAGTTGAACCTTCCTTTGATAGTTCAGGTTTGCAACACCCTTGTAGTAGAATCTGCAAGTGTATATTTTGACCACTTTGTAGCCTTCGTTTGAAACGTCTATATCTTCACATCAAACCTAGACAGAAGCATTCTCAGAAAGTTTTCTGCGATGACTGCATTCAACTCACAGAGTTGAACAATCCTTTTGATGGAGCAGTTTTGAAACCCTCTTTCTTTGGAATCTGCAAGGGGATATGTGGACCTCTTTGAAGATTTCACTGGAAACGGGATCATCTTCACATAAGAACTAAACAGAAGCATTCTCGGAAACTACTTTGTGATGTTTGTATTCAACTCCCAGAGTTGAACTTTCCTTTTGAAAGAGCAGCTATGAAACACTCTTTTTCGAGAATCTGCAAGTGGACGTTTGGAGGGCTTTGAGGCCTGTGGTGGAAAAGGAAATATCTTCACATAAAAACTAGATAGAAGCATTCTCAGAAACGACTTTGTGAGGATGGCATTCAACTCATGGAGTTGAACAATCCTATTGATAGAGCAGATTGGAATCACTCTTTTTGTAGAATCTGCAAATGAAGATTTGGACTGCTTTGAGGCCTACGGTAGTATAGGAAGGAGCTTCATATAAAAGGCAAACGGAAGCATTCTCAGAATATTCTTTGTGATGATGGAGTTTCACTCACAGAGCTGAACATGCCTTTTGATGGAGCAGTTTCCAAATACACTTTTGGTAGAATCTGCAGGTGGATATTTGGACCTCTCTGAGGATTTCGTTGGAAACGGGAATAATTTCCCATAACTAAACACAAACACGCTGAGAAAGTTCTTCATGATGAATGCATTGAACTCGCAGAGATGAACCTGCCTTTGAGAGTTCAGGTTCGAAACACTCTTTCTGTAGAATCTGCAAGTGGATATTTGGACCACTGGCTGGCCTTCGTTCGAAACGGGTATATGTTCACGTAAAAACTAAAGAGAAGCGTTCTCAGAAACTTCTGAGTGATGATTGCATTCAAGTCACACAGTTGAACCCTCCTTTTGATTGAGCAGTTTTGAAACTGTCTTTTTGTAGAATCTGTAAGTGGATGCGTGGACCTCTTTGAAGATTTCTTTGGAAACGGGAATATTTCCACAGAAAAACTAAACTGAAGCATTCTCAGAAACTGCTTTGTGATGTTTGTGTTCGAGCCACAGAGTTTAACATTGCTTTTCATAGAGCAGTTTTGAAATATTCTTTTGGCAGAATCTGCAAGTGGACATTTGGAGCCCTTTCAGGCCTGTGGTGGAAAAGGCCTGAAAGCCTTTTCCTTAATCTTCACAGAAAGACGAGAGAGAAGCATTGTCAGAAACTTCTTTGTGATGATTGCATTCAACTCACAGAGTTGAAGATTCCTTTTGAAACAGCAGTTTCGAAACACTCTTTCTGTGGGATCCGCAGGGGGATATTTGGACCTCTTTGAAGATTTCGTTGGAAACGGGATAATCTTCACCTAAAAGCTAAACGGAAGTATTCTCAGAAACTTCTTTGGGATGTTTGCATTCACCTCACAGAGTTGAACTTTCCCTTTGATAGCGCAGCTTCGACACACTTTTTCTACAATGTGCAAGTGGATATTTAGCGGGCTTGGAGGACTGTGTTGGAAAAGGAAATATCTTCTCCTAAAAACGACATAGAAGCATTCTCAGAAACTGCTCTGTGATGATTGCTTTCAACTCCCAGAGTTGAACATTCCTTTTGATAGAGCAGTTTGCAAACACTCTTTTTGTAGAATCTGCAAGTGGAGATTTGGACCGCTTTGAGGCCTGTGGTAGTAAAGGAAACAACTTCATATAAAAACCAGAGGGTAGCACTCTCAGAAAATTCTTTGTGACGATGGAGTTTAACTCAGAGAGCTGAACATTCGTTATGATGGAGCAGTTTCCAAACACACGTTTTGTAGAATCTGCAAGGGGATATTTGGACCTCTCTGAGGATTTCGTTGGAAACGGGATCAACTTCCCATAACTGAACGGAAGCAAACTCAGAACATTCTTTGTGATGTTTGTATTCAACTCACAGAGTTGAACCTTCCTTTTATAGTTGAGGTTTGCATCACCCTTGTAGTAGAATCTGCAAGTGTATATTTTGACCACTTTGTAGCCTTCGTTTGAAACGTCTATATCTTCACATCAAACCTAGACAGAAGCATTCTCAGAAAGTTTTCTGTGATGACTGCATTCAACTCACAGAGTTGCACAATCCTTTTGATGGAGCAGTTTTGAAACCCTCTTTCTTTGGAATCTGCAAGGGGATATATGGACCTCTTTGAAGATTTCACTGGAAACGGGATCATCTTCACATAAGAACTAAACAGAAGCATTCTCGGAAACTACTTTGTGATGTTTGTATTCAACTCCCAGAGTTGAACTTTCCTTTTGAAAGAGCAGCTATGAAACACTCTTTTTCGAGAATCTGCAAGTGGACGTTTGGAGGGCTTTGAGGCCTGTGGTGGAAAAGGAAATATCTTCACATAAAAACTAGATAGAAGCATTCTCAGAAACTACTTTGTGAGGATGGCATTCAACTCATGGAGTTGAACAATCCTATTGATAGAGCAGATTGGAATCACTCTTTTTGTAGAATCTGCAAATGGAGATTTGGACTGCTTTGAGGCCTACGGTCGTATAGGAAGGAACTTCATATAAAAGGCAAACGGAAGCATTCTCAGAATATTCTTTGTGATGATGGAGTTTCACTCACAGAGCTGAACATGCCTTTTGATGGAGCAGTTTCCAAATACACTTTTGGTAGAATCTGCAGGTGGATATTTGGAGCTCTTTGAGGATTTCGTTGGAAACGGGAATAATTTCCCATAACTAAACACAAACACGCTGAGAAAGTTCTTCATGATGAATGCATTTAACTCGCAGAGATGAACCTGCCTTTGAGAGTTCAGGTTCGAAACACTCTTTCTGTATAATCTGCAAGTGGATATTTGGACCACTGGGTGGCCTTCGTTCGAAACGGGTATATGTTCACGTAAAAACTAAAGAGAAGCATTCTCAGAAACTTCTGAGTGATGATTGCATTCAAGTCACACAGTTGAACCCTCCTTTTGATGGAGCAGTTTTGAAACTGTCTTTTTGTAGAATCTGTAAGTGGATACGTGGACCTCTTTGAAGATTTCTTTGGAAACGGGAATATTTCCACAGAAAAACTAAACTGAAGCATTCTCAGAAACCGCTTTGTGATGTTTGTGTTCGAGCCACAGAGTTTAACATTGCTTTTCATAGAGCAGTTTTGAAATATTCTTTTCGCAGAATCTGCAAGTGGACATTTGGAGCGCTTTCAGGCCTGTGGTGGCAAAGGCCTGAAAGCCTTTTCCTTTATCTTCACAGAAAGACGAGAGAGAAGCATTGTCAGAAACTTCTTTGTGATGGTTGCATTCAACTCACAGAGTTGAAGATTCCTTTTGAAACAGCAGTTTCGAAACACTCTTTCTGTGGGATCCGCAAGGGGATATTTGGACCTCTTTGAAGGTTTCGTTGGAAACGGGATAATCTTCACCTAAAAGCTAAACGGAAGCATTCTCAGAAACTTCTTTGGGATGTTTGCATTCACCTCACAGAGTTGAACTTTCCCTTTGATAGCGCAGCTTCGACACACTTTTTCTACAATGTGCAAGTGGCTATTTAGCGGGCTTGGAGGACTGTGTTGGAAAAGGAAATATCTTCTCCTAAAAACGACATAGAAGCATTCTCAGAAACTGCTCTGTGATGATTGCATTCAACTCCCAGAGTTGAACATTCCTTTTGATAGAGCAGTTTGCAAACACTCTTTTTGTAGAATCTGCAAGTGGAGATTTGGACCGCTTTGAGGCCTGTGGTAGTGAAGGAAAGAACTTCATATAAAAACCAGACGGTAGCACTCTCAGAAAATTCTTTGTGACGATGGAGTTTAACTCAGGGAGCTGAACATTCGTTATGATGGAGCAGTTTCCAAACACACGTTTTGTAGAATCTGTGAGGGGATATTTGGACCTCTCTGAGGATTTCGTTGGAAACGGGATCAACTTCCCATAACTGAACGGAAGCAAACTCAGAACATTCTTTGTGATGTTTGTATTCAACTCACAGAGTTGAACCTTCCTTTGATAGTTCAGGTTTGCAACACCCTTGTAGTAGAATCTGCAAGTGTATATTTTGACCACTTTGTAGCCTTCGTTTGAAACGTCTATATCTTCACATCAAACCTAGACAGAAGCATTCTCAGAAAGTTTTCTGCGATGACTGCATTCAACTCACAGAGTTGAACAATCCTTCTGATGGAGCAGTTTTGAAACCCTCTTTCTTTGGAATCTGCAAGGGGATATGTGGACCTGTTTGAAGATTTCACTGGAAACGGGATCATCTTCACATAAAAACTAAACAGAAGCATTCTCGGAAACTACTTTGTGATGTTTGTATTCAACTCCCAGAGTTGAACTTTCCTTTTGAAAGAGCAGCTATGAAACACTCTTTTTCGAGAATCTGCAAGTGGACGTTTGGAGGGCTTTGAGGCCTGTGGTGGAAAAGGAAATATCTTCACACAAAAACCAGATAGAAGCATTCTCAGAAACTACTTTGTGAGGATGGCATTCAACTCATGGAGTTGAACAATCCTATTGATAGAGCAGATTGGAATCACTCTTTTTATAGAATCTGCAAATGGAGATTTGGACTGCTTTGAGGCCTACGGTAGTACAGGAAGGAACTTCATATAAAAGGCAAACGGAAGCATTCTCAGAATATTCTTTGTGATGATGGAGTTTCACTCACAGAGCTGAACATGCCTTTTGATGGAGCAGTTTCCAAATACACTTTTGGTAGAATCTGCAGGTGGATATTTGGAGCTCTCAGAGGATTTCGTTGGAAACGGGAATAATTTCCCATAACTAAACACAAACACTCTGAGAAAGTTCTTCATGATGAATGCATTTAACTCGCAGAGATGAACCTGCCTTTGAGAGTTCAGGTTCGAAACACTCTTTCTGTATAATCTGCAAGTGGATATTTGGACCACTGGGTGGCCTTCGTTCGAAACGGGTATATGCTCACGTAAAAACTAAAGAGAAGCATTCTCAGAAACTTCTGAGTGATGATTGCATTCAAGTCACACGGTTGAACCCTCCTTTTGATGGAGCAGTTTTGAAACTGTCTTTTTGTAGAATCTGTAAGTGGATACGTGGACCTCTTTGAAGATTTCTTTGGAAACGGGAATATTTCCACAGAAAAACTAAACTGAAGTATTCTCAGAAACTGCTTTGTGATGTTTGTGTTCGAGCCACAGAGTTTAACATTGCTTTTCATAGAGCAGTTTTGAAATATTCTTTTCACAGAATCTGCAAGTGGACATTTGGAGCGCTTTCAGGCCTGTGGTGGAAAAGGCCTGAAAGCCTTTTCCTTTATCTTCACAGAAAGACGAGAGAGAAGCATTGTCAGAAACTTCTTTGTGATGATTGCATTCAACTCACAGAGTTGAAGATTCCTTTTGAAACAGCAGTTTCGAAACACTCTTTCTGTGGGATCCGCAAGGGGATATTTGGACCTCTTTGAAGGTTTCGTTGGAAACGGGATAATCTTCACCTAAAAGCTAAACGGAAGCATTCTCAGAAACTTCTTTGGGATGTTTGCATTCACCTGACAGAGTTGAACTTTCCCTTTGATAGCGCAGCTTTGACACACTTTTTCTACAATGTGCAAGTGGCTATTTAGCGGGCTTGGAGGACTGTGTTGGAAAAGGAAATATCTTCTCCTAAAAACGACATAGAAGCATTCTCAGAAACTGCTCTGTGATGATTGCATTCAACTCCCAGAGTTGAACATTCCTTTTGATAGAGCAGTTTGCAAACACTCTTTTTGTAGAATCTGCAAGTGGAGATTTGGACCGCTTTGAGGCCTGTGGTAGTGAAGGAAAGAACTTCATATAAAAACCAGACGGTAGCACTCTCAGAAAATTCTTTGTGACGATGGAGTTTAACTCAGGGAGCTGAACATTCGTTATGATGGAGCAGTTTCCAAACACACGTTTTGTAGAATCTGCAAGGGGATATTTGGACCTCTCTGAGGATTTCGTTGGAAACGGGATCAACTTCCCATAACTGAACGGAAGCAAACTCAGAACATTCTTTGTGATGTTTGTATTCAACTCACAGAGTTGAACCTTCCTTTGATAGTTCAGGTTTGCAACACCCTTGTAGTAGAATCTGCAAGTGTATATTTTGACCACTTTGTAGCCTTCGTTTGAAACGTCTATATCTTCACATCAAACCTAGACAGAAGCATTCTCAGAAAGTTTTCTGCGATGACTGCATTCAACTCACAGAGTTGAACAATCCTTCTGATGGAGCAGTTTTGAAACCCTCTTTCTTTGGAATCTGCAAGGGGATATGTGGACCTCTTTGAAGATTTCACTGGAAACGGGATCAACTTCACATAAAAACTAAACAGAAGCATTCTCGGAAACTACTTTGTGATGTTTGTATTCAACTCCCAGAGTTGAACTTTCCTTTTGAAAGAGCAGCTATGAAACACTCTTTTTCGAGAATCTGCAAGTGGACGTTTGGAGGGCTTTGAGGCCTGTGGTGGAAAAGGAAATATCTTCACATAAAAACTAGATAGAAGCATTCTCAGAAACTACTTTGTGAGGATGGCATTCAACTCATGGAGTTGAACAATCCTATTGATAGAGCAGATTGGAATCACTCTTTTTGTAGAATCTGCAAATGGAGATTTGGACTGCTTTGAGGCCTACGGTCGTATAGGAAGGAACTTCAGATAAAAGGCAAACGGAAGCATTCTCAGAATATTCTTTGTGATGATGGAGTTTCACTCACAGAGCTGAACATGCCTTTTGATGGAGCAGTTTCCAAATACACTTTTGGTAGAATCTGCAGGTGGATATTTGGAGCTCTTTGAGGATTTCTTTGGAAACGGGAATAATTTCCCATAACTAAACACAAACACGCTGAGAAAGTTCTTCATGATGAATGCATTTAACTCGCAGAGATGAACCTGCCTTTGAGAGTTCAGGTTCGAAACACTCTTTCTGTAGAATCTGCAAGTGGATATTTGGACCACTGGCTGGCCTTCGTTCGAAACGGGTATATGTTCACGTAAAAACTAAAGAGAAGCATTCTCAGAAACTTCTGAGTGATGATTGCATTCAAGTCACACGGTTGAACCCTCCTTTTGATGGAGCAGTTTTGAAACTGTCTTTTTGTAGAATCTGTAAGTGGATACGTGGACCTCTTTGAAGATTTCTTTGGAAACGGGAATATTTCCACAGAAAAACTAAACTGAAGCATTCTCAGAAACCGCTTTGTGATGTTTGTGTTCGAGCCACAGAGTTTAACATTGCTTTTCATAGAGCAGTTTTGAAATATTCTTTTGGCAGAATCTGCAAGTGGACATTTGGAGCGCTTTCAGGCCTGTGGTGGAAAAGGCCTGAAAGCCTTTTCCTTTATCTTCACAGAAAGACGAGAGAGAAGCATTGTCAGAAACTTCTTTGTGATGATTGCATTCAACTCACAGAGTTGAAGATTCCTTTTGAAACAGCAGTTTCGAAACACTCTTTCTGTGGGATCCGCAAGGGGATATTTGGACCTCTTTGAAGGTTTCGTTGGAAACGGGATAATCTTCACCTAAAAGCTAAACGGAAGCATTCTCAGAAACTTCTTTGGGATGTTTGCATTCACCTCACAGAGTTGAACTTTCCCTTTGATAGCGCAGCTTTGACACACTTTTTCTACAATGTGCAAGTGGATCTTTAGCGGGCTTGGAGGACTGTGTTGGAAAAGGAAATATCTTCTCCTAAAAACGACATAGAAGCATTCTCAGAAACTGCTCTGTGATGATTGCATTCAACTCCCAGAGTTGAACATTCCTTTTGATAGAGCAGTTTGCAAACACTCTTTTTGTAGAATCTGCAAGTGGAGATTTGGACCGCTTTGAGGCCTGTGGTAGTGAAGGAAAGAACTTCATATAAAAACCAGACGGTAGCACTTTCAGAAAATTCTTTGTGACGATGGAGTTTAACTCAGGGAGCTGAACATTCGTTATGATGGAGCAGTTTCCAAACACACGTTTTGTAGAATCTGCAAGGGGATATTTGGACCTCTCTGAGGATTTCGTTGGAAACGGGATCAACTTCCCATAACTGAACGGAAGCAAACTCAGAACATTCTTTGTGATGTTTGTATTCAACTCACAGAGTTGAACCTTCCTTTGATAGTTCAGGTTTGCAACACCCTTGTAGTAGAATCTGCAAGTGTATATTTTGACCACTTTGTAGCCTTCATTTGAAACGTCTATATCTTCACATCAAACCTAGACAGAAGCATTCTCAGAAAGTTTTCTGCGATGACTGCATTCAACTCACAGAGTTGAACAATCCTTCTGATGGAGCAGTTTTGAAACCCTCTTTCTTTGGAATCTGCAAGGGGATATGTGGACCTCTTTGAAGATTTCACTGGAAACGGGATCATCTTCACATAAAAACTAAACAGAAGCATTCTCGGAAACTACTTTGTGATGTTTGTATTCAGCTCCCAGAGTTGAACTTTCCTTTTGAAAGAGCAGCTATGAAACACTCTTTTTCGAGAATCTGCAAGTGGACGATTGGAGGGCTTTGAGGCCTGTGGTGGAAAAGGAAATATCTTCACATAAAAACTAGATAGAAAGCATTCTCAGAAACGACTTTGTGAGGATGGCATTCAACTCATGGAGTTGAACAATCCTATTGATAGAGCAGATTGGAATCACTCTTTTTGTAGAATCTGCAAATGGAGATTTGGACTGCTTTGAGGCCTACGGTCGTATAGGAAGGAACTTCATATAAAAGGCAAACGGAAGCATTCTCAGAATATTCTTTGTGATGATGGAGTTTCACTCACAGAGCTGAACATGCCTTTTGATGGAGCAGTTTCCAAATACACTTTTGGTAGAATCTGCAGGTGGATATTTGGAGCTCTCTGAGGATTTCGTTGGAAACGGGAATAATTTCCCATAACTAAACACAAACACTCTGAGAAAGTTCTTCATGATGAATGCATTTAACTCGCAGAGATGAACCTGCCTTTGAGAGTTCATGTTCGAAACACTCTTTCTGTAGAATCTGCAAGTGGATATTTCGACCACTGGCTGGCCTTCGTTCGAAACGGGTATATGTTCACGTAAAAACTAAAGAGAAGCATTCTCAGAAACTTCTGAGTGATGATTGCATTCAAGTCACACAGTTGAACCCTCCTTTTGATGGAGCAGTTTTGAAACTGTCTTTTTGTAGAATCTGTAAGTGGATACGTGGACCTCTTTGAAGATTTCTTTGGAAACGGGAATATTTCCACAGAAAAACTAAACTGAAACATTCTCAAAAACCGCTTTGTGATGTTTGTGTTCGAGCCACAGAGTTTAACATTGCTTTTCATAGAGCAGTTTTGAAATATTCTTTTCGCAGAATCTGCAAGTGGACATTTGGAGCGCTTTCAGGCCTGTGGTGGCAAAGGCCTGAAAGCCTTTTCCTTTATCTTCACAGAAAGACGAGAGAGAAGCATTGTCAGAAACTTCTTTGTGATGATTGCATTCAACTCACAGAGTTGAAGATTCCTTTTGAAACAGCTGTTTCGAAACACTCTTTCTGTGGGATCCGCAAGGGGATATTTGGACCTCTTTGAAGGTTTCGTTGGAAACGGGATAATCTTCACCTAAAAGCTAAACGGAAGCATTCTCAGAAACTTCTTTGGGATGTTTGCATTCACCTCACAGAGTTGAACTTTCCCTTTGATAGCGCAGCTTTGACACACTTTTTCTACAATGTGCAAGTGGCTATTTAGCGGGCTTGGAGGACTGTGTTGGAAAAGGAAATATCTTCTAAAAACGACATAGAAGCATTCGCAGAAACTGCTCTGTGATGATTGCATTCAACTCCCAGAGTTGAACATTCCTTTTGATAGAGCAGTTTGCAAACACTCTTTTTGTAGAATCTGCAAGTGGAGATTTGGACCGCTTTGAGGCCTGTGGTAGTGAAGGAAAGAACTTCATATAAAAACCAGACGGTTAGCACTCTCAGAAAATTCTTTGTGACGATGGAGTTTAACTCAGCAGAGCTGAACATTCGTTATGATGGAGCAGTTTCCAAACACACGTTTTGTAGAATCTGCAAGGGGATATTTGGACCTCTCTGAGGATTTCGTTGGAAACGGGATCAACTTCCCATAACTGAACGGAGCAAACTTCGTAACATTCTTTGTGATGTTTGTATTCAACTCACAGAGTTGAACCTTCCTTTGATAGTTCAGGTTTGCAACACCCTTGTAGTAGAATCTGCAAGTGTATATTTTGACCACTTTGTAGCCTTCGTTTGAAACGTCTATATCTTCACATCAAACCTAGACAGAAGCATTCTCAGAAAGTTTTCTGCGATGACTGCATTCAACTCACAGAGTTGAACAATCCTTTTGATGGAGCAGTTTTGAAACCCTCTTTCTTTGGAATCTGCAAGGGGATATGTGGACCTCTTTGAAGATTTCACTGGAAACGGGATCATCTTCACATAAGAACTTAGCAGAAGCATTCTCGGAAACTACTTTGTGATGTTTGTATTCAACTCCCAGAGTTGAACTTTCCTTTTGAAAGAGCAGCTATGAAACACTCTTTTTCGAGAATCTGCAAGTGGACGTTTGGAAGGCTTTGAGGCCTGTGGTGGAAAAGGAAATATCTTCACATAAAAACTAGATAGAAGCATTCTCAGAAACGACTTTGTGAGGATGGCATTCAACTCATGGAGTTGAACAATCCTATTGATAGAGCAGATTGGAATCACTCTTTTTGTAAAATCTGCAAATGGAGATTTGGACTGCTTTGAGGCCTACGGTCGTATAGGAAGGAACTTCAGATAAAAGGCAAACGGAAGCATTCTCAGAATATTCTTTGTGATGATGGAGTTTCACTCACAGAGCTGAACATGCCTTTTGATGGAGCAGTTTCCAAATACACTTTTGGTAGAATCTGCAGGTGGATATTTGGAGCTCTCTGAGGATTTCGTTGGAAACGGGAATAATTTCCCATAACTAAACACAAACACTCTGAGAAAGTTCTTCATGATGAATGCATTTAACTCGCAGAGATGAACCTGCCTTTGAGAGTTCAGGTTCGAAACACTCTTTCTGTAGAATCTGCAAGTGGATATTTGGACCACTGGGTGGCCTTCGTTCGAAACGGGTATATGTTCACATAAAAACTAAAAAGAAGCATTCTCAGAAACTTCTGAGTGATGATTGCATTCAAGTCACATAGTTGAACCCTCCTTTTGATGGAGCAGTTTTGAAACTGTCTTTTTGTAGAATCTGTAAGTGGATACGTGGACCTCTTTGAAGATTTCTTTGGAAACGGGAATATTTCCACAGAAAAACTAAACTGAAGCATTCTCTGAAACTGCTTTGTGATGTTTGTGTTCGAGCCACAGAGTTTAACATTGCTTTTCATAGAGCAGTTTTGAAATATTCTTTTGGCAGAATCTGCAAGTGGACATTTGGAGCGCTTTCAGGCCTGTGGTGGAAAAGGCCTGAAAGCCTTTTCCTCTATCTTCACAGAAAGACGAGAGAGAAGCATTGTCAGAAACTTCTTTGTGATGATTGCATTCAACTCACAGAGTTGATTTTCCTTTTGAAACAGCAGTTTCGAAACACTCTTTCTGTGGGATCCGCAAGGGGATATTTGGACCTCTTTGAAGGTTTCGTTGGAAACGGGATAATCTTCACCTAAAAGATAAACGGAAGCATTCTCAGAAACTTCTTTGGGATGTTTGCATTCACCTCACAGAGTTGAACTTTCCCTTTGATAGCGCAGCTTTGACACACTTTTTCTACAATGTGCAAGTGGCTATTTAGCGGGCTTGGAGGACAGTGTTGGAAAAGGAAATATCTTCTCCTAAAAACGACATAGAAGCATTCTCAGAAACTGCTCTGTGATGATTGCATTCAACTCCCAGAGTTGAACATTCCTTTTGATAGAGCAGTTTGCAAACACTCTTTTTGTAGAATCTGCAAGTGGAGATTTGGACCGCTTTGAGGCCTGTGGTAGTGAAGGAAAGAACTTCATATAAAAACCAGACGGTAGCACTCTCAGAAAATTCTTTGTGACGATGGAGTTTAACTCAGGGAGCTGAACATTCGTTATGATGGAGCAGTTTCCAAACACACGTTTTGTAGAATCTGCGAGGGGATATTTGGACCTCTCTGAGGATTTCGTTGGAAACGGGATCAACTTCCCATAACTGAACGGAAGCAAACTCAGAACATTCTTTGTGATGTTTGTATTCAACTCACAGAGTTGAACCTTCCTTTGATAGTTCAGGTTTGCAACACCCTTGTAGTAGAATCTGCAAGTGTATATTTTGACCACTTTGTAGCCTTCGTTTGAAACGTCTATATCTTCACATCAAACCTAGACAGAAGCATTCTCAGAAAGTTTTCTGCGATGACTGCATTCAACTCACAGAGTTGAACAATCCTTCTGATGGAGCAGTTTTGAAACCCTCTTTCTTTGGAATCTGCAAGGGGATATGTGGACCTCTTTGAAGATTTCACTGGAAACGGGATCATCTTCACATAAAAACTAAACAGAAGCATTCTCGGAAACTACTTTGTGATGTTTGTATTCAACTCCCAGAGTTGAACTTTCCTTTTGAAAGAGCAGCTATGAAACACTCTTTTTCGAGAATCTGCAAGTGGACGTTTGGAGGGCTTTGAGGCCTGTGGTGGAAAAGGAAATATCTTCACATAAAAACTAGATAGAAGCATTCTCAGAAACGACTTTGGAGGATGGCATTCAACTCATGGAGTTGAACAATCCTATTGATAGAGCAGATTGGAATCACTCTTTTTGTAGAATCTGCAAATGGAGATTTGGACTGCTTTGAGGCCTACGGTCGTATAGGAAGGAACTTCAGATAAAAGGCAAACGGAAGCATTCTCAGAATATTCTTTGTGATGATGGAGTTTCACTCACAGAGCTGAACATGCCTTTTGATGGAGCAGTTTCCAAATACACTTTTGGTAGAATCTGCAGGTGGATATTTGGACCACTCTGAGGATTTCGTTGGAAACGGGAATAATTTCCCATAACTAAGCACAAACACTCTGAGAAAGTTCTTCATGATGAATGCATTTAACTCGCAGAGATGAACCTGCCTTTGAGAGTTCAGGTTCGAAACACTCTTTCTGTAGAATCTGCAAGTGGATATTTGGACCACTGGGTGGCCTTCGTTCGAAACGGGTATATGTTCACGTAAAAACTAAAGAGAAGCATTCTCAGAAACTTCTGAGTGATGATTGCATTCAAGTCACACAGTTGAACACTCCTTTTGATGGAGCAGTTTTGAAACTGTCTTTTTGTAGAATCTGTAAGTGGATACGTGGACCTCTTTGAAGATTTCTTTGGAAACGGGAATATTTCCACAGAAAAACTAAACTGAAGCATTCTCAGAAACCGCTTTGTGATGTTTGTGTTCGAGCCACAGAGTTTAACATTGCTTTTCATAGAGCAGTTTTGAAATATTCTTTTGGCAGAATCTGCAAGTGGACATTTGGAGCGCTTTCAGGCCTGTGGTGGAAAAGGCCTGAAAGCCTTTTCCTTTATCTTCACAGAAAGACGAGAGAGAAGCATTGTCAGAAACTTCTTTGTGATGATTGCATTCAACTCACAGAGTTGATTTTCCTTTTGAAACAGCAGTTTCGAAACACTCTTTCTGTGGGATCCGCAAGGGGATATTTGGACCTCTTTGAAGGTTTCGTTGGAAACGGGATAATCTTCACCTAAAAGCTAAACGGAAGCATTCTCAGAAACTTCTTTGGGATGTTTGCATTCACCTCACAGAGTTGAACTTTCCCTTTGATAGCGCAGCTTTGACACACTTTTTCTACAATGTGCAAGTGGCTATTTAGCGGGCTTGGAGGACTGTGTTGGAAAAGGAAATATCTTCTCCTAAAAACGACATAGAAGCATTCTCAGAAACTGCTCTGTGATGATTGCATTCAACTCCCAGAGTTGAACATTCCTTTTGATACAGCAGTTTGCAAACACTCTTTTTGTAGAATCTGCAAGTGGAGATTTGGACCGCTTTGAGGCCTGTGGTAGTGAAGGAAAGAACTTCATATAAAAACCAGACGGTAGCACTCTCAGAAAATTCTTTGTGACGATGGAGTTTAACTCAGGGAGCTGAACATTCGTTATGATGGAGCAGTTTCCAAACACACGTTTTGTAGAATCTGCGAGGGGATATTTGGACCTCTCTGAGGATTTCGTTGGAAACGGGATCAACTTCCCATAACTGAACGGAAGCAAACTCAGAACATTCTTTGTGATGTTTGTATTCAACTCACAGAGTTGAACCTTCCTTTGATAGTTCAGGTTTGCAACACCCTTGTAGTAGAATCTGCAAGTGTATATTTTGACCACTTTGTAGCCTTCGTTTGAAACGTCTATATCTTCACGTCAAACCTAGACAGAAGCATTCTCAGAAAGTTTTCTGCGATGACTGCATTCAACTCACAGAGTTGAACAATCCTTCTGATGGAGCAGTTTTGAAACCCTCTTTCTTTGGAATCTGCAAGGGGATATGTGGACCTCTTTGAAGATTTCACTGGAAACGGGATCATCTTCACATAAAAACTAAACAGAAGCATTCTCGGAAACTACTTTGTGATGTTTGTATTCAACTCCCAGAGTTGAACTTTCCTTTTGAAAGAGCAGCTATGAAACACTCTTTTTCGAGAATCTGAAAGTGGACGTTTGGAGGGCTTTGAGGCCTGTGGTGGAAAAGGAAATATCTTCACATAAAAACTAGATAGAAGCATTCTCAGAAACGACTTTGTGAGGATGGCATTCAACTCATGGAGTTGAACAATCCTATTGATAGAGCAGATTGGAATCACTCTTTTTGTAGAATCTGCAAATGGAGATTTGGACTGCTTTGAGGCCTACGGTAGTATAGGAAGGAACTTCATATAAAAGGCAAACGGAAGCATTCTCAGAATATTCTTTGTGATGATGGAGTTTCACTCACAGAGCTGAACATGCCTTTTGATGGAGCAGTTTCCAAATACACTTTTGGTAGAATCTGCAGGTGGATATTTGGACCTCTCTGAGGATTTCGTTGGAAACGGGAATAATTTCCCATAACTAAACACAAACACGCTGAGAAAGTTCTTCATGATGAATGCATTTAACTCGCAGAGATGAACCTGCCTTTGAGAGTTCAGGTTCGAAACACTCTTTCTGTAGAATCTGCAAGTGGATATTTGGACCACAGGGTGGCCTTCGTTCGAAACGGGTATATGTTCACGTAAAAACTAAAGAGAAGCGTTCTCAGAAACTTCTGAGTGATGATTGCATTCAAGTCTCACAGTTGAACCCTCCTTTTGATTGAGCAGTTTTGAAACTGTCTTTTTGTAGAATCTGTAAGTGGATGCGTGGACCTCTTTGAAGATTTCTTTGGAAACGGGAATACTTCCACAGAAAAAGTAAACTGAAGCATTCTCAGAAACGGCTTTGTGATGTTTGTGTTCGAGCCACAGAGTTTAACATTGCTTTTCATAGAGCAGTTTTGAAATATTCTTTTGGCAGAATCTGCAAGTGGACATTTGGAGCGCTTTCAGGCCTGTGGTGGAAAAGGCCTGAAAGCCTTTTCCTTTATCTTCACAGAAAGACGAGAGAGAAGCATTGTCAGAAACTTCTTTGTGATGATTGCATTCAACTCACAGAGTTGAAGATTCCTTTTGAAACAGCAGTTTCGAAACACTCTTTCTGTGGGATCCGCAAGGGGATATTTGGACCTCTTTGAAGATTTCGTTGGAAACGGGATAATCTTCACCTAAAAGCTAAACGGAAGCATTCTCAGAAACTTCTTTGGGATGTTTGCATTCACCTCACAGAGTTGAACTTTCCCTTTGATAGCGCAGCTTCGACACCCTTTTTCTACAATGTGCAAGTGGATATTTAGCGGGCTTGGAGGACTGTGTTGGAAAAGGAAATATCTTCTCCTAAAAACGACATAGAAGCATTCTCAGAAACTGCTCTGTGATGATTGCATTCAACTCCCAGAGTTGAACATTCCTTTTGATAGAGCAGTTTGCAAACACTCTTTTTGTAGAATCTGCAAGTGGAGATTTGGACCGCTTTGAGGCCTGTGGTAGTAAAGGAAAGAACTTCATATAAAAACCAGACGGTAGCACTCTCAGAAAATTCTTTGTGACGATGGAGTTTAACTCAGAGAGCTGAACATTCGTTATGATGGAGCAGTTTCCAAACACACGTTTTGTAGAATCTGCAAGGGGATATTTGGACCTCTCTGAGGATTTCGTTGGAAACGGGATCAACTTCCCATAACTGAACGGAAGCAAACTCAGAACATTCTTTGTGATGTTTGTATTCAACTCACAGAGTTGAACCTTCCTTTGATAGTTGAGGTTTGCAACACCCTTGTAGTAGAATCTGCAAGTGTATATTTTGACCACTTTGTAGCCTTCGTTTGAAACGTCTATATCTTCACCTCAAACCTAGACAGAAGCATTCTCAGAAAGTTTTCTGCGATGACTGCATTCAACTCACAGAGTTGAACAATCCTTTTGATGGAGCAGTTTTGAAACCCTCTTTCTTTGGAATCTGCAAGGGGATATGTGGACCTCTTTGAAGATTTCACTGGAAACGGGATCATCTTCACATAAGAACTAAACAGAAGCATTCTCGGAAACTACTTTGTGATGTTTGTATTCAACTCTCAGAGTTGAACTTTCCTTTTGAAAGAGCAGCTATGAAACACTCTTTTTCGAGAATCTGCAAGTGGACGTTTGGAGGGCTTTGAGGCCTGTGGTGGAAAAGGAAATATCTTCACATAAAAACTAGATAGAAGCATTCTCAGAAACGACTTTGTGAGGATGACCTTCAACTCATGGAGTTGAACAATCCTATTGATAGAGCAGATTGGAATCACTCTTTTTGTAGAATCTGCAAATGGAGATTTGGACTGCTTTGAGGCCTACGGTAGTATAGGAAGGAACTTCATATAAAAGGCAAACGGAAGCATTCTCAGAATATTCTTTGTGATGATGGAGTTTCACTCACAGAGCTGAACATGCCTTTTGATGGAGCAGTTTCCAAATACACTTTTGGTAGAATCTGCAGGTGGATATTTGGACCTCTCTGAGGATTTCGTTGGAAACGGCAATAATTTCCCATAACTAAACACAAACACGCTGAGAAAGTTCTTCATGTTGAATGCATTGAACTCGCAGAGATGAACCTGCCTTTGAGAGTTCAGGTTCGAAACACTCTTTCTGTAGAATCTGCAAGTGGATATTTGGACCACTGGGTGGCCTTCGTTCGAAACGGGTATATGTTCACGTAAAAACTAAAGAGAAGCATTCTCAGAAACTTCTGACTGATGATTGCATTCAAGTCACACGGTTGAACCCTCCTTTTGATTGAGCAGTTTTGAAACTGTCTTTTTGTAGAATCTGTAAATGGATACGTGGACCTCTTTGAAGATTTCTTTGGAAACGGGAATATTTCCACAGAAAAACTAAACTGAAGCATTCTCAGAAACCGCTTTGTGATGTTTGTGTTCGAGCCGCAGAGTTTAACATTGCTTTTCATAGAGCAGTTTTGAAATATTGTTTTGGCAGAATCTGCAAGTGGACATTTGGAGTGCTTTCAGGCCTGTGGTGGAAAAGGCCTGAAAGCCTTTTCCTTTATCTTCACAGAAAGACGAGAGAGAAGCATTGTCAGAAACTTCTTTGTGATGATTGCATTCAACTCACAGAGTTGAAGAGTCCTTTTGAAACAGCAGTTTCGAAACACTCTTTCTGTGGGATCCGCAAGGGGATATTTGGACCTCTTTGAAGGTTTCTTTGGAAACGGGATAATCTTCACCTAAAAGCTAAACGGAAGCATTCTCAGAAACTTCTTTGGGATGTTTGCATTCACCTCACAGAGTTGAACTTTCCCTTTGATAGCGCAGCTTCGACACACTTTTTCTACAATGTGCAAGTGGATATTTAGCGGGCTTGGAGGACTGTGTTGGAAAAGGAAATATCTTCTCCTAAAAACGACATAGAAGCATTCTCAGAAACTGCTCTGTGATGATTGCATTCAACTCCCAGAGTTGAACATTCCTTTTGATAGAGCAGTTTGCAAACACTGTTTTTGTAGAATCTGCAAGTGGAGATTTGGACCGCTTTGAGGCCTGTGGTAGTAAAGGAAAGAACTTCATATAAAAACCAGACGGTAGCACTCTCAGAAAATTCTTTGTGACGATGGAGTTTAACTCAGAGAGCTGAACATTCGTTATGATGGAGCAGTTTCCAAACACACGTTTTGTAGAATCTGCAAGGGGATATTTGGACCTCTCTGAGGATTTCGTTGGAAACGGGATCAACTTCCCATAACTGAACGGAAGCAAACTCAGAACATTCTTTGTGATGTTTGTATTCAACTCACAGAGTTGAACCTTCCTTTGATAGTTGAAGTTTGCAACACCCTTGTAGTAGAATCTGCAAGTGTATATTTTGACCACTTTGTAGCCTTCGTTTGAAACGTCTATATCTTCACCTCAAACCTAGACAGAAGCATTCTCAGAAAGTTTTCTGCGATGACTGCATTCAACTCACAGAGTTGAACAATCCTTTTGATGGAGCAGTTTTGAAACCCTCTTTCTTTGGAATCTGCAAGGGGATATGTGGACCTCTTTGAAGATTTCACTGGAAACGGGATCATCTTCACATAAGAACTAAACAGAAGCATTCTCGGAAACTACTTTGTGAAGTTTGTATTCAACTCCCAGAGTTGAACTTTCCTTGTGAAAGAGCAGCTATGAAACACTCTTTTTCGAGAATCTGCAAGTGGACGTTTGGAGGGCTTTGAGGCCTGTGGTGGAAAAGGAAATATCTTCACATAAAAACTAGATAGAAGCATTCTCAGAAACGACTTTGTGAGGATGGCATTCAACTCATGGAGTTGAACAATCCTATTGATAGAGCAGATTGGAATCACTCTTTTTGTAGAATCTGCAAATGGAGATTTGGACTGCTTTGAGGCCTACGGTCGTATAGGAAGGAACTTCATATAAAAGGCAAACGGAAGCATTCTCAGAATATTCTTTGTGATGATGGAGTTTCACTCACAGAGCTGAACATGCCTTTTGATGGAGCAGTTTCCAAATACACTTTTGGTAGAATCTGCAGGTGGATATTTGGAGCTCTCTGAGGATTTCGTTGGAAACGGGAATAATTTCCCATAACTAAACACAAACACTCTGAGAAAGTTCTTCATGATGAATGCATTTAACTCGCAGAGATGAACCTGCCTTTGAGAGTTCAGGTTCGAAACACTCTTTCTGTAGAATCTGCAAGTGGATATTTGGACCACTGGCTGGCCTTCGTTCGAAACGGGTATATGTTCACGTAAAAACTAAAGAGAAGCATTCTCAGAAACTTCTGAGTGATGATTGCATTCAAGTCACACAGTTGAACCCTCCTTTTGATGGAGCAGTTTTGAAACTGTCTTTTTGTAGAATCTGTAAGTGGATACGTGGACCTCTTTGAAGATTTCTTTGGAAACGGGAATATTTCCACAGAAAAACTAAACTGAAGCATTCTCAGAAACCGCTTTGTGATGTTTGTGTTCGAGCCACAGAGTTTAACATTGCTTTTCATAGAGCAGTTTTGAAATATTCTTTTCGCAGAATCTGCAAGTGGACATTTGGAGCGCTTTCAGGCCTGTGGTGGCAAAGGCCTGAAAGCCTTTTCCTTTATCTTCACAGAAAGACGAGAGAGAAGCATTGTCAGAAACTTCTTTGTGATGGTTGCATTCAACTCACAGAGTTGAAGATTCCTTTTGAAACAGCAGTTTCGAAACACTCTTTCTGTGGGATCCGCAAGGGGATATTTGGACCTCTTTGAAGGTTTCGTTGGAAACGGGATAATCTTCACCTAAAAGCTAAACGGAAGCATTCTCAGAAACTTCTTTGGGATGTTTGCATTCACCTCACAGAGTTGAACTTTCCCTTTGATAGCGCAGCTTCGACACACTTTTTCTACAATGTGCAAGTGGCTATTTAGCGGGCTTGGAGGACTGTGTTGGAAAAGGAAATATCTTCTCCTAAAAACGACATAGAAGCATTCTCAGAAACTGCTCTGTGATGATTGCATTCAACTCCCAGAGTTGAACATTCCTTTTGATAGAGCAGTTTGCAAACACTCTTTTTGTAGAATCTGCAAGTGGAGATTTGGACCGCTTTGAGGCCTGTGGTAGTGAAGGAAAGAACTTCATATAAAAACCAGACGGTAGCACTCTCAGAAAATTCTTTGTGACGATGGAGTTTAACTCAGGGAGCTGAACATTCGTTATGATGGAGCAGTTTCCAAACACACGTTTTGTAGAATCTGCGAGGGGATATTTGGACCTCTCTGAGGATTTCGTTGGAAACGGGATCAACTTCCCATAACTGAACGGAAGCAAACTCAGAACATTCTTTGTTATGTTTGTATTCAACTCACAGAGTTGAACCTTCCTTTGATAGTTCAGGTTTGCAAAACCCTTGTAGTAGAATCTGCAAGTGTATATTTTGACCACTTTGTAGCCTTCGTTTGAAACGTCTATATCTTCACATCAAACCTAGACAGAAGCATTCTCAGAAAGTTTTCTGCGATGACTGCATTCAACTCACAGAGTTGAACAATCCTTCTGATGGAGCAGTTTTGAAACCCTCTTTCTTTGGAATCTGCAAGGGGATATGTGGACCTCTTTGAAGATTTCACTGGAAACGGGATCATCTTCACATAAAAACTAAACAGGAAGCATTCTCGGAAACTACTTTGTGATGTTTGCATTCAACTGCCAGAGTTGAACATTCCTTTTGAAAGAGCAGCTATGAAACACTCTTTTTGGAGAATCTACAAGTGGACGTTTGGAGGGCTTTGAGGCCTGTGGTGGAAAAGGAAATATCTTCACATAAAAACTAGATAGAAGCATTCTCAGAAATTAATTTGTGACGATGGCATTCAACTCACGGAGTTGAACAATCCTATTGATAGAGCAGATTGGAAACACTCTTTTTGTAGAATCTGCAAATGGAGATTTGGACTGCTTTGAGGCCTACGGTAGTATAGGAAGGAAATTCATAAAAAAGCAAACGGAAGCATTCTCAGAATATTCTTTGTGATGATGGAGTTTAACTAACAGAGCTGAACGTGTCTTTTGATGGAGCAGTTTCCAAATACACTTTTGGTAGAATCTGCAAGGGGATATTTGGACCTCTCTAAGGATTTCGTTGGAAACGGGAGAAATTTCCCATATCTAAACACAAACAGTCTGAGAAAGTTCTTCATGATGAATGTATTTAACTCACAGAGATGAACCTTCCTTTGAGATTTCAGGTTTGAAACACTCTTTCTGTAGAATCTGCAAGTGGATATTTGGACCACTGTGTGGCCTTCGTTCGAAATGGGTATATGTTCACGTAAAAACTAAAGAGAAGCATTCTCAGAAACTTCTGTGTGATGATTGGATTCAAGTCACAGGGTTGAATCCTCCTTTTGATTGAGCAGTTTTGAATCTGTCTTTTTGTAGAATATGTAAGTGGATATGTGGAACTCTTAGAAGATTTCTTTGGAAATGGGAATATCTCCACAGAAAAACTAAACTGAAGCATTCTCAGAAACCGCTTTGTGATGTTTGTGTTCGAGCCACAGAGTTTAACATTGCTTTTCATAGAGCAGTTTTGAAATATTCTTTTCACAGAATCTGCAAGTGGACATTTGGAGCGCTTTCAGGCCTGTGGTGGAAAAGGCCTGAAAGCCTTTTCCTTTATCTTCACAGAAAGACGAGAGAGAAGCATTGTCAGAAACTTCTTTGTGATGATTGCATTCAATTCACAGAGTTTAAGATTCCTTTTGAAACAGCAGTTTCGAAACACTCTTTCTGTGGGATCCGCAAGGGGATATTTGGACCTCTTTGAAGATTTCGTTGGAAACGGGATAATCTTCACCTAAAAGCTAAACGGAAGCATTCTCAGAAACTTCTTTGGGATGTTTGCATTCACCTCACAGAGTTGAACTTTCCCTTTGATAGCGCAGCTTTGACACACTTTTTCTACAATGTGCAAGTGGCTATTTAGCGGGCTTGGAGGACAGTGTTGGAAAAGGAAATATCTTCTCCTAAAAACGACATAGAAGCATTCTCAGAAACTGCTCTGTGATGATTGCATTCAACTCCCAGAGTTGAACATTCCTTTTGATAGAGCAGTTTGCAAACACTCTTTTTGTAGAATCTGCAAGTGGAGATTTGGACCGCTTTGAGGCCTGTGGTAGTGAAGGAAAGAACTTCATATAAAAACCAGACGGTAGCACTCTCAGAAAATTCTTTGTGACGATGGAGTTTAACTCAGGGAGCTGAACATTCGTTATGATGGAGCAGTTTCCAAAAACACGTTTTGTAGAATCTGCGAGGGGATATTTGGACCTCTCTGAGGATTTCGTTGGAAACGGGATCAACTTCCCATAACTGAACGGAAGCAAACTCAGAACATTCTTTGTGATGTTTGTATTCAACTCACAGAGTTGAACCATCCTTTGATAGTTCAGGTTTGTAACACCCTTGTAGTAGAATCTGCAAGTGTATATTTTGACCACTTTGTAGCCTTCGTTTGAAACGTCTATATCTTCACATCAAACCTAGACAGAAGCATTCTCAGAAAGTTTTCTGCGATGACTGCATTCAACTCACAGAGTTGAACAATCCTTCTGATGGAGCAGTTTTGAAACCCTCTTTCTTTGGAATCTGCAAGGGGATATGTGGACCTCTTTGAAGATTTCACTGGAAACGGGATCATCTTCACATAAAAACTAAACAGAAGCATTCTCGGAAACTACTTTGTGATGTTTGTATTCAACTCCCAGAGTTGAACTTTCCTTTTGAAAGAGCAGCTATGAAACACTCTTTTTCGAGAATCTGCAAGTGGACGTTTGGAGGGCTTTGAGGCCTGTGGTGGAAAAGGAAATATCTTCACACAAAAACCAGATAGAAGCATTCTCAGAAACGACTTTGTGAGGATGGCATTCAACTCATGGAGTTGAACAATCCTATTGATAGAGCAGATTGGAATCACTCTTTTTGTAGAATCTGCAAATGGAGATTTGGACTGCTTTGAGGCCTACGGTCGTATAGGAAGGAACTTCAGATAAAAGGCAAACGGAAGCATTCTCAGAATATTCTTTGTGATGATGGAGTTTCACTCACAGAGCTGAACATGCCTTTTGATGGAGCAGTTTCCAAATACACTTTTGGTAGAATCTGCAGGTGGATATTTGGAGCTCTCTGAGGATTTCGTTGGAAACGGGAATAATTTCCCATAACTAAACACAAACACTCTGAGAAAGTTCTTCATGATGAATGCATTTAACTAACAGAGATGAACCTGCCTTTGAGAGTTCAGGTTCGAAACACTCTTTCTGTAGAATCTGCAAGTGGATATTTGGACCACTGGGTGGCCTTCGTTCGAAACGGGTATATGTTCACGTAAAAACTAAAGAGAAGCATTCTCAGAAACTTCTGAGTGATGATTGCATTCAAGTCACACAGTTGAACCCTCCTTTTGATGGAGCAGTTTTGAAACTGTCTTTTTGTAGAATCTGTAAGTGGATACGTGGACCTCTTTGAAGATTTCTTTGAAAACGGGAATATTTCCACAGAAAAACTAAACTGAAGCATTCTCAGAAACTGCTTTGTGATGTTTGTGTTCGAGTCACAGAGTTTAACATTGCTTTTCATAGAGCAGTTTTGAAATATTCTTTTGGCAGAATCTGCAAGTGGACATTTGGAGCGCTTTCAGGCCTGTGGTGGAAAAGGCCTGAAAGCCTTTTCCTTTATCTTCACAGAAAGACGAGAGAGAAGCATTGTCAGAAACTTCTTTGTGATGATTGCATTCAACTCACAGAGTTGAAGATTCCTTTTGAAACAGCAGTTTCGAAACACTCTTTCTGTGGGATCCGCAAGGGGATATTTGGACCTCTTTGAAGGTTTCGTTGGAAACGGGATAATCTTCACCTAAAAGCTAAACGGAAGCATTCTCAGAAACTTCTTTGGGATGTTTGCATTCACCTCACAGAGTTGAACTTTCCCTTTGATAGCGCAGCTTCGACACACTTTTTCTACAATGTGCAAGTGGATATTTAGCGGGCTTGGAGGACTGTGTTGGAAAAGGAAATATCTTCTCCTAAAAACGACATAGAAGCATTCTCAGAAACTGCTCTGTGATGATTGCATTCAACTCCCAGAGTTGAACATTCCTTTTGATAGAGCAGTTTGCAAACACTCTTTTTGTAGAATCTGCAAGTGGAGATTTGGACCGCTTTGAGGCCTGTGGTAGTAAAGGAAACAACTTCATATAAAAACCAGACGGTAGCACTCTCAGAAAATTCTTTGTGACGATGGAGTTTAACTCAGAGAGCTGAACATCCGTTATGATGGAGCAGTTTCCAAACACACGTTTTGTAGAATCTGCAAGGGGATATTTGGACCTCTCTGAGGATTTCGTTGGAAACGGGATCAACTTCCCATAACTGAACGGAAGCAAACTCAGAACATTCTTTGTGATGTTTGTATTCAACTCACAGAGTTGAACCTTCCTTTGATAGTTGAGGTTTGCATCACCCTTGTAGTAGAATCTGCAAGTGTATATTTTGACCACTTTGTAGCCTTCGTTTGAAACGTCTATATCTTCACATCAAACCTAGACAGAAGCATTCTCAGAAAGTTTTCTGCGATGACTGCATTCAACTCACAGAGTTGCACAATCCTTTTGATGGAGCAGTTTTGAAACCCTCTTTCTTTGGAATCTGCAAGGGGATATATGGACCTCTTTGAAGATTTCACTGGAAACGGGATCATCTTCACATAACAACTAAACAGAAGCATTCTCGGAAACTACTTTGTGATGTTTGTATTCAACTCCCAGAGTTGAACTTTCCTTTTGAAAGAGCAGCTATGAAACACTCTTTTTCGAGAATCTGCAAGTGGACGTTTGGAGGGCTTTGAGGCCTGTGGTGGAAAAGGAAATATCTTCACATAAAAACTAGATAGAAGCATTCTCAGAAACTACTTCGTGAGGATGGCTTTCAACTCATGGAGTTGAACAATCCTATTGATACAGCAGATTGGAATCACTCTTTTTGTAGAATCTGCAAATGGAGATTTGGACTGCTTTGAGGCCTACGGTCGTATAGGAAGGAACTTCATATAAAAGGCAAACGGAAGCATTCTCAGAATATTCTTTGTGATGATGGAGTTTCACTCACAGAGCTGAACATGCCTTTTGATGGAGCAGTTTCCAAATACACTTTTGGTAGAATCTGCAGGTGGATATTTGGAGCTCTCTGAGGATTTCGTTGGAAACGGGAATAATTTCCCATAACTAAACACAAACACTCTGAGAAAGTTCTTCATGATGAATGCATTTAACTCGCAGAGATGAACCTGCCTTTGAGAGATTCAGGTTCGAAACACTCTTTCTGTAGAATCTGCAAGTGGATATTTGGACCACTGGGTGGCCTTCGTTCGAAACGGGTATATGTTCACCTAAAAACTAAAGAGAAGCATTCTCAGAAACTTGTGAGTGATGATTGCATTCAAGTCACACAGTTGAACCCTCCTTTTGATGGAGCAGTTTTGAAACTGTCTTTTTGTAGAATCTGTAAGTGGATACGTGGACCTCTTTGAAGATTTCTTTGGAAACGGGAATATTTCCACAGAAAAACTAAACTGAAGCATTCTCAGAAACCGCTTTGTGATGTTTGTGTTCGAGCCACAGAGTTTAACATTGCTTTTCATAGAGCAGTTTTGAAATATTCTTTTGGCAGAATCTGCAAGTGGACATTTGGAGCGCTTTCAGGCCTGTGGTGGAAAAGGCCTGAAAGCCTTTTCCTTTATCTTCACAGAAAGACGAGAGAGAAGCATTGTCAGAAACTTCTTTGTGATGATTGCATTCAACTCACAGAGTTGAAGATTCCTTTTGAAACAGCAGTTTCGAAACACTCTTTCTGTGGGATCCGCAAGGGGATATTTGGACCTCTTTGAAGGTTTCGTTGGAAACGGGATAATCTTCACCTAAAAGCTAAACGGAAGCATTCTCAGAAACTTCTTTGGGATGTTTGCATTCACCTCACAGAGTTGAACTTTCCCTTTGATAGCGCAGCTTTGACACACTTTTTCTACAATGTGCAAGTGGCTATTTAGCGGGCTTGGAGGACTGTGTTGGAAAAGGAAATATCTTCTCCTAAAAACGACATAGAAGCATTCTCAGAAACTGCTCTGTGATGATTGCATTCAACTCCCAGAGTTGAACATTCCTTTTGATAGAGCAGTTTGCAAACACTCTTTTTGTAGAATCTGCAAGTGGAGATTTGGACCGCTTTGAGGCCTGTGGTAGTGAAGGAAAGAACTTCATATAAAAACCAGACGGTAGCACTCTCAGAAAATTCTTTGTGACGATGGAGTTTAACTCAGGGAGCTGAACATTCGTTATGATGGAGCAGTTTCCAAACACACGTTTTGTAGAATCTGCAAGGGGATATTTGGACCTCTCTGAGGATTTCGTTGGAAACGGGATCAACTTCCCATAACTGAACGGAAGCAAACTCAGAACATTCTTTGTGATGTTTGTATTCAACTCACAGAGTTGAACCTTCCTTTGATAGTTCAGGTTTGCAACACCCTTGTAGTAGAATCTGCAAGTGTATATTTTGACCACTTTGTAGCCTTCGTTTGAAACGTCTATATCTTCACATCAAACCTAGACAGAAGCATTCTCAGAAAGTTTTCTGCGATGACTGCATTCAACTCACAGAGTTGAACAATCCTTCTGATGGAGCAGTTTTGAAACCCTCTTTCTTTGGAATCTGCAAGGGGATATGTGGACCTCTTTGAAGATTTCACTGGAAACGGGATCATCTTCACATAAAAACTAAACAGAAGCATTCTCGGAAACTACTTTGTGATGTTTGTATTCAACTCCCAGAGTTGAACTTTCCTTTTGAAAGAGCAGCTATGAAACACTCTTTTTCGAGAATCTGCAAGTGGACGTTTGGAGGGCTTTGAGGCCTGTGGTGGAAAAGGAAATATCTTCACATAAAAACTAGATAGAAGCATTCTCACAAACGACATTGTGAGGATGGAATTCAACTCATGGAGTTGAACAATCCTATTGATAGAGCAGATTGGAATCACTCTTTTTGTAGAATCTGCAAATGGAGATTTGGACTGCTTTGAGGCCTACGGTAGTATAGGAAGGAACTTCATATAAAAGGGAAACGGAAGCATTCTCAGAATATTCTTTGTGATGATGGAGTTTCACTCACAGAGCTGAACATGCCTTTTGATGGAGCAGTTTCCAAATACACTTTTGGTAGAATCTGCAGGTGGATATTTGGAGCTCTCTGAGGATTTCGTTGGAAACGGGAATAATTTCCCATAACTAAACACAAACACTCTGAGAAAGTTCTTCATGATGAATGCATTTAACTCGCAGAGATGAACCTGCCTTTGAGAGTTCAGGTTCGAAACACTCTTTCTGTAGAATCTGCAAGTGGATATTTGGACCACTGGGTGGCCTTCGTTCGAAACGGGTATATGTTCACATAAA
Source organism: Homo sapiens (assembly GCF_000001405.40). NCBI lineage: Eukaryota > Metazoa > Chordata > Mammalia > Primates > Hominidae > Homo > Homo sapiens. Next base: position 59,334,557 of record NC_000023.11, read on the forward strand.
AACTAAAAAGAAGCATTCTCAGAAACTTCTGAGTGATGATTGCATTCAAGTCACATGGTTGAACCCTCCTTTTGATGGAGCAGTTTTGAAACTGTCTTTTTGTAGAATCTGTAAGTGGATACGTGGACCTCTTTGAAGATTTCTTTGGAAACGGGAATATTTCCACAGAAAAACTAAACTGAAGCATTCTCAGAAACTGCTTTGTGATGTTTGTGTTCGAGCCACAGAGTTTAACATTGCTTTTCATAGAGCAGTTTTGAAATATTCTTTTGGCAGAATCTGCAAGTGGACATTTGGAGCGCTTTCAGGCCTGTGGTGGAAAAGGCCTGAAAGCCTTTTCCTTTATCTTCACAGGAAGACGAGAGAGAAGCATTGTCAGAAACTTCTTTGTGATGATTGCATTCAACTCACAGAGTTGAAGATTCCTTTTGAAACAGCAGTTTCGAAACACTCTTTCTGTGGGATCCGCAAGGGGATATTTGGACCTCTTTGAAGCTTTCGTTGGAAACGGGATAATCTTCACCTAAAAGCTAAACGGAAGCACTCTCAGAAACTTCTTTGGGATGTTTGCATTCACCTCACAGAGTTGAACTTTCCCTTTGATAGCGCAGCTTTGACACACTTTTTCTACAATGTGCAAGTGGATATTTAGCGGGCGTGGAGGACTGTGTTGGAAAAGGAAATATCTTCTCCTAAAAACGACATAGAAGCATTCTCAGAAACTGCTCTGTGATGATTGCATTCAACTCCCAGGGTTGAACATTCCTTTTGATAGAGCAGTTTGCAAACACTCTTTTTGTAGAATCTGCAAGTGGAGATTTGGACCGCTTTGAGGCCTATGGTAGTAAAGGAAAGAACTTCATATAAAAACCAGACGGTAGCACTCTCAGAAAATTCTTTGTGACGATGGAGTTTAACTCAGGGAGCTGAACATTCGTTATGATGGAGCAGTTTCCAAACACACGTTTTGTAGAATCTGCAAGGGGATATTTGGACCTCTCTGAGGATTTCGCTGGAAACGGGATCAACTTCCCATAACTGAACAGAAGCAAACTCAGAACATTCTTTGTGATGTTTGTATTCAACTCACAGAGTTGAACCTTCCTTTGATAGTTCAGGTTTGCAACACCCTTGTAGTAGAATCTGCAAGTGTATATTTTGACCACTTTGTAGCCTTCGTTTGAAACGTCTATATCTTCACATCAAACCTAGACAGAAGCATTCTCAGAAAGTTTTCTGCGATGACTGCATTCAACTCACAGAGTTGAACAATCCTTTTGATGGAGCAGTTTTGAAACCCTCTTTCTTTGGAATCTGCAAGGGGATATGTGGACCTCTTTGAAGATTTCACTGGAAACGGGATCATCTTCACATAAAAACTAAACAGAAGCATTCTCGGAAACTATTTTGTGATGTTTGTATTCAACTCCCAGAGTTGAACTTTCCTTTTGAAAGAGCAGCTATGAAACACTCTTTTTCGAGAATCTGCAAGTGGACGTTTGGAGGGCTTTGAGGCCTGTGGTGGAAAAGGAAATATCTTCACATAAAAACTAGATAGAAGCATTCTCAGAAACTACTTTGTGAGGATGGCATTCAACTCATGGAGTTGAACAATCCTATTGATAGAGCAGATTGGAATCACTCTTTTTGTAGAATCTGCAAATGGAGATTTGGACTGCTTTGAGGCCTACGGTAGTATAGGAAGGAACTTCATATAAAAGGCAAACGGAAGCATTCTCAGAATATTCTTTGTGATGATGGAGTTTCACTCACAGAGCTGAACATGCCTTTTGATGGAGCAGTTTCCAAATACACTTTTGGTAGAATCTGCAGGTGGATATTTGGAGCTCTCTGAGGATTTCGTTGGAAACGGGAATAATTTCCCATAACTAAACACAAACACTCTGAGAAAGTTCTTCATGATGAATGCATTTAACTCGCAGAGATGAACCTGCCTTTGAGAGTTCATGTTCGAAACACTCTTTCTGTAAAATCTGCAAGTGGATATTTGGACCACTGGGTGGCCTTCGTTCGAAACGGGTATATGTTCACGTAAAAACTAAAGAGAAGCATTCTCAGAAACTTCTGAGTGATGATTGCATTCAAGTCACACAGTTGAACCCTCCTTTTGATGGAGCAGTTTTGAAACTGTCTTTTTGTAGAATCTGTAAGTGGATACGTGGACCTCTTTGAAGATTTCTTTGGAAACGGGAATATTTCCACAGAAAAACTAAACTGAAGCATTCTCAGAAACCGCTTTGTGATGTTTGTGTTCGAGCCACAGAGTTTAACATTGCTTTTCACAAAGCAGTTTTGAAATATTCTTTTCGCAGAATCTGCAAGTGGACATTTGGAGCGCTTTCAGGCCTGTGGTGGCAAAGGCCTGAAAGCATTTATTTATCTTCACAGAAAGACGAGAGAGAAGAAGCATTGTCAGAAACTTCTTTGTGATGATTGCATTCAACTCACAGAGTTGAAGATTCCTTTTGAAACAGCAGTTTCGAAACACTCTTTCTGTGGGATCCGCAAGGGGATATTTGGACTTCTTTGAAGGTTTCGTTGGAAACGGGATAATCTTCACCTAAAAGCTAAACGGAAGCATTCTCAGAAACTTCTTTGGGATGTTTGCATTCACCTCACAGAGTTGAACTTTCCCTTTGATAGCGCAGCTTTGACACACTTTTTCTACAATGTGCAAGTGGCTATTTAGCGGGCTTGGAGGACTGTGTTGGAAAAGGAAATATCTTCTCCTAAAAACGACATAGAAGCATTCTCAGAAACTGCTCTGTGATGATTGCATTCAACTCCCAGAGTTGAACATTCCTTTTGATAGAGCAGTTTGCAAACACTCTTTTTGTAGAATCTGCAAGTGGAGATTTGGACCGCTTTGAGGCCTGTGGTAGAGAAGGAAAGAACTTCATATAAAAACCAGACGGTAGCAAACTCAGAACATTCTTTGTGATGTTTGTATTCAACTCACAGAGTTGAACCTTCCTTTGATAGTTCAGGTTTGCAACACCCTTGTAGTAGAATCTGCAAGTGTATATTTTGACCACTTTGTAGCCTTCGTTTGAAACGTCTATATCTTCACATCAAACCTAGACAGAAGCATTCTCAGAAAGTTTTCTGCGATGACTGCATTCAACTCACAGAGTTGAACAATCCTTCTGATGGAGCAGTTTTGAAACCCTCTTTCTTTGGAATCTGCAAGGGGATATGTGGACCTCTTTGAAGATTTCACTGGAAACGGGATCATCTTCACATAAAAACTAAACAGAAGCATTCTCGGAAACTACTTTGTGATGTTTGTATTCAACTCCCAGAGTTGAACTTTCCTTTTGAAAGAGCAGCTATGAAACACTCTTTTTCGAGAATCTGCAAGTGGACGTTTGGAGGGCTTTGAGGCCTGTGGTGGAAAAGGAAATATCTTCACATAAAAACTAGATAGAAGCATTCTCAGAAACTACTTTGTGAGGATGGCATTCAACTCATGGAGTTGAACAATCCTATTGATAGAGCAGATTGGAATCACTCTTTTTGTAGAATCTGCAAATGGAGATTTGGACTGCTTTGAGGCCTACGGTAGTATAGGAAGGAACTTCATATAAAAGGCAAACGGAAGCATTCTCAGAATATTCTTTGTGATGATGGAGTTTCACTCACAGAGCTGAACATGCCTTTTGATGGAGCAGTTTCCAAATACACTTTTGGTAGAATCTGCAGGTGGATATTTGGAGCTCTCTGAGGATTTCGTTGGAAACGGGAATAATTTCCCATAACTAAACACAAACACTCTGAGAAAGTTCTTCATGATGAATGCATTTAACTCGCAGAGATGAACCTGCCTTTGAGAGTTCAGGTTCGAAACACTCTTTCTGTAGAATCTGCAAGTGGATATTTGGACCACTGGCTGGCCTTCGTTCGAAACGGGTATATGTTCACGTAAAAACTAAAGAGAAGCATTCTCAGAAACTTCTGAGTGATGATTGCATTCAAGTCACACAGTTGAACCCTCCTTTTGATGGAGCAGTTTTGAAACTGTCTTTTTGTAGAATCTGTAAGTGGATACGTGGACCTCTTTGAAGATTTCTTTGGAAACGGGAATATTTCCACAGAAAAACTAAACTGAAGCATTCTCAGAAACTGCTTTGTGATGTTTGTGTTCGAGCCACAGAGTTTAACATTGCTTTTCATAGAGCAGTTTTGAAATATTCTTTTGGCAGAATCTGCAAGTGGACATTTGGAGCGCTTTCAGGCCTGTGGTTGGGAAAAGGCCTGAAAGCCTTTTCCTTTATCTTCACAGAAAGACGAGAGAGAAGCATTGTCAGAAACTTCTTTGTGATGATTGCATTCAACTCACAGAGTTGAAGATTCCTTTTGAAACAGCAGTTTCGAAACACTCTTTCTGTGGGATCCGCAAGGGGATATTTGGACCTCTTTGAAGGTTTCGTTGGAAACGGGATAATCTTCACCTAAAAGCTAAACGGAAGCATTCTCAGAAACTTCTTTGGGATGTTTGCATTCACCTCACAGAGTTGAACTTTCCCTTTGATAGCGCAGCTTTGACACACTTTTTCTACAATGTGCAAGTGGCTATTTAGCGGGCTTGGAGGACTGTGTTGGAAAAGGAAATATCTTCTCCTAAAAACGACATAGAAGCATTCTCAGAAACTGCTCTGTGATGATTGCATTCAACTCCCAGAGTTGAACATTCCTTTTGATAGAGCAGTTTGCAAACACTCTTTTTGTAGAATCTGCAAGTGGAGATTTGGACCGCTTTGAGGCCTGTGGTAGTGAAGGAAAGAAGTTCATATAAAAACCAGACGGTAGCACTCTCAGAAAATTCTTTGTGACGATGGAGTTTAACTCAGGGAGCTGAACATTCGTTATGATGGAGCAGTTTCCAAACACACGTTTTGTAGAATCTGCGAGGGGATATTTGGACCTCTCTGAGGATTTCGTTGGAAACGGGATCAACTTCCCATAACTGAACGGAAGCAAACTCAGAACATTCTTTGTGATGTTTGTATTCAATTCACAGATTTGAACCTTCCTTTGATAGTTCAGGTTTGCAACACCCTTGTAGTAGAATCTGCAAGTGTATATTTTGACCACTTTGTAGCCTTCGTTTGAAACGTCTATATCTTCACATCAAACCTAGACAGAAGCATTCTCAGAAAGTTTTCTGCGATGACTGCATTCAACTCACAGAGTTGAACAATCCTTCTGATGGAGCAGTTTTGAAACCCTCTTTCTTTGGAATCTGCAAGGGGATATGTGGACCTCTTTGAAGATTTCACTGGAAACGGGATCATCTTCACATAAAAACTAAACAGAAGCATTCTCGGAAACTACTTTGTGATGTTTGTATTCAACTCCCAGAGTTGAACTTTCCTTTTGAAAGAGCAGCTATGAAACACTCTTTTTCGAGAATCTGCAAGTGGACGTTTGGAGGGCTTTGAGGCCTGTGGTGGAAAAGGAAATATCTTCACATAAAAACTAGATAGAAGCATTCTCAGAAACTACTTTGTGAGGATGGCATTCAACTCATGGAGTTGAACAATCCTATTGATAGAGCAGATTGGAATCACTCTTTTTGTAGAATCTGCAAATGGAGATTTGGACTGCTTTGAGGCCTACGGTAGTATAGGAAGGAAGTTCATATAAAAGGCAAACGGAAGCATTCTCAGAATATTCTTTGTGATGATGGAGTTTCACTCACAGAGCTGAACATGCCTTTTGATGGAGCAGTTTCCAAATACACTTTTGGTAGAATCTGCAGGTGGATATTTGGAGCTCTCTGAGGATTTCGTTGGAAACGGGAATAATTTCCCATAACTAAACACAAACACTCTGAGAAAGTTCTTCATGATGAATGCATTTAACTCGCAGAGATGAACCTGCCTTTGAGAGTTCAGGTTCGAAACACTCTTTCTGTAGAATCTGCAAGTGGATATTTGGACCACTGGCTGGCCTTCGTTCGAAACGGGTATATGTTCACGTAAAAACTAAAGAGAAGCATTCTCAGAAACTTCTGAGTGATGATTGCATTCAAGTCACACAGTTGAACCCTCCTTTTGATGGAGCAGTTTTGAAACTGTCTTTTTGTAGAATCTGTAAGTGGATACGTGGACCTCTTTGAAGATTTCTTTGGAAACGGGAATATTTCCACAGAAAAACTAAACTGAAGCATTCTCAGAAACTGCTTTGTGATGTTTGTGTTCGAGCCACAGAGTTTAACATTGCTTTTCATAGAGCAGTTTTGAAATATTCTTTTGGCAGAATCTGCAAGTGGACATTTGGAGCGCTTTCAGGCCTGTGGTGGCAAAGGCCTGAAAGCCTTTTCCTTTATCTTCACAGAAAGACGAGAGAGAAGCATTGTCAGAAACTTCTTTGTGATGATTGCATTCAACTCACAGAGTTGAAGATTCCTTTTGAAACAGCAGTTTCGAAACACTCTTTCTGTGGGATCCGCAAGGGGATATTTGGACCTCTTTGAAGGTTTCGTTGGAAACGGGATAATCTTCACCTAAAAGCTAAACGGAAGCATTCTCAGAAACTTCTTTGGGATGTTTGCATTCACCTCACAGAGTTGAACTTTCCCTTTGATAGCGCAGCTTTGACACACTTTTTCTACAATGTGCAAGTGGCTATTTAGCGGGCTTGGAGGACTGTGTTGGAAAAGGAAATATCTTCTCCTAAAAACGACATAGAAGCATTCTCAGAAACTGCTCTGTGATGATTGCATTCAACTCCCAGAGTTGAACATTCCTTTTGATAGAGCAGTTTGCAAACACTCTTTTTGTAGAATCTGCAAGTGGAGATTTGGACCGCTTTGAGGCCTGTGGTAGTGAAGGAAAGAACTTCATATAAAAACCAGACGGTAGCACTCTCAGAAAATTCTTTGTGACGATGGAGTTTAACTCAGGGAGCTGAACATTCGTTATGATGGAGCAGTTTCCAAACACACGTTTTGTAGAATCTGCAAGGGGATATTTGGACCTCTCTGAGGATTTCGTTGGAAACGGGATCAACTTCCCATAACTGAACGGAAGCAAACTCAGAACATTCTTTGTGATGTTTGTATTCAACTCACAGAGTTGAACCTTCCTTTGATAGTTCAGGTTTGCAACACCCTTGTAGTAGAATCTGCAAGTGTATATTTTGACCACTTTGTAGCCTTCGTTTGAAACATGCTATATCTTCACATCAAACCTAGACAGAAGCATTCTCAGAAAGTTTTCTGCGATGACTGCATTCAACTCACAGAGTTGAACAATCCTTCTGATGGAGCAGTTTTGAAACCCTCTTTCTTTGGAATCTGCAAGGGGATATGTGGACCTCTTTGAAGATTTCACTGGAAACGGGATCATCTTCACATAAAAACTAAACAGAAGCATTCTCGGAAACTACTTTGTGATGTTTGTATTCAACTCCCAGAGTTGAACTTTCCTTTTGAAAGAGCAGCTATGAAACACTCTTTTTCGAGAATCTGCAAGTGGACGTTTGGAGGGCTTTGAGGCCTGTGGTGGAAAAGGAAATATCTTCACATAAAAACTAGATAGAAGCATTCTCAGAAACTACTTTGTGAGGATGGCATTCAACTCATGGAGTTGAACAATCCTATTGATAGAGCAGATTGGAATCACTCTTTTTGTAGAATCTGCAAATGGAGATTTGGACTGCTTTGAGGCCTACGGTAGTATAGGAAGGAACTTCATATAAAAAGCAAACGGAAGCATTCTCAGAATATTCTTTGTGATGATGGAGTTTCACTCACAGAGCTGAACATGCCTTTTGATGGAGCAGTTTCCAAATACACTTTTGGTAGAATCTGCAGGTGGATATTTGGAGCTCTCTGAGGATTTCGTTGGAAACGGGAATAATTTCCCATAACTAAACACAAACACTCTGAGAAAGTTCTTCATGATGAATGCATTTAACTCGCAGAGATGAACCTGCCTTTGAGAGTTCAGGTTCGAAACACTCTTTCTGTAGAATCTGCAAGTGGATATTTGGACCACTGGGTGGCCTTCGTTCGAAACGGGTATATGTTCACGTAAAAACTAAAGAGAAGCATTCTCAGAAACTTCTGAGTGATGATTGCATTCAAGTCACACAGTTGAACCCTCCTTTTGATGGAGCAGTTTTGAAACTGTCTTTTTGTAGAATCTGTAAGTGGATACGTGGACCTCTTTGAAGATTTCTTTGGAAACGGGAATATTTCCACAGAAAAACTAAACTGAAGCATTCTCAGAAACCGCTTTGTGATGTTTGTGTTCGAGCCACAGAGTTTAACATTGCTTTTCATAGAGCAGTTTTTAAATATTCTTTTGGCAGAATCTGCAAGTGGACATTTGGAGCGCTTTCAGGCCTGTGGTGGAAAAGGCCTGAAAGCCTTTTCCTTTATCTTCACAGAAAGACGAGAGAGAAGCATTGTCAGAAACTTCTTTGTGATGATTGCATTCAACTCACAGAGTTGAAGATTCCTTTTGAAACAGCAGTTTCGAAACACTCTTTCTGTGGGATCCGCAAGGGGATATTTGGACCTCTTTGAAGGTTTCGTTGGAAACGGGATAATCTTCACCTAAAAGCTAAACGGAAGCATTCTCAGAAACTTCTTTGGGATGTTTGCATTCACCTCACAGAGTTGAACTTTCCCTTTGATAGCGCAGCTTTGACACACTTTTTCTACAATGTGCAAGTGGCTATTTAGCGGGCTTGGAGGACTGTGTTGGAAAAGGAAATATCTTCTCCTAAAAACGACATAGAAGCATTCTCAGAAACTGCTCTGTGATGATTGCATTCAACTCCCAGAGTTGAACATTCCTTTGGATAGAGCAGTTTGCAAACACTCTTTTTGTAGAATCTGCAAGTGGAGATTTGGACCGCTTTGAGGCCTGTGGTAGTGAAGGAAAGAACTTCATATAAAAACCAGACGGTAGCACTCTCAGAAAATTCTTTGTGACGATGGAGTTTAACTCAGGGAGCTGAACATTCGTTATGATGGAGCAGTTTCCAAACACACGTTTTGTAGAATCTGCGAGGGGATATTTGGACCTCTCTGAGGATTTCGTTGGAAACGGGATCAACTTCCCATAACTGAACGGAAGCAAACTCAGAACATTCTTTGTGATGTTTGTATTCAACTCACAGAGTTGAACCTTCCTTTGATAGTTCAGGTTTGCAACACCCTTGTAGTAGAATCTGCAAGTGTATATTTTGACCACTTTGTAGCCTTCATTTGAAACGTCTATATCTTCACATCAAACCTAGACAGAAGCATTCTCAGAAAGTTTTCTGCGATGACTGCATTCAACTCACAGAGTTGAACAATCCTTCTGATGGAGCAGTTTTGAAACCCTCTTTCTTTGGAATCTGCAAGGGGATATGTGGACCTCTTTGAAGATTTCACTGGAAACGGGATCATCTTCACATAAAAACTAAACAGAAGCATTCTCGGAAACTACTTTGTGATGTTTGTATTCAACTCCCAGAGTTGAACTTTCCTTTTGAAAGAGCAGCTATGAAACACTCTTTTTCGAGAATCTGCAAGTGGACGTTTGGAGGGCTTGGAGGCCTGTGGTGGAAAAGGAAATATCTTCACATAAAAACTAGATAGAAGCATTCTCAGAAACTGCTTTGTGAGGATGGCATTCAACTCATGGAGTTGAACAATCCTATTGATAGAGCAGATTGGAATCACTCTTTTTGTAGAATCTGCAAATGGAGATTTGGACTGCTTTGAGGCCTACGGTCGTATAGGAAGGAACTTCATATAAAAGGCAAACGGAAGCATTCTCAGAATATTCTTTGTGATGATGGAGTTTCACTCACAGAGCTGAACATGCCTTTTGATGGAGCAGTTTCCAAATACACTTTTGGTAGAATCTGCAGGTGGATATTTGGAGCTCTCTGAGGATTTCGTTGGAAACGGGAATAATTTCCCATAACTAAACACAAACACTCTGAGAAAGTTCTTCATGATGAATGCATTCAACTCGCAGAGATGAACCTGCCTTTGAGAGTTCAGGTTCGAAACACTCTTTCTGTAGAATCTGCAAGTGGATATTTGGACCACTGGGTGGCCTTCGTTCGAAACGGGTATATGTTCACGTAAAAACTAAAGAGAAGCATTCTCAGAAACTTCTGAGTGATGATTGCATTCAAGTCACACAGTTGAACCCTCCTTTTGATGGAGCAGTTTTGAAACTGTCTTTTTGTAGAATCTGTAAGTGGATACGTGGACCTCTTTGAAGATTTCTTTGGAAACGGGAATATTTCCACAGAAAAACTAAACTGAAGTATTCTCAGAAACCGCTTTGTGATGTTTGTGTTCGAGCCACAGAGTTTAACATTGCTTTTCATAGAGCAGTTTTGAAATATTCTTTTGGCAGAATCTGCAAGTGGACATTTGGAGCGCTTTCAGGCCTGTGGTGGAAAAGGCCTGAAAGCCTTTTCCTTTATCTTCACAGAAAGACGAGAGAGAAGCATTGTCAGAAACTTCTTTGTGATGATTGCATTCAACTCACAGAGTTGAAGATTCCTTTTGAAACAGCAGTTTCGAAACACTCTTTCTGTGGGATCCGCAAGGGGATATTTGGACCTCTTTGAAGGTTTCGTTGGAAACGGGATAATCTTCACCTAAAAGCTAAACGGAAGCATTCTCAGAAACTTCTTTGGGATGTTTGCATTCACCTCACAGAGTTGAACTTTCCCTTTGATAGCGCAGCTTTGACACACTTTTTCTACAATGTGCAAGTGGCTATTTAGCGGGCTTGGAGGACTGTGTTGGAAAAGGAAATATCTTCTCCTAAAAACGACATAGAAGCATTCTCAGAAACTGCTCTGTGATGATTGCATTCAACTCCCAGAGTTGAACATTCCTTTTGATAGAGCAGTTTGCAAACACTCTTTTTGTAGAATCTGGAAGTGGAGATTTGGACGGCTTTGAGGTCTGTGGTAGTGAAGGAAAGAACTTCATATAAAAACCAGACGGTAGCACTCTCAGAAAATTCTTTGTGACGATGGAGTTTAACTCAGGGAGCTGAACATTCGTTATGATGGAGCAGTTTCCAAACACACGTTTTGTAGAATCTGCGAGGGGATATTTGGACCTCTCTGAGGATTTCGTTGGAAACGGGATCAACTTCCCATAACTGAACGGAAGCAAACTCAGAACATTCTTTGTGATGTTTGTATTCAATTCACAGAGTTGAACCTTCCTTTGATAGTTCAGGTTTGCAACACCCTTGTAGTAGAATCTGCAAGTGTATATTTTGACCACTTTGTAGCCTTCGTTTGAAACGTCTATATCTTCACATCAAACCTAGACAGAAGCATTCTCAGAAAGTTTTCTGCGATGACTGCATTCAACTCACAGAGTTGAACAATCCTTCTGATGGAGCAGTTTTGAAACCCTCTTTCTTTGGAATCTGCAAGGGGATATGTGGACCTCTTTGAAGATTTCACTGGAAACGGGATCATCTTCACATAAAAACTAAACAGAAGCATTCTCGGAAACTACTTTGTGATGTTTGTATTCAACTCCCAGAGTTGAACTTTCCTTTTGAAAGAGCAGCTATGAAACACTCTTTTTCGAGAATCTGCAAGTGGACGTTTGGAGGGCTTTGAGGCCTGTGGTGGAAAAGGAAATATCTTCACATAAAAACTAGATAGAAGCATTCTCAGAAACGACTTTGTGAGGATGGCATTCAACTCATGGAGTTGAACAGTCCTATTGATAGAGCAGATTGGAATCACTCTTTTTGTAGAATCTGCAAATGGAGATTTGGACTGCTTTGAGGCCTACGGTAGTATAGGAAGGAACTTCATATAAAAGGCAAACGGAAACACGCTGAGAAAGTTCTTCATGATGAATGCATTTAACTCGCAGAGATGAACCTGCCTTTGAGAGTTCAGGTTCGAAACACTCTTTCTGTAGAATCTGCAAGTGGATATTTGGACCACTGGGTGGCCTTCGTTCGAAACGGGTATATGTTCACGTAAAAACTAAAGAGAAGCATTCTCAGAAACTTCTGAGTGATGATTGCATTCAAGTCACACAGTTGAACCCTCGTTTTGATTGAGCAGTTTTGAAACTGTGTTTTTGTAGAATCTGTAAGTGGATGCGTGGACCTCTTTGAAGATTTCTTTGGAAACGGGAATATTTCCACAGAAAAACTAAACTGAAGCATTCTCAGAAACTGCTTTGTGATGTTTGTGTTCGAGCCGCAGAGTTTAACATTGCTTTTCATAGAGCAGTTTTGAAATATTCTTTTGGCAGAATCTGCAAGTGGACATTTGGAGCGCTTTCAGGCCTGTGGTGGAAAAGGCCTGAAAGCCTTTTCCTTTATCTTCACAGAAAGACGAGAGAGAAGCATTGTCAGAAACTTCTTTGTGATGATTGCATTCAACTCACAGAGTTGAAGATTCCTTTTGAAACAGCAGTTTCGAAACACTCTTTCTGTGGGAACCGCAAGGGGATATTTGGATCTATTTGAAGGTTTCGTTGGAAACTGGATAATCGTCACCTAAAAGCTAAACGGAAGCATTCTCAGAAACTTCTTTTGGATGTTTGCATTCACCTCATAGAGTTGAATTTTCCCTTTGATAGCGCAGCTTCGACACACTTTTTCTACAATGTGCAAGTGGATATTTAGCGGGCTTGGAGGACTGTGTTGGAAAAGGAAATATCTTCTCCTAAAAACGACATAGAAGCATTCTCAGAAACTGCTCTGTGATGATTGCATTCAACTCCCAGAGTTGAACATTCCTTTTGATAGAGCAGTTTGCAAACACTCTTTTTGTAGAATCTGCAAGTGGAGATTTGGACCGCTTTGAGGCCTGTGGTAGTAAAGGAAACAACTTCATATAAAAACCAGACGGTAGCACTCACAGAAAATTCTTTGTGACGATGGAGTTTAACTCAGAGAGCTGAACATCCGTTATGATGGAGCAGTTTCCAAACACACGTTTTGTAGAATCTGCAAGGGGATATTTGGACCTCTCTGAGGATTTCGTTGGAAACGGGATCAACTTCCCATAACTGAACGGAAGCAAACTCAGAACATTCTTTGTGATGTTTGTATTCAACTCACAGAGTTGAACCTTCCTTTGATAGTTCAGGTTTGCAACACCCTTGTAGTAGAATCTGCAAGTGTATATTTTGACCACTTTGTAGCCTTCGTTTGAAACGTCTATATCTTCACATCAAACCTAGAAAGAAGCATTCTCAGAAAGTTTTCTGCGATGACTGCATTCAACTCACAGAGTTGAACAATCCTTCTGATGGAGCAGTTTTGAAACCCTCTTTCTTTGGAATCTGCAAGGGGATATGTGGACCTCTTTGAAGATTTCACTGGAAACGGGATCATCTTCACATAAAAACTAAACAGAAGCATTCTCGGAAACTACTTTGTGATGTTTGTATTCAACTCCCAGAGTTGAACTTTCCTTTTGAAAGAGCAGCTATGAAACACTCTTTTTCGAGGATCTGCAAGTGGACGTTTGGAGGGCTTTGAGGCCTGTGGTGGAAAAGGAAATATCTTCACATAAAAACTAGATAGAAGCATTCTCAGAAACTACTTTGTGAGGATGGCATTCAACTCATGGAGTTGAACAATCCTATTGATAGAGCAGATTGGAATCACTCTTTTTGTAGAATCTGCAAATGGAGATTTGGACTGCTTTGAGGCCTACGGTCGTATAGGAAGGAACTTCATATAAAAGGCAAACGGAAGCATTCTCAGAATATCTCCTTTGTGATGATGGAGTTTCACTCACAGAGCTGAACATGCCTTTTGATGGAGCAGTTTCCAAATACACTTTTGGTAGAATCTGCAGGTGGATATTTGGACCTCTCTGAGGATTTCGTTGGAAACGGGAATAATTTCCCATAACTAAACACAAACACGCTGAGAAAGTTCTTCATGATGAATGCATTTAACTCGCAGAGATGAACCTGCCTTTGAGAGTTCAGGTTCGAAACACTCTTTCTGTAGAATCTGCAAGTGGATATTTGGACCACTGGCTGGCCTTCGTTCGAAACGGGTATATGTTCACGTAAAAACTAAAGAGAAGCGTTCTCAGAAACTTCTGAGTGATGATTGCATTCTAGTCACACAGTTGAACCCTCCTTTTGATTGAGCAGTTTTGAAACTGTCTTTTTGTAGAATCTGTAAGTGGATGCGTGGACCTCTTTGAAGATTTCTTTGGAAACGGGAATATTTCCACAGAAAAACTAAACTGAAGCATTCTCAGAAACTGCTTTGTGATGTTTGTGTTCGAGCCGCAGAGTTTAACATTGCTTTTCATAGAGCAGTTTTGAAATATTCTTTTGGCAGAATCTGCAAGTGGACATTTGGAGCGCTTTCAGGCCTGTGGTGGAAAAGGCCTGAAAGCCTTTTCCTTTATCTTCACAGAAAGACGAGAGAGAAGCATTGTCAGAAACTTCTTTGTGATGATTGCATTCAACTCACAGAGTTGAAGATTCCTTTTGAAACAGCAGTTTCGAAACACTCTTTCTGTGGGATCCGCAAGGGGATATTTGGACCTCTTTGAAGATTTCGTTGGAAACGGGATAATCTTCACCTAAAAGCTGAACGGAAGCATTCTCAGAAACTTCTTTGGGATGTTTGCATTCACCTCACAGAGTTGAACTTTCCCTTTGATAGCGCAGCTTCGACACATTTTTCTACAATGTGCAAGTGGAGATTTGGACCGCTTTGAGGCCTGTGGTAGTAAAGGAAACAACTTCATATAAAAACTAGACGGTAGCACTCTCAGAAAACTCTTTGTGACGATGGAGTTTAACTCAGGGAGCTGAACATTAGTTATGATGGAGCAGTTTCCAAACACACGTTTTGTAGAATCTGCAAGGGGATATTTGGACCTCTCTGAGGATTTCATTGGAAACGGGATCAACTTCCCATAACTGAACGGAAGCAAACTCAGAACATTCTTTGTGATGTTTGTATTCAACTCACAGAGTTGAACCTTCCTTTGATAGTTCAGGTTTGCATCACCCTTGTAGTAGAATCTGCAAGTGTATATTTTGACCACTTTGTAGCCTTCGTTTGAAACGTCTATGTCTTCACATCAAACCTAGACAGAAGCATTCTAAGAAAGTTTTCTGCGATGACTGCATTCAACTCACAGAGTTGAACAATCCTTTTGATGGAGCAGTTTTGAAACCCTCTTTCTTTGGAATCTGCAAGGGGATATGTGGACCTCTTTGAAGATTTCACTTGAAACGGGATCATCTTCACATAAGAACTAAACAGAAGCATTCTCAGAAACTACTTTGTGATGTTTGTATTCACCTCCCAGAGTTGAACTTTCCTTTTGAAAGAGCAGCTATGAAACACCCTTTTTCGAGAATCTGCAAGTGGACGTTTGGAGGGCTTTGAGGCCTGTGGGGGAAAAGGAAATATCTTCACATAAAAACTAGATAGAAGCATTCTCAGAAACGACTTTGTGAGGATGGCATTCAACTCATGGAGTTGAACAGTCCTATTGATAGAGCAGATTGGAATCACTTTTTTTGTAGAATCTGCAAATGGAGATTTGGACTGCTTTGAGGCCTACGGTAGTATAGGAAGGAACTTCATATAAAAGGCAAACGGAAGCATTCTCAGAATATTCTTTGTGATGATGGAGTTTCACTCACAGAGCTGAACATGCCTTTTGATGGAGCAGTTTCCAAATACACTTTTGGTAGAATCTGCAGGTGGATATTTGGAGCTCTCTGAGGATTTCGTTGGAAACGGGAATAATTTCCCATAACTAAACACAAACACGCTGAGAAAGTTCTTCATGATGAATGCATTTAACTCGCAGAGATGAACCTGCCTTTGAGAGTTCAGGTTCGAAACACTCTTTCTGTAGAATCTGCAAGTGGATATTTGGACCACTGGCTGGCCTTCGTTCGAAACGGGTATATGTTCACGTAAAAACTAAAGAGAAGCGTTCTCAGAAACTTCTGAGTGATGATTGCATTCTAGTCACACAGTTGAACCCTCCTTTTGATTGAGCAGTTTTGAAACTGTCTTTTTGTAGAATCTGTAAGTGGATGCGTGGACCTCTTTGAAGATTTCTTTGGAAACGGGAATATTTCCACAGAAAAACTAAACTGAAGCATTCTCAGAAACTGCTTTGTGATGTTTGTGTTCGAGCCGCAGAGTTTAACATTGCTTTTCATAGAGCAGTTTTGAAATATTCTTTTGGCAGAATCTGCAAGTGGACATTTGGAGCGCTTTCAGGCCTGTGGTGGAAAAGGCCTGAAAGCCTTTTCCTTTATCTTCACAGAAAGACGAGAGAGAAGCATTGTCAGAAACTTCTTTGTGATGATTGCATTCAACTCACAGAGTTGAAGATTCCTTTTGAAACAGCAGTTTCGAAACACTCTTTCTGTGGGATCCGCAAGGGGATATTTGGACCTCTTTGAAGATTTCGTTGGAAACGGGATAATCTTCACCTAAAAGCTAAACGGAAGCATTCTCAGAAACTTCTTTGGGAAGTTTGCATTCACCTCACAGAGTTGAATTTTCCCTTTGATAGCGCAGCTTCGACACACTTTTTCTACAATGTGCAAGTGGATATTTAGCGGGCTTGGAGGACTGTGTTGGAAAAGGAAATATCTTCTCCTAAAAACGACATAGAAGCATTCTCAGAAACTGCTCTGTGATGATTGCATTCAACTCCCAGAGTTGAACATTCCTTTTGATAGAGCAGTTTGCAAACACTCTTTTTGTAGAATCTGCAAGTGGAGATTTGGACCGCTTTGAGGCCTGTGGTAGTAAAGGAAAGAACTTCATATAAAAACTAGACGGTAGCACTCTCAGAAAATTCTTTGTGACGATGGAGTTTAACTCAGAGAGCTGAACATTCGTTATGATGGAGCAGTTTCCAAACACACGTTTTGTAGAATCTGCAAGGGGATATTTGGACCTCTCTGAGGATTTCGTTGGAAACGGGATCAACTTCCCATAACTGAACGGAAGCAAACTCAGAACATTCTTTGTGATGTTTCTATTCAACTCACAGAGTTGAACCTTCCTTTGATAGTTCAGGTTGGCAACACCCTTGTAGTAGAATCTGCAAGTGTATATTTTGACCACTTTGTAGCCTTCGTTTGAAACGTCTATATCTTCACATCAAACCTAGACAGAAGCATTCTCAGAACGTTTTCTGCGATGACTGCATTCAACTCACAGAGTTGAGCAATCCTTTTGATGGAGCAGTCTTGAAACCCTCTTTCTTTGGAATCTGCAAGGGGATATGTGGACCTCTTTGAAGATTTCACTGGAAATGGGATCATCTTCACATAAAAACTAAACAGAAGCATTCTCGGAAACTACTATGTGATGTTTGTATTCAACTCCCAGAGTTGAACTTTCCTTTTGAAAGAGTAGCTATGAAACACTCTTTTTCGAGAATCTGCAAGTGGACGTTTGGAGGGCTTTGAGGCCTGTGGTGGAAAAGGAAATATCTTCACATAAAAGCTAGACAGAAGCATTCTCAGAAACGACTTTGTGAGGATGGCATTCAACTCATGGAGTTGAACAATCCTATTGATAGAGCAGATTGGAATCACTCTTTTTGTAGAATCTGCAAATGGAGATTTGGACTGCTTTGAGGCCTACGGTAGTATAGGAAGGAACTTCATATAAAAGGCAAACGGAAGCATTCTCAGAATATTCTTTGTGATGATGGAGTTTCACTCACAGAGCTGAACATGCCTTTTGATGGAGCAGTTTCCAAATACACTTTTGGTAGAATCTGCAGGTGGATATTTGGAGCTCTCTGAGGATTTCGTTGGAAACGGGAATAATTTCCCATAACTAAACACAAACACGCTGAGAAAGTTCTTCATGATGAATGCATTTAACTCGCAGAGATGAACCTGCCTTTGAGAGTTCAGGTTCGAAACACTCTTTCTGTAGAATCTGCAAGTGGATATTTGGACCACTGGCTGGCCTTCGTTCGAAACGGGTATATGTTCACGTAAAAACTAAAGAGAAGCGTTCTCAGAAACTTCTGAGTGATGATTGCATTCAAGTCACACAGTTGAACCCTCCTTTTGATTGAGCAGTTTTGAAACTGTCTTTTTGTAGAATCTGTAAGTGGATGCGTGGACCTCTTTGAAGATTTCTTTGGAAACGGGAATATTTCCACAGAAAAACTTAACCGAAGCATTCTCAGAAACTGCTTTGTGATGTTTGTGTTCGAGCCGCAGAGTTTAACATTGCTTTTCATAGAGCAGTTTTGAAATATTCTTTTGGCAGAATCTGCAAGTGGACATTTGGAGCGCTTTCAGGCCTGTGGTGGAAAAGGCCTGAAAGCCTTTTCCTTTATCTTCACAGAAAGACGAGAGAGAAGCATTGTCAGAAACTTCTTTGTGATGATTGCATTCAACTCACAGAGTTGAAGATTCCTTTTGAAACAGCAGTTTCGAAACACTCTTTCTGTGGGATCCGCAAGGGGATATTTGGACCTCTTTGAAGATTTCGTTGGAAACGGGATAATCTTCACCTAAAAGCTAAACGGAAGCATTCTCAGAAACTTCTTTGGGATGTTTGCATTCACCTCACAGAGTCGAACTTTCCCTTTGATAGCGCAGCTTCGACACACTTTTTCTAAAATGTGCAAGTGGATATTTAGCGTGCTTGCAGGACTGTGTTGGAAAAGGAAATATCTTCTCCTAAAAACCACATAGAAGCATTCTCAGAAACTGCTCTGTGATGATTGCATTCAACTCCCAGAGTTGAACATTCCTTTTGATAGAGCAGTTTGCAAACACTCTTTTTGTAGAATCTGCAAGTGGAGATTTGGACCGCTTTGAGGCCTGTGGTAGTAAAGGAAAGAACTTCCTATAAAAACTAGACGGTAGCACTCTCAGAAAATTCTTTGTGACGATGGAGTTTAACTCAGAGAGCTGAACATTCGTTATGATGGAGCAGTTTCCAAACACACGTTTTGTAGAATCTGCAAGGGGATATTTGGACCTCTCTGAGGATTTCGTTGGAAACGGGATCAACTTCCCATAACTGAACGGAAGCAAACTCAGAACATTCTTTGTGATGTTTGTATTCAACTCACAGAGTTGAACCTTCCTTTGATAGTTGAGGTTTGCATCACCCTTGTAGTAGAATCTGCAAGTGTATATGTTGACCACTATGTAGCCTTCGTTTGAAACGTCTATATCTTCACATCAAACCTAGACAGAAGCATTCTCAGAAAGTTTTCTGCGATGACTGCATTCAACTCACAGAGTTGAACAATCCTTTTGATGGAGCAGTTTTGAAACCCTCTTTCTTTGGAATCTGCAAGGGGATATGTGGACCTCTTTGAAGATTTCACTGGAAACGGGATCATCTTCACATAAGAACTAAACAGAAGCATTCTCGGAAACTACTTTGTGATGTTTGTATTCAGCTCCCAGAGTTGAACTTTCCTTTTGAAAGAGCAGCTATGAAACACTCTTTTTCGAGAATCTGCAAGTGGACGTTTGGAGGGCTTTGAGGCCTGTGGTGGAAAAGGAAATATCTTCACATAAAAACTAGATAGAAGCATTCTCAGAAACTACTTTGTGAGGACGGCATTCAACTCATGGAGTTGAACAGTCCTATTGATAGAGCAGATTGGAATCACTCTTTTTGTAGAATCTGCAAATGGAGATTTGGAATGCTTTGAGGCCTACGGTAGTATAGGAAGGAACTTCATATAAAAGGCAAATGGAAGCATTCTCAGAATATTCTTTGTGATGATGGAGTTTCACTCACAGAGCTGAACATGCCTTTTGATGGAGCAGTTTCCAAATACACTTTTGGTAGAATCTGCAGGTGGATATTTGGACCTCTCTTAGGATTTCGTTGGAAACGGGAATAATTTCCCATAACTAAACACAAACACGCTGAGAAAGTTCTTCATGATGAATGCATTTAACTCGCAGAGATGAACCTGCCTTTGAGAGTTCAGGTTCGAAACACTCTTTCTGTAGAATCTGCAAGTGGATATTTGGACCACTGGGTGGCCTTCGTTCGAAACGGGTATATGTTCACGTAAAAACTAAAGAGAAGCGTTCTCAGAAACTTCTGAGTGATGATTGCATTCAAGTCACACAGTTGAACCCTCCTTTTGATTGAGCAGTTTTGAAACTGTCTTTTTGTAGAATCTGTAAGTGGATGCGTGGACCTCTTTGAAGATTTCTTTGGAAACGGGAATATTTCCACAGAAAAACTAAACTGAAGCATTCTCAGAAACCGCTTTGTGATGTTTGTGTTCGAGCCACAGAGTTTAACATTGCTTTTCATAGAGCAGTTTTGAAATATTCTTTTGGCAGAATCTGCAAGTGGACATTTGGAGCGCTTTCAGGCCTGTGGTGGAAAAGGCCTGAAAGCCTTTTCCTTTATCTTCACAGAAAGACGAGAGAGAAGCATTGTCAGAAACTTCTTTGTGATGATTGCATTCAACTCACAGAGTTGAAGATTCCTTTTGAAACAGCAGTTTCGAAACACTCTTTCTGTGGGATCCGCAAGGGGATATTTGGACCTCTTTGAAGATTTCGTTGGAAACGGGATAATCTTCACCTAAAAGCTAAACGGAAGCATTCTCAGAAACTTCTTTGGGATGTTTGCATTCACCTCACAGAGTTGAACTTTCCCTTTGATAGCGCAGCTTCGACACACTTTTTCTACAATGTGCAAGTGGATATGTAGCGGGCTTGGAGGACTGTGTTGGAAAAGGAAATATCTTCTCCTAAAAACGACATAGAAGCATTCTCAGAAACTGCTCTGTGATGATTGCATTCAACTCCCAGAGTTGAACATTCCTTTTGATAGAGCAGTTTGCAAACACTCTTTTTGTAGAATCTGCAAGTGGAGATTTGGACCGCTTTGAGGCCTGTGGTAGTAAAGGAAAGAACTTCATATAAAAACTAGACGGTAGCACTCTCAGAAAATTCTTTGTGACGATGGAGTTTAACTCAGGGAGCTGAACATTCGTTATGATGGAGCAGTTTCCAAACACACGTTTTGTAGAATCTGCAAGGGGATATTTGGACCTCTCTGAGGATTTCGTTGGAAACGGGATCAACTTCCCATAACTGAACGGAAGCAAACTCAGAACATTCTTTGTGATGTTTGCATTCATCTCACAGAGTTGAACCTTCCTTTGATAGTTGAGGTTTGCAGCACCCTTGTAGGAGAATCTGCAAGTGTATATTTTGACCACTTTGTAGCCTTCGTTTGAAACGTCTATATCTTCACATCAAACCTAGACAGAAGCATTCTCAGAAAGTTTTCTGCGATGACTGCATTCAACTCACAGAGTTGAACAATCCTTTTGATGGAGCAGTTTTGAAACCCTCTTTCTTTGGAATCTGCAAGGGGATATGTGGACCTCTTTGAATATTTCACTGGAAACGGGATCATCTTCACATAAGAACTAAACAGAAGCATTCTCGGAAACTACTTTGTGATGTTTGTATTCAACTCCCAGAGTTGAACTTTCCTTTTGAAAGAGCAGCTATGAAACACTCTTTTTCGGGAATCTGCAAGTGGACGTTTGGAGGGCTTTGAGGCCTGTGGTGGAAAAGGAAATATCTTCACTTAAAAACTACATAGAAGCATTCTCAGAAACTACTTTGTGAGGATGGCATTCAACTCATGGAGTTGAACAATCCTATTGATAGAGCAGATTGGAATCACTCTTTTTATAGAATCTGCAAATGGAGATTTGGACTGCTTTGAGGCCTACGGTAGTACAGGAAGGAACTTCATATAAAAGGCAAACGGAAGCATTCTCAGAATATTCTTTGTGATGATGGAGTTTCACTCACAGAGCTGAACATGCCTTTTGATGGAGCAGTTTCCAAATACACTTTTGGTAGAATCTGCAGGTGGATATTTGGAGCTCTCTGAGGATTTCGTTGGAAACGGGAATAATTTCCCATAACTAAACACAAACACTCTGAGAAAGTTCTTCATGATGAATGCATTTAACTCGCAGAGATGAACCTGCCTTTGAGAGTTCAGGTTCGAAACACTCTTTCTGTAGAATCTGCAAGTGGATATTTGGACCACTGGGTGGCCTTCGTTCGAAACGGGTATATGTTCACGTAAAAACTAAAGAGAAGCATTCTCAGAAACTTCTGAGTGATGATTGCATTCAAGTCACACAGTTGAACCCTCCTTTTGATGGAGCAGTTTTGAAACTGTCTTTTTGTAGAATCTGTAAGTGGATACGTGGACCTCTTTGAAGATTTCTTTGGAAACGGGAATATTTCCACAGAAAAACTAAACTGAAGCATTCTCAGAAACTGCTTTGTGATGTTTGTGTTCGAGCCACAGAGTTTAACATTGCTTTTCATAGAGCAGTTTTGCAATATTCTTTTCACAGAATCTGCAAGTGGACATTTGGAGCGCTTTCAGGCCTGTGGTGGAAAAGGCCTGAAAGCCTTTTCCTTTATCTTCACAGAAAGACGAGAGAGAAGCATTGTCAGAAACTTCTTTGTGATGATTGCATTCAACTCACAGAGTTGAAGATTCCTTTTGAAACAGCAGTTTCGAAACACTCTTTCTGTGGGATCCGCAAGGGGATATTTGGACCTCTTTGAAGGTTTCGTTGGAAACGGGATAATCTTCACCTAAAAGCTAAACGGAAGCATTCTCAGAAACTTCTTTGGGATGTTTGCATTCACCTCACAGAGTTGAACTTTCCCTTTGATAGCGCAGCTTTGACACACTTTTTCTACAATGTGCAAGTGGCTATTTAGCGGGCTAGGAGGACTGTGTTGGAAAAGGTAATATCTTCTCCTAAAAACGACATAGAAGCATTCTCAGAAACTGCTCTGTGATGATTGCATTCAACTCCCAGAGTTGAACATTCCTTTTGATAGAGCAGTTTGCAAACACTCTTTTTGTAGAATCTGCAAGTGGAGATTTGGATCGCTTTGAGGCCTGTGGTAGTGAAGGAAAGAGCTTCATATAAAAACCAGACGGTAGCACTCTCAGAAAATTCTTTGTGACGATGGAGTTTAACTCAGGGAGCTGAACATTCGTTATGATGGAGCAGTTTCCAAACACACGTTTTGTAGAATCTGCAAGGGGATATTTGGACCTCTCTGAGGATTTCGCTGGAAACGGGATCAACTTCCCATAACTGAACGGAAGCAAACTCAGAACATTCTTTGTGATGTTTGTATTCAACTCACAGAGTTGAACCTTCCTTTGATAGTTCAGGTTTGCAACACCCTTGTAGTAGAATCTGCAAGTGTATATTTTGACCACTTTGTAGCCTTCGTTTGAAACGTCTATATCTTCACATCAAACCTAGACAGAAGCATTCTCAGAAAGTTTTCTGCGATGACTGCATTCAACTCACAGAGTTGAACAATCCTTTTGATGGAGCAGTTTTGAAACCCTCTTTCTTTGGAATCTGCAAGGGGATATGTGGACCTCTTTGAAGATTTCACTGGAAACGGGATCATCTTCACATAAAAACTAAACAGAAGCATTCTCGGAAACTATTTTGTGATGTTTGTATTCAACTCCCAGAGTTGAACTTTCCTTTTGAAAGAGCAGCTATGAAACACTCTTTTTCGAGAATCTGCAAGTGGACGTTTGGAGGGCTTTGAGGCCTGTGGTGGAAAAGGAAATATCTTCACATAAAAACTAGATAGAAGCATTCTCAGAAACTACTTTGTGAGGATGGCATTCAACTCATGGAGTTGAACAATCCTATTGATAGAGCAGATTGGAATCACTCTTTTTGTAGAATCTGCAAATGGAGATTTGGACTGCTTTGAGGCCTACGGTAGTATAGGAAGGAACTTCATATAAAAGGCAAACGGAAGCATTCTCAGAATATTCTTTGTGATGATGGAGTTTCACTCACAGAGCTGAACATGCCTTTTGATGGAGCAGTTTCCAAATACACTTTTGGTAGAATCTGCAGGTGGATATTTGGAGCTCTCTGAGGATTTCGTTGGAAACGGGAATAATTTCCCATAACTAAACACAAACACTCTGAGAAAGTTCTTCATGATGAATGCATTTAACTCGCAGAGATGAACCTGCCTTTGAGAGTTCAGGTTCGAAACATTCTTTCTGTAGAATCTGCAAGTGGATATTTGGACCACTGGCTGGCCTTGGTTCGAAAAGGTTATATGTTCACGTAAAAACTAAAGAGAAGCATTCTCAGAAACTTCTGAGTGATGATTGCATTCAAGTCACACAGTTGAACCCTCCTTTTGATGGAGCAGTTTTGAAACTGTCTTTTTGTAGAATCTGTAAGTGGATACGTGGACCTCTTTGAAGATTTCTTTGGAAACGGGAATATTTCCACAGAAAAACTAAACTGAAGCATTCTCAGAAACCGCTTTGTGATGTTTGTGTTCGAGCCACAGAGTTTAACATTGCTTTTCATAGAGCAGTTTTGAAATATTCTTTTCGCAGAATCTGCAAGTGGACATTTGGAGCGCTTTCAGGCCTGTGGTGGAAAAGGCCTGAAAGCCTTTTCCTTTATCTTCACAGAAAGACGAGAGAGAAGCATTGTCAGAAACTTCTTTGTGATGATTGCATTCAACTCACAGAGTTGAAGATTCCTTTTGAAACAGCAGTTTCGAAACACTCTTTCTGTGGGATCCGCAAGGGGATATTTGGACCTCTTTGAAGGTTTCGTTGGAAACGGGATAATCTTCACCTAAAAGCTAAACGGAAGCATTCTCAGAAACTTCTTTGGGATGTTTGCATTCACCTCACAGAGTTGAACTTTCCCTTTGATAGCGCAGCTTTGACACACTTTTTCTACAACGTGCAAGTGGCTATTTAGCGGGCTTGGAGGACTGTGTTGGAAAAGGAAATATCTTCTCCTAAAAACGACATAGAAGCATTCTCAGAAACTGCTCTGTGATGATTGCATTCAACTCCCAGAGTTGAACATTCCTTTTGATAGAGCAGTTTGCAAACACTCTTTTTGTAGAATCTGCAAGTGGAGATTTGGACCGCTTTGAGGCCTGTGGTAGTGAAGGAAAGAACTTCATATAAAAACCAGACGGTAGCACTCTCAGAAAATTCTTTGTGACGATGGAGTTTAACTCAGGGAGCTGAACATTCGTTATGATGGAGCAGTTTCCAAACACACGTTTTGTAGAATCTGCGAGGGGATATTTGGACCTCTCTGAGGATTTCGTTGGAAACGGGATCAACTTCCCATAACTGAACGGAAGCAAACTCAGAACATTCTTTGTGATGTTTGTATTCAACTCACAGAGTTGAACCTTCCTTTGATAGTTCAGGTTTGCAACACCCTTGTAGTAGAATCTGCAAGTGTATATTTTGACCACTTTGTAGCCTTCATTTGAAACGTCTATATCTTCACAGCAAACCTAGACAGAAGCATTCTCAGAAAGTTTTCTGCGATGACTGCATTCAACTCACAGAGTTGAACAATCCTTCTGATGGAGCAGTTTTGAAACCCTCTTTCTTTGGAATCTGCAAGGGGATATGTGGACCTCTTTGAAGATTTCACTGGAAACGGGATCATCTTCACATAAAAACTAAACAGAAGCATTCTCGGAAACTACTTTGTGATGTTTGTATTCAACTCCCAGAGTTGAACTTTCCTTTTGAAAGAGCAGCTATGAAACACTCTTTTTCGAGAATCTGCAAGTGGACGTTTGGAGGGCTTGGAGGCCTGTGGTGGAAAAGGAAATACCTTCACATAAAAACTAGATAGAAGCATTCTCAGAAACTACTTTGTGAGGATGGCATTCAACTCATGGAGTTGAACAATCCTATTGATAGAGCAGATTGGAATCACTCTTTTTGTAGAATCTGCAAATGGAGATTTGGACTGCTTTGAGGCCTACAGTAGTACAGGAAGGAACTTCATATAAAAGGCAAACGGAAGCATTCTCAGAATATTCTTTGTGATGATGGAGTTTCACTCACAGAGCTGAACATGCCTTTTGATGGAGCAGTTTCCAAATACACTTTTGGTAGAATCTGCAGGTGGATATTTGGAGCTCTCTGAGGATTTCGTTGGAAACGGGAATAATTTCCCATAACTAAACACAAACACTCTGAGAAAGTTCTTCATGATGAATGCATTTAACTCGCAGAGATGAACCTGCCTTTGAGAGTTCAGGTTCGAAACACTCTTTCTGTAGAATCTGCAAGTGGATATTTGGACCACTGGGTGGCCTTCGTTCGAAACGGGTATATGTTCACGTAAAAACTAAAGAGAAGCATTCTCAGAAACTTCTGAGTGATGATTGCATTCAAGTCACACAGTTGAACCCTCCTTTTGATGGAGCAGTTTTGAAACTGTCTTTTTGTAGAATCTGTAAGTGGATACGTGGACCTCTTTGAAGATTTCTTTGGAAACGGGAATATTTCCACAGAAAAACTAAACTGAAGCATTCTCAGAAACTGCTTTGTGATGTTTGTGTTCGAGCCACAGAGTTTAACATTGCTTTTCATAGAGCAGTTTTGAAATATTCTTTTCGCAGAATCTGCAAGTGGACATTTGGAGCGCTTTCAGGCCTGTGGTTGGAAAAGGCCTGAAAGCCTTTTCCTTTATCTTCACAGAAAGACGAGAGAGAAGCATTGTCAGAAACTTCTTTGTGATGATTGCATTCAACTCACAGAGTTGAAGATTCCTTTTGAAACAGCAGTTTCGAAACACTCTTTCTGTGGGATCCGCAAGGGGATATTTGGACCTCTTTGAAGGTTTCGTTGGAAACGGGATAATCCTCACCTAAAAGCTAAACGGGAAGCATTCTCAGAAACTTCTTTTGGATGTTTGCATTCACCTCAGAGAGTTGAATTTTCCCTTTGATAGCGCAGCTTCGACACACTTTTTCTACAATGTGCAAGTGGATATTTAGCGGGCTTGGAGGACTGTGTTGGAAAAGGAAATATCTTCTCCTAAAAACGACATAGAAGCATTCTCAGAAACTGCTCTGTGATGATTGCATTCAACTCCCAGAGTTGAACATTCCTTTTGATAGAGCAGTTTGCAAACACTCTTTTTGTAGAATCTGCAAGTGGAGATTTGGACCGCTTTGAGGCCTGTGGTAGTGAAGGAAAGAACTTCATATAAAAACCAGACGGTAGCACTCTCAGAAAATTCTTTGTGACGATGGAGTTTAACTCAGGGAGCTGAACATTCGTTATGATGGAGCAGTTTCCAAACACACGTTTTGTAGAATCTGCAAGGGGATATTTGGACCTCTCTGAGGATTTCGTTGGAAACGGGATCAACTTCCCATAACTGAACGGAAGCAAACTCAGAACATTCTTTGTGATGTTTGTATTCAACTCACAGAGTTGAACCTTCCTTTGATAGTTCAGGTTTGCAACACCCTTGTAGTAGAATCTGCAAGTGTATATTTTGACCACTTTGTAGCCTTCGTTTGAAACGTCTATATCTTCACATCAAACCTAGACAGAAGCATTCTCAGAAAGTTTTCTGCGATGACTGCATTCAACTCACAGAGTTGAACAATCCTTCTGATGGAGCAGTTTTGAAACCCTCTTTCTTTGGAATCTGCAAGGGGATATGTGGACCTCTTTGAAGATTTCACTGGAAACGGGATCATCTTCACATAAAAACTAAACAGGAAGCATTCTCGGAAACTACTTTGTGATGTTTGCATTCAACTGCCAGAGTTGAACATTCCTTTTGAAAGAGCAGCTATGAAACACTCTTTTTGGAGAATCTACAAGTGGACGTTTGGAGGGCTTTGAGGCCTGTGGTGGAAAAGGAAATATCTTCACATAAAAACTAGATAGAAGCATTCTCAGAAATTAATTTGTGACGATGGCATTCAACTCACGGAGTTGAACAATCCTATTGATAGAGCAGATTGGAAACACTCTTTTTGTAGAATCTGCAAATGGAGATTTGGACTGCTTTGAGGCCTACGGTAGTATAGGAAGGAAATTCATAAAAAAGCAAACGGAAGCATTCTCAGAATATTCTTTGTGATGATGGAGTTTCACTCACAGAGCTGAACATGCCTTTTGATGGAGCAGTTTCCAAATACACTTTTGGTAGAATCTGCAGGTGGATATTTGGAGCTCTCTGAGGATTTCGTTGGAAACGGGAATAATTTCCCATAACTAAACACAAACACGCTGAGAAAGTTCTTCATGATGAATGCATTTAACTCGCAGAGATGAACCTGCCTTTGAGAGTTCAGGTTCGAAACACTCTTTCTGTATAATCTGCAAGTGGATATTTGGACCACTGGGTGGCCTTCGTTCGAAACGGGTATATGTTCACGTAAAAACTAAAGAGAAGCATTCTCAGAAACTTCTGAGTGATGATTGCATTCAAGTCACACGGTTGAACCCTCCTTTTGATGGAGCAGTTTTGAAACTGTCTTTTTGTAGAATCTGTAAGTGGATACGTGGACCTCTTTGAAGATTTCTTTGGAAACGGGAATATTTCCACAGAAAAACTAAACTGAAACATTCTCAGAAACCGCTTTGTGATGTTTGTGTTCCAGCCACAGAGTTTAACATTGCTTTTCATAGAGCAGTTTTGAAATATTCTTTTGGCAGAATCTGCAAGTGGACATTTGGAGCGCTTTCAGGCCTGTGGTGGAAAAGGCCTGAAAGCCTTTTCCTTTATCTTCACAGAAAGACGAGAGAGAAGCATTGTCAGAAACTTCTTTGTGATGATTGCATTCAACTCACAGAGTTGAAGATTCCTTTTGAAACAGCAGTTTCGAAACACTCTTTCTGTGGGATCCGCAAGGGGATATTTGGACCTCTTTGAAGGTTTCGTTGGAAACGGGATAATCTTCACCTAAAAGCTAAACGGAAGCATTCTCAGAAACTTCTTTGGGATGTTTGCATTCACCTCACAGAGTTGAACTTTCCCTTTGATAGCGCAGCTTTGACACACGTTTTCTACAATGTGCAAGTGGCTATTTAGCGGGCTTGGAGGACTGTGTTGGAAAAGGAAATATCTTCTCCTAAAAACGACATAGAAGCATTCTCAGAAACTGCTCTGTGATGATTGCATTCAACTCCCAGAGTTGAACATTCCTTTTGATAGAGCAGTTTGCAAACACTCTTTTTGTAGAATCTGCAAGTGGAGATTTGGACCGCTTTGAGGCCTGTGGTAGTGAAGGAAAGAACTTCATATAAAAACCAGACGGTAGCACTCTCAGAAAATTCTTTGTGACGATGGAGTTTAACTCGGGGAGCTGAACATTCGTTATGTTGGAGCAGTTTCCAAACACACGTTTTGTAGAATCTGCAAGGGGATATTTGGACCTCTCTGAGGATTTCGTTGGAAACGGGATCAACTTCCCATAACTGAACGGAAGCAAACTCAGAACATTCTTTGTGATGTTTGTATTCAACTCACAGAGTTGAACCTTCCTTTGATAGTTCAGGTTTGCAACACCCTTGTAGTAGAATCTGCAAGTGTATATTTTGACCACTTTGTAGCCTTCGTTTGAAACGTCTATATCTTCACATCAAACCTAGACAGAAGCATTCTCAGAAAGTTTTCTGCGATGACTGCATTCAACTCACAGAGATGAACAATCCTTCTGATGGAGCAGTTTTGAAACCCTCTTTCTTTGGAATCTGCAAGGGGATATGTGGACCTCTTTGAAGATTTCACTGGAAACGGGATCATCTTCACATAAAAACTAAACAGAAGCATTCTCGGAAACTACTTTGTGATGTTTGTATTCAACTCCCAGAGTTGAACTTTCCTTTTGAAAGAGCAGCTATGAAACACTCTTTTTCGAGAATCTGCAAGTGGACGTTTGGAGGGCTTTGAGGCCTGTGGTGGAAAAGGAAATATCTTCACATAAAAACTAGATAGAAGCATTCTCAGAAACGACTTTGTGAGGATGGCATTCAACTCATGGAGTTGAACAATCCTATTGATAGAGCAGATTGGAATCACTCTTTTTGTAGAATCTGCAAATGGAGATTTGGACTGCTTTGAGGCCTACGGTAGTATAGGAAGGAACTTCATATAAAAGGCAAACGGAAGCATTCTCAGAATATTCTTTGTGATGATGGAGTTTCACTCACAGAGCTGAACATGCCTTTTGATGGAGCAGTTTCCAAATACACTTTTGGTAGAATCTGCAGGTGGATATTTGGACCTCTCTGAGGATTTCGTTGGAAACGGGAATAATTTCCCATACCTAAACACAAACACTCTGAGAAAGTTCTTCATGATGAATGTATTGAACTCGCAGAGATGAACCTGCCTTTGAGAGTTCAGGTTGGAAACACTCTTTCTGTAGAATCTGCAAGTGGATATTTGGACCTCTGGGTGGCCTTCGTTCGAAACGGGTATATGTTCACGTAAAAACTAAAGAGAAGCGTTCTCAG